>NC_000003.12:46979696-47282727 GCF_000001405.40 Homo sapiens
GCTCTGCGCCGCGGAGGCCACAGCCGCAGACTTCCCCAGTAGTACCGCGCCGCTCCGCCCCGGAGTGACGCCCTCCGCCCATGGGCCTGGCCGAGGGCAACCGGCGGGCGGCGCGGAGGAGGCGGCGACAGGTGGCGCGCAGCAGGGCCGGAGCCGGGCCGGGCCATGGCCGCCTCGGAGCGGCTGTACGAGTTGTGGCTGCTCTACTACGCGCAGGTGAGCCCGCCCCGCCCCGCGCCCGCACCCGCACCCGCGGTGCCCCCAGCTTCGCGCGCCCCGCGCCTGCTGCACCTGGCGCCCCGCGCCGCTGGGGCCGCGTAGCCGCGCGCGCGGGCGCGCGCGCGCAGGGCATGCTCCGGCTCCGCACACACGTGTGTGCCCCCAGCCCGCCGGGTGCCTCTGGCACTTATGCCTTGGGGACAGAGCTCGCGGTCGTGCACTTCATAGCAACCCACCCCCGCGAGCAGGACCGTGCAGCCTGAGTCTTTCTTGCTAGAGGAGAGTGGCCTGGGCCGAGGCGGCCGGACACTTGGCCTTTTTACAAATGGGGAAACTGAGACCTGGAGAGACCTGGAGACTGGCCAGGAGGCTAGGGGGAGGGGGACTCAATTTGTCTATGAGCTGCCTCTCCCTTGGGCGCGGCCTGATTGGGTGGTCGTGGCCAACGGGTCTGGGGGTGTGGGCCAAGGTAGGGAGGTGTGTGGAAGGGGAATGCTCCCACTTCAGGTCCTTCTTGAGTTGCATCCCCCCACACCCCAGCGAACAGGCTGTGATAAGCTCTTCCCTGACTTGAAATGACCCACCCCACCCCACCCCCATTCTGAGGGGTAGACCCAGGACCTCTCTAGGAGCAGAAGAAAAGGTTTTCCTCTGGATGCCCAGGGTGAGGGTGGGTCCTTGAGGCCCTGAGGGATGTCTGAAAAGGTTGGAGGGAGGCCCGTTCCTCCTGAGCTCCCCACCCATCTCAGAAAATACTTCAGGTGGAGTCAGAAGGTGAGGGGAGTGACTCAGACGTGGGTGTCCCATCAGCTGAGAACCTGGTATCACTCACACCGTCTCACACACATAGTCCCCCATTTTCCTTCTGTACCCACAGCAGGGAGGGATCCCAGGGTAACACTCCCCTCCCCTTCACCCAGCACCTCCCTCCCTGCACCTGCCTGGCATCATGCTCCTGGCTCAGGTGTGCCCTGGGCACAATGGACCATTGTGTGCCCTGAACAGTTTGTCAGTGGGGGGAATTCATGCTCAGACACGCTGGCCCTCCATAAGGAGGCTGGCCCACTGTCTTCCACGGACCTGGAGTCCAGGCCAGAAGGACCACAGCCTCTTCAGTCCGCTCAGGTTGTGAGAGGTCCAGGCCCCAGCAGGAGGCCAGGCATGGAGTAGAGTCCCTCTTTGGTATAACTCAGATCGAACTCGACTTCTGAGCCTCTGCTTCCTGCCTGTAAAACTGACACAGCCCTGGCCGGGCACGGTGGCTCACACCTGTAATCCCAGCACTTTGGGAGGCCGAGGCGGGCAGATCACAAGGTCAGGAGATCGAGACCATCCTGGCCAACATGGTGAAACCCCATCTCTACTAAAATACAAAAATTAGCCGGGCGTGGTGGGGTGTGCCTGTAATCCCAGCTACTCGGGAGGCTGAGGCAGGAGAATCGCTTGAACCAGGGAGGCAGAGGTTGCAGTGAGCCGAGATCGCGCCACTGCACTCCAGCCTGGTGACAGAGTGAGACTCCGTCTCAAAAAAATAAAATAAAAATAAAAAACTGACACAGCCCTGACCTCAGGGGCTTCCTGGACTCTGTGGAGAGGTAGCCATTATAGCTGGTCCAGACCAGAGAAGGCTCCTGTTTTCCTGGCCCCATTGGGTCCCCTCGCCCCAGCTTCTCTGCCTGCATCCCCAGTGGTTGTGAAGGAGCAGAGGGTTTGAAGAGAAGCCTACCCTAGTCCTCCTTCCTCGGACTGCCCCATAGCTATGGGCAGGCTCTAGGTGCATGGGCAGGTAAAGGGGGCTTAAACCAGCTGGTGAGTGTGAGGGATGTTAATGATAGGTCTTCAGCCTGGGTGGCAGGCTGCTGGGAGTGTCTTGGTATCTCCCAGGACAGTAACTCCAGCATGGTTGCCTCCTGATGCCCCATCTAGCTGAGCTCTGTACATGGCCACCCCCCATCCCCTCAGGAGGTGGTTATGGCTCATATCTGTGCTGAGCCTCCCCCTCCCGGAGCTCCTCACCTCGCAGGGCAGGTATGGAGCATAGGCTGGCAGGTTGTAGCTTTGGAAGCCTGAGCAGACAGTGGGCAGCCTGGGGCCAGGCAAACAAATCCAGGATGTAACAGCAAACCCCCAAGCCAGGCGGGGCCAGGCTGCCTGGGAAGAGGAAGCTAGGGCCAGCCTCCCAGCTCGCCTTCCTGCCCGCCTGCTCCTGACCCTGATCCTGGAACCCCCAATCCAGGGAGGAGTAGGCTATGCAACTTTGAGTCCTGTTAGGGACCTATTGTGTGTGTGCTTGGGGAGGGGGAGTGCAAGGTAAGGGGCAGAGCTGAAAGTGGGTGTTTAGAGACCCTTTAGTTGGCCAGCCACCCAGCCAGCAACACCTGCACCCCTCCCTTCAGCAGTGAGAGCTGACATCAGCTGGCAAACCTGTTTCCCCAGTTGTGGGTCTGGGTGGGGATGGAGAGGGGGGAGTAACTCCTTCCTGCCCTTCCTCTTCCTTAAAGACCCCAGGTTTAGACCCACCCACCCCCTCCCCCTGGGGGCCCGGCTCAACTGGGGGCCTCATAGTGAGGGAGGGGGCTGTGGGTGGCTGCTGAGGGAAGAGGGAAGGGTCAGAGCATCCCAGGACTTCACTCAGTTGGAGCTCCTTAGGGCCCTGGTGGGGAAACCAAGGCAGGGTCCTACTACGATTGTCAGACCTCACATGCAGTAGGTGCTCCTTGGGTATTAGCTGAATGACTGGATAGAGGAGGTGGGTCCCATGGCAGTGACCAGTCAGGAAGTCACCCCAGAGGAGGCTGAGTTTGGGCTTTGAAGGCTGAGAGGAAGAAACAGCAGGAGCAGTGGGACAAGAAGCAAATTGTCAGGAGTTGGGGCAGGGCAGAGCTAGTCAAGCAGGCCTGGTGGACAGGTGGGGGCTCATCTAGAGGACTCAGAGCCCACCAGAGCTCCCCCAGGGTAGGCATAGGAAGGGCAGGAGAGTCTTGGGGGACTGGGGACAGCACCTGACAGGCTGGCGGTTGGGCAGCCCATAAAAGTTAATGCCACATAGCATGCAGATGAGTGGCCCCTGTTCAGGCCGGAGCAGCAGTGATGTTCAGCAACCCCTCCAGTGAATGGGGTCACAGAGTGAGGGGGCACTGAATGTGGAAGGGCACTCAGGGTCACAAAGTTCAGGGCAGAACAAACCCTCAGGTGACAGGAGGGAGCAGAAGCTGACCTGTCCAGCTATGCCACTGAGGCCTCAGAAGGGTTCAGGGAGGTTAGGTCAGGCTGGAGGCAACCTCGTCCTGCCTACACTTCCCTGAGAGTTCCCTCTCCCTAACTGATGATCTCTACTGCCTCTCAGAAACCTGGTCAGGCCCTCCACTCCCCCGGTACTTTACCTGGTCATATTCCTTTTTTTTTTTTTTTTTAGACAGAGTCTCACTCTGTCACCCAGGCTGGAGTGCAATGGCATGGTCTCAGTTCACTGCAACCTCTGCCTCCCGGGTTCAAGCAGTTCTCCTACCTCAGCCTCCCGAGTAGCTCAGACTACAGGCGTGTGCCACCACACCCGGCTAATTTTTGTATTTTTAGTAGAGACGGGGTTTCACTATGTTGGCTAGGCTGCTCTCAAACTCCTGACCTTGTGATCTGCCCGCCTCAGCCTCCCAAAGTGCTGGGATTACAAGCGTGAGCCACCGCACCTGGCTTTATCTGGTCATATCCTTTTTGGGCTTCAGTTTACCTTCCTGAAATGGGTAAAGGGAAGGTGGAGTCACTTCTTTGGTGCTTGGTCCCCTGCCTCTATTACCAAGGCACCTGAAGGAGAAGGGCCTGTAGTGATAGGGAGATGAGCACACAGCCCAGGCTTGGGTGGGCACTGGTGATTCCTGGAGTTGTTATGACAACTGGGGAGCTGATGGGGAAGTGTGGGGTCCCCGTAGAAACAGGGTCAGTTACCATGGGGTCTATGGGGACCCTAGAAGGAAATTCCCATTTTCCTTAGTGATAGTAAAAGGGATTGGTCAGCTCTTGAGCCGCTTGCTTGAACCTACTTCCATTCTGTGGAGTGTACTTTCATTTCAATAAATCTATGCTTTCCTTGCTTAAAAAAAAATAGTGTCCAGGCGCGGTGTTTCACGCCTGTAATCCCAGCACTTTGGGAGGCTGAGGCGGGCAGATCACGAGGTCAGGAGATCAAGACCATCCTGGCTAACACAGTGAAACCCCATCTCTACTAAAAAAAAAAAAAAAAAAAATTAGCCAGGCGTGATGGCGAGTGCCTGTAGTCCCAGCTACTCAGGAGGCTGAGGCAGGAGAATGGTGTGAACCTGGGAGGCGGAGCTTGCAGTGAGTTGAGATCGCGCCACTGCACTCCAGCCTGGGCCGGCGACAGAGCGAGACTCCGTCTCAAAAAAAAACAAAAAAAACAATAGTACAAGGGGATGGTCAGGCCCTGGGGCAGGGTGGGTGTCATGGAGATCAGAAGGTCCACCCTTTCAGCACCCCCTCTCCAGGTAAGTGGGAGAGACTGGCCCAGCCACCCAGGCACTCAAACCACTATCCTCAGTTGTCCCTGCCCCAGCAAAGTCCCATCTTCCTGCTTCATCCCATGGCCTAACATCCTCCAAGCCTGACCTCCAGTCCTGGTGATGTAGCCAGAAGTCACGTTTAGCTTGACATTGTCCTCCCCGTCCTGATACTGAATGGGGGGACCCCCTAGGCCTGGGATAGGCTATTCCACATAAACACCACCCTGTCCCACTTCTGCTTGTCTGTCCCTGAAGATGGAGTGCTCACTACCGCCCAGGCAGCTCTGACTGAGAGGAGTCACCCACTCTTGAGCTGTGCTCTTCTCTCCCTTCCTGCTCCTAGCTCTTCCCTGGGGTCCATTAATGCCTCTTACTGTCACTCACAGAGGGGGCTGGGGGTTGTTGCCTGGAATTCAGGGAGCTCGGGCAGGCCAGAGCCCCTGGATCTGGAACTCCACTCACCTTACCCTGACCTCGAGTTGGGTAGGTGTGGCTGGAGAACTTTTACCCAAGAAGCAAAGGGATGGTTTTAAAGAGGTTAATGTTAAGTAACAAGCTACTGAGAGTTAGAACGGGGACTGGACTCCGGAACCCATGCCCTCACCTGATTCGGTTGGTGAGAGGCACCAGACAGGAATGGGTCTTACAAAGGGTGCTGATGCCCCTGATGGGGGCATTCCAGCAGAGCAAACAAGAGCAAAGCACAGGCAGACCTGTGGGGGTAGAGACAGTGATTCACGCCCTTGGGCCCAGGCATCCAGCGGGTTTGGGGTATGGAGGCTGCAGGTGAGGTGGGCACCACCCTACAGGGCCTCAGATGTGAGCTTGTGATAGGGCATGTGACTGGCTGATCAAGCCGTGATGGTGACAGATGTCTACTCGAGGCCCATTGTGCAATGGCCTTGGGGTACGTCAGGCAGGGTCTGGGAGCAGCATGGTGTCAGGCAGCTCAATGATCCCTGTCAGCTTGGCAAACAAGGTGTACTCCCTGTACTCCCCACCAATGTCACAACCACCAGCCCTCAGCCCTCCAGGTTACTTCAGAATTCCAGAGGAGTGGCAGTTCCATGCCCACCCAGGGACTGTTTGAGCCTAAGCAGCCCTCGGGAGCCCCTCACCCCCAGCACTCTCAAGTGCCCTCACAGCTAGTTGGGCATAAGTTGGGGTCTCTGTGGTGGTGCACATGAGACCCCCTCTTCCCAGGGACACCGGCCTTCCACATTCCCACAACCTTCTCCCCTGCTGCAGGACCTGGGCATCACTTACCTATGGACCCTGGAGAGGGCTTGGCAGGTGTGGCTGCTCCCGACCTGCCTTCAGTGGGGGACAGGGTTGGGGCCCTGACCCAGTTAGGTTGGGGCAAGGGGCTGGACTGTCCCTGACCCGTGTTCCTGCTCAGAGCTGGCACAACCGACCAAGGCAGAAGCTCTGAGAGGGGCATGGGAAGCCTGAGCATCATGGCCACTCCTCCCAGGCCCTGGACCCTCACATGCAGCACTGCCACCATGCTCTCGTCCCCTGCCATTCTCTGCCCTCTGACCCTGGCTCCCTGAGGGACTCCCGTACCCCGACACATTGCAGTCTCAAGCCATGGGGCCTAGGTCAGAGTTGGCCTGAGGTCTTCCAGGGAGAAACAGTGAGACCCAGGGAGGCAGGACAGGCAGCCACCCCACCCCTGCCTAATACTGTGCTTTGGAGACCTCGTCATCCCCTTTCAGAGCCCCTGAAGGCTGTCTTGATTGTCCCAGCCCTGAACCCAGCTCAGCCCAATCTGCTGAAAGTTTACAGGACTGGACAGGCCAAGGGTGTGGTTCTAGGGACAGAAAGTACTATCTACATACTCTAGGAGTATGTAGAGATTGAGGGACCCACCCCTGTGCTGGGAAGGCTGATCAAGGTGATGGCCACCAGGAGGGTGGGAGGTTCCTGCTCAAGTACCAAAAGCCCAAGTCACACAAGGCAGTGGGGCATAGGGTGGGAAAAGGCCTGGATAGGAGGATGTGAACCACAGAGGGGGAGAGGTGGAAGCTGGAGAAGCAGGTTCTGGTTGGACCAGCAGCCTGGAATGCTGCTCAGCAGTTGAGCCTTTATGGGGAGGGGTTAGACACGGTCAAATTTGGGCTTTCAGGTGCTCAGTAGAGCTGCAGCTGGCAGGAAGACTCACATTTTGAGTGACTAGCTTGACTGAGGGGCAGAAGAGAGGAAGACAGTATTGGGACATTTTTGAAGGCAGCTAGGGGTCTCTGTGGGGCCACTGAGGCAAGGATCGGGGCCCGCATGGTCCTCATGGGCTGGCTTGCTAGCAATCATGAGTGGTCCTGGCCTAGAACTAAGGTCTGGCTTTTAGCATCCTCAAAGGTACACTGAAGACAAAGTAGTAGATAAGGCATCCCCTGTGGGGCCTCCTGTTTCCCCATCTGCAATGGGAGAGGTTCAGAAGAAATGGTCCAGGGCCCCTGGCCACCTCTGCTGTCTCAGGATCTGGGTATTTTGGGCTCCTTGCTGATTGTTCGGGAGGAGGCTGCCAGCAGGAGAGGGTGGAGAGGTCAATAAATGTAACTGACAGACAAAATGTCATGGTTGTGTGGGTCTGCACCATGGTGGCCCTGGCACCTCTCTGAGTTGTCTGGGCTTCAGATCTGCACTAAACTGTACCAGGGAGTTCCCCAATCACAGGGTGGACGGCTGCTCTGCCTAGGTTTTTTGGGGATCTGGCTCAGGTCTGCTGCAGTCAGGCCTCTTGCCCTGGGGCCATTCAGGCCTTGCCCGTGGTCTGGGCCCATAGGCTGCAAAAATTAGCCATCCATCCAAAGATAGTTCTGGAGGTCCTTGGGTATGAGGCCCATGGCCCCTGGGGAGCAGCCTGAGGCCTGCTGAGTGCTGACTGTGATGTGTCCCTTGCCTCTTCATCCTTTTCCACTCTAGCTCCCCCTGTCCACCTCTCTGACTCTAGGAAAGAAGGCTGCCTTTTGGACTCAGCTGGTTAGGAGCTCCATATGGGGCCAGCCTGGAGGAGCTCCTGTATAAGCCACAACCCACCCCTGGCCCCTGGGAGGGGCTTAGAGATTAGAGCAGATACGGGCTAGGCTAGGATTTATCAGCTGTGTTCCTGAGCGAAGAGAACTGCAGAGTTCAGATGAGGTGGCCAGGACATGGCGGGCGGCGGGGCGGGACAAAGGTATGGCTGAGTCTTCTACATCGACCCCTGTGGCCTGAGGCCTTGCGCGCAGGTCAGGGAGCTGTGGGTGCCTTAAGTGAAGGGTACTGCAGCAGCAGGATCAGAACCCTCACCTGGATAAGAGCTCTTCCAGGCGCCAACCTCATGCTTGTAAAACTAGTCTTGGCCCACAAGCCCCACCCAGGACAGGTGACTCCACCCCTCTGTAACAGGTCCCACCCTCTGTGCAGGCCAGGTCGCTTGCAGCCTCTCTCACTGGGGCCCAGGGTGCCCCGGCCCCCCCACATCCCTGCGGTCTGCCGGGAGGAAGCGGTCCCCCTCCCCCACCGTGACTCTGCGCTTCCTGCCCCAGCCCCGGGGCGGGAGGAGACATTTCCCGTTCACACCAAAGTTTTCCTGGCAGCGCCTAGACCTGGGCTTAGCCACTGCCCCTCTTGCCCATGGAACCAGCTCTGGGGCCTGGGGTCCAGGTAACCAGCAAGGGTGGGTGGAGGTTCCCGGGGCAAGGCAGGGCCGCACATGAGGATGTGCGCATGTCTGGGTCTGCCTGTCTAATGGTACACGTGTGTCCTGGGATCCACAGTTAAAGAAGGCTACTGAAGGTGGTGGCTGCTGGGCTGGGTGAAGATGGCAGATGAGGACCCAGCCCAAGGCTCTTGGTAGGGGGTGGCTGCTGTGTGGGACACCTTCTCCAGCCCTAGCACCAGTGTGGGCCACAGCCACACCCCACTTACGCCCCTCCCCTGGCTGTGTCAGACCTGCCTAGGACTGCAGGCATTAGGGAGGTGGGAGCAGAAACTGGGAGGCTGAGAGAAGCAGTGGGGTGCCTGGAAAAGTGGTCAGTATGTACCTAACTCTCTGATGCTGACCTTCCAATGTCCTGCCCTCCCTCCCCCGTCCCCCACTCCCCTTCTCCACACCCTCCACTCTGCCTTTAACCCCTTGTCCATGCCCTCTGTCCACCTCCATTCATTCTTCGCCTCTGTCTACATCCCCTTGTCCCTGCCCTGTTTACTGCATCCCTCCTGCCCCCCACCACTGTTCCCCTGTTCTGCCTACAGAAGGACCTGGGTTACCTGCAGCAGTGGCTGAAGGCCTTTGTAGGTGCCTTCAAGAAGAGCATCTCACTGTCCTCTCTGGAGCCACGAAGGTGAGGCTGGATCTGCACTGAGGGCAGGGACAGAGCAGGGAGATTGAGGGGTCCTCAGCACCCGTGTCTCCCCTTTCCTTGCAGGCCAGAGGAGGCAGGTGCAGAGGTCCCGCTGCTACCACTGGATGAGCTGCATGTGCTGGCCGAACAGCTGCACCAGGCTGACCTGGAGCAAGCCCTCCTGCTGCTCAAGCTCTTCATCATTCTCTGCAGGTGTCTCTGTTGTCCACTCTACAAGCAGGGGCCTAGAACTGTGGGCCAGAGGGAGAGGGGACAAGGAGGGGCATGGTGTATTATTGTGACCTCTCTCATCATTGACTCCCCCAGGAACCTGGAGAACATAGAGGCAGGCCGGGGCCAAGTGCTAGTGCCCCGAGTGCTGGCACTGTTGACCAAGTTGGTGGCGGAGGTGAAGTGGCCTCTACCTTGGGGGGCAGAGGGTGTATGCAGGGAGGCAGGCGGTAGCCATGGCGGGGCTAACCCTCTCTCCCCACACCTACAGCTGAAAGGATGCCCACCACCCCAGGGCCGAGGCACGCAGTTGGAGAATGTGGCCCTACATGCTCTGCTTCTCTGCGAGGGCCTCTTTGACCCTTACCAAACCTGGCGGCGCCAGCGCAGTGGGTGAGACCCAGCCCACAGGAAGGGAACCCAGAGGAGGGTGGGGAGAGGATGGCCGCGCTGGGCCCAAGGAGGGGTGACGGCCAGGAGTGGTGAGAGCCGGGCTGATGTACTTGGCCTCACTGCCCCCAGGGAAGTCATCAGCTCCAAGGAGAAGAGCAAATACAAGTTCCCTCCTGCTGCTTTGCCCCAGGAATTCAGCGCCTTCTTCCAAGGTCAGGCCCCGCCCCTGCCCCCACTTGGCTCCACCCCCAAACCTAGGCCCCTTCCTGTCGTTCCTTGATCCTGCCATACACAGGAACCACTTGGTGGTGGCTGCATGCAGGACTGGGAGAACCAAAGACCAAGCAAGAGTTTAGGGACAGAGACAAGAGAAGACATCTTGGGCTGGAGCGAGGGCCTCCCATCAGGTGGAGGGGTGGGGTCAACCTGCCTACCCAGATTTCTCATCCTCTTTCCCCGCCATCTCCTGGATCCTTCTAGCCACTTGTACCCTACTGTGATCTTAAAACTCTCTGGTCCAATCCCTTTGTCCCCATAGCCTCCACGCATCTCCACCCATCCCGGAGACACAGGAGGTATCTCCACCTCCTGTTCCCTGGCTGCTGGAGGATCTGGTGCCCAGGACAGCTGTGGCTGCCTGTTCACAGGTGGTCCTGTGAACCTGTTCTCCCTGGTGACCCTCCACCCCTGGGTCCCCTCTCTCCTCTCATTGGAGGGAGACTGGCCAGGACTTTAGATAGGCTCAGGGTGGGATATGGCCTGGACAGAGGTGGGCAGGGCTGTGAAAAGGTGGTGACCTATTGGGATATTAAATGTCTCAGTGATGCCCCCATGGAGCTGTGGGCCTGGATCTAGAGTTGGGGCAGCAACTCCAGGAGGGGAGGCACCCCTAGGGAGCTCCTCGACTTTATTTTCCCATAGCCTGGGTGCTGTTATTAAAACAAACTGGATTTCATTTCTCCTCCCATCATATCCCTTGATGTCAACCTGACGTCCTCAAGATGAAATCCTACTCCTCCCACAGCCTTTCTCTCCACTTGCCCTGCTGCTCAGCCTGGCTTCTGTCCTCTCATTCCCAGACTGCTACCACTGACCCCACCTCAGGGTCTTAGCCCATGCTGTGCCTTCTCCCCTCCAACTGCATTCTCAGGTCTCCCCTCAAAAGCCCCATCCCCAAGGAGGCCTCCCACCCATCCAGCCGGAATCAAGCCCCAGCCCTACTCTTCCTCCTCTGCCAGGCATGTGACCCGGGGCTAGTCCCTTCTGCCCTCTGAGTTTCAGTCCCTGGCCTGGCATCCTGTCCAGTTTTGCTGGCGCAGGGCCAGGTGGGCCTCCTACGTATTAGGTTGTGAAAGCCCCTAGAAGTCCCAGGCAAAGGCATGGGCGTGGGGGGAGGTGGCATCAGTATAGTAGATACAGCAGAGTCCCCAGAGCACGGCATGGGAAGCACCAACCGTCACAGGGCAGAGGCAGCAAGAGATTTGCATCTGAGAAACTAAGCCCTGGTCATCATGGGGAAGTGGAAGGGTATGTGCTCATGCTGGGGCCCTCACTTTGGGGCTTAAGGATCTGGGAAGCTGGCTAGACTCTCAGGGCTGGTCTTTGTCACCCTTAAGTCCCCCAAAGAAGGGTTGTCCCTTTCAGGCCCTCTACTATACAGCCATAACTCCTTAGATGCCCCCCAGGGCAGAGCCAGCTCTTATCCCTCACACTGGATCTTTTACTTGGCCCAGCTCCCTCTCCCCTCCACCCCAGGGCACTCACCTCTTGTGCAGCCCCCTGGGTCCATAGCCCTGCAACCTTGGTGACATTACCCTGCCCACACCCCCCTACCCAGAGAGCCTACAGAATGCAGACCACTTGCCTCCCATACTGCTGTTACGTCTCATCCACCTCTTCTGCGCCGTCCTCGCTGGAGGAAAGGTAGGCTGGGAGGTGAGCCTGTGGACTAGAGAGCAGCTCTTTCAGTATCTCTCTGCTGGGTGAGCCCCTTGCCCACTGCCCATCTCTGTCCACACCTGCAGGAGAACGGGCAGATGGCTGTAAGTGATGGCTCTGTGAAGGGCCTGCTGAGTGTGGTGCGGGGCTGGAGCCGTGGGCCAGCCCCGGACCCGTGCCTAGTGCCACTGGCTCTAGAGGCACTGGTAGGTGCAGTCCATGTCTTGCATGCCAGCCGCGCACCTCCTCGTGGCCCAGAGCTTCGTGCCCTGCTTGAGAGCTACTTCCATGTCCTTAATGCTGACTGGCCAGCTGGTCTGAGCTCAGGCCCCGAAGAGGCCCTTGTCACCCTCCGGGTCAGCATGCTCGGTGGGTATGGGCTCCCAGGCTCTTGGGGAAGGGGCACCATGAGGGAAAAGCCTAAGTGATGATGGAAGGTCTGGATAGGGCAGCATAGGAAGGAAGGCTTAAGGCTGCCTAGAGGGGTCTGGGCAGGGCCTGACCCTTGACCCTTCCACAGACGCCATCCCCATGATGCTGGCATGTGAAGACCGGCCAGTGCTGCAAGCCACCTTCCTCAGCAACAATTGCTTTGAACACCTCACTCGGCTCATTCAGAACAGCAAGGTGGGTAGGGCCCAGCCTGGGGGTGAGGGTCTGGAAGCCAGAGGCTAGGGGAGCCACGCATAGGTGCCAGGCTGCTGCTGAGCAAACATGGGCTGGACAGAGTCAGTGTTTTGCAGCTGGTGGGATGGCTTGCAGTTCAGTGGGAGGGTGTGGGGCATGGACAAGGGCCCATCCCTTGGGGCCTCTATAGGACTGGGCTTGAGGCTTAGGACATCTTTGTGCCCCATGGAAGCGGGGCTTGTTATGGAAGGAAGGGAGCTGCTCTGGTGCCTTGTTTCCCTTTCCGTGGCCCCAAGTACAGGGGCTAGAGGAGGGCACCACTGCTTTCAGATGCAGTGCCTGCTCCCACCCGCTCATCCCCCCGACTGCCCATCTGAGCAGGGCACAGGGGGCTCAGCACCCTACTCTTCCCTAGTGCCGGGCAGGGCACCTGGCAGCTGCCCCTGGTCCTGCTCTAACCCCACCCTCTCCCATCTTCCTCCTCTCTTCTTTGCCTCCTCCACCCTGTGCCTCCCCACTTCCCCACAGCTGTACCTGCAGTCCCGGGCGCCCCCCGAGGGGGACAGTGACCTGGCTACCCGGTTACTGACTGAGCCCGATGTCCAAAAGGTACCATCCTGGGGCTGACCAGCTCAGACACCCCCTGGGACTCCCTCTTTGAGCTTTTCCTGCACTATAGCTGGGGAAATGAGCAGATGTGTGTAAGGCCTGGTGTGGTCTAGAAATGGGTGTGGGTCCTCCATGCTGTCTCGCCTGCCTTCCAAGTCCCCATCCTAGGGAACAGGACAGAAGGTGGTCTATCCCCTGCCTGGTGTTTGATTGGGTGTTGGGGGTCTGGCTGTGCCAAGCTGGATGGAACCTTCGAAACTCAGCCACCTACCTCATTTCTCAGAAGGGGAGACAGAAGCCCAGACACTCAAGGATTTGGCTATAGTCACAGAGAAAGGGGTCTCCCTCATGGTGCCATTTCTTTCTGTAGATTCTTGCACCCACCCTCAGCGGGTCACTGGGTGTCCCCCAGCCCCTGATGATGTGATCCCTGATTCACCTTGCATGTGGGCTGTAGGAGGCTGCAGGGTGTCAGCTGGCAGCTTCACAGCGGGCACCCTTTCTGGGGGCTCAACCTGTGGGCCCCAACCTCCATAGCCCCTACCCTGGCTCTGTCTTCATGAGGTAACCCTATGTGTTCACCGCATGTGGTCATTTTCTTAGAGCTTACACGTCTATTCATCTGCAAAGCAGGCAGGGCAAAGTGACTCCCCTCTGTTTTTACAGATGAGGACACTGAGGCCTGGAGGGGGAGGACTGATGCCTTAGGTCACTTGGGGAGTCAGGCAAAGCTGGGACCAAAGGCCCCATGGAGCCGAATATGACCTAGTCCCTGCTGAGAAACTCTCCAAGCCCTCCCAACCCCTGACCCCCTCAGGGTGGGGCAGGAGAGGCAGCAGCATGCCTCTGGCTGTCAGGTTCAGCCAGGCTGAGCCTCAGTGCCCCCACCTGGATCTAGGGGGAAGGGGCAAGGTGGGACTTAAAGGTCTCGAAGGTTCTTCTGGTTCTAACATCCTGTGATTGATTGTCCCTAAATCTCTGACCCCTGTCAATCACTGTGGGTGATGGGGCACTTGCTGGCCTGTCTGTACTCATGTGTCTAGCTTTAGGGAGACAGGTTGGGGGTAGGGCCCTAACTCCACTAGAGAAAGGGGGACTGGAGGGTGCAGTCAGAGTGTCCACCATTAATCTGTCCCAGTGAGGCCCTTCCCAGCCTTTGTTAGAGTGGGTCTTGCTGAGCTGCTCAGAGAGGGCCCTAGGTCATGATAGGGTCACAGCAGTTGGGGCAAGGAGTAGAAGGCCTGGTGCTCTGACAGAGTTGCTGATCCAGCACATGCCACATGCCTTGGGGTGCTTGGCTCTGCACCTTTTTTACTGCAGGGGGCTGCCAGCTGTGACACCCTGGCCCCTGCCTCTCCTGATGGCCCCTCCCCACCCCAAGGTCCTGGACCAAGACACAGACGCCATTGCAGTCCATGTAGTCAGAGTGCTGACCTGCATCATGAGTGACTCCCCCTCGGCCAAGGTGAGGCTGCTGCACTGCAGCTTTAGTAGGGGTGCGGGGTGGAGTTCAACTGACCATATCCCCAGAACAGGCCTGGCCGGTGGCCATAAGCATCCTGCTCCCTGGAGCAAAGCAGGCGAGCTGGGAGGTGACTGCCCTGCCCTAAAGCTCACTGGGCAGGTGTGGTCGCCAGTCTGTCCTGGGAGCTGCATCTTCTCTGTCAGGGCTGGATGGGGAATGGACACTTGTAGGCCCACCTCCATCTACAGCCTTCTGAGATGTACTCACGTCCCCCCCATCCCTCTGCAGCCCACTGCCCACCAGCACTGTCACCCAGAGGCAGAGCTACGCAAGGGAACCCCAAAACATGATGCCCCTCCAGAGTTTCCAGGGGGTCTGAGTTTGCCCTCCGGCCCATGTATGTGTTCACTTCTTCCCCATACTACCTTACACAGGAGGTGTTTAAGGAGCGCATCGGCTACCCTCACCTGCAGGAGGTTCTGCAGAGCCATGGTCCCCCCACCCATCGGCTGTTGCAAGAGCTGCTCAACATGGTGAGGGAAGGGGCTTGGGACCAGGGTCCCAAAGGCAACCAGAACTGAGTCAGGGTTACCACAGATGGTGAGCTCTCCACCCTGGGGGACCGTATTGACTGCGGCCAGTACATACTGTTACCTGTAGCCTGGCCATGTCTGTTAGTGTCACTGGAATGAGGATTCTGGCCCTGTAGGGGTCCTGGAAGCAACTGCATGTGAGCAAGCCCCAGGATTATCTTAGGAACATGCAGTTAGGGGTTAGGCCAACCCAGGCTGAAAACTAAGGTTGAGGGATTAACAATGCTGAAGGACTCTTAGTAGTAGTGACTGTCATCTGTGCCCCTCTGACTTTCCTGAGCCTCACACACAACCTGTGGGCAGGATGGAGTAGATCATGTTGCTGACTGCTGCCGTAGGCAAGTAAATGGAGCCAGAAAGTCCCACTGTTGACAGGGTGCCACAGCTGACCAGGGACTGTCATTCTCTCCACCCACAGGCTGTGGAGGGTGACCACAGCATGTGCCCACCTCCACCAATCCGCAACGAGCAGCCGGTACTGGTGCTGGCGCAGTGGCTGCCGTCATTGCCCACCGCTGAGCTGCGGCTCTTCCTAGCGCAACGCCTCAGGTGGCTCTGTGACAGCTGCCCTGCCAGCCGTGCCACCTGTGTGCAGGCAGGCCTGGTGGGCTGCCTGTTGGAGACACTCAGCACAGGGCTAGCCCTGGAGGCCCGCTGCCAAGAGCAGCTGCTGGCACTGCTACAAGCACTGGGCCGTGTATCAATAAGGCCCATGGAGCTGCGTCACCTGCTGCGCCCCCGGCCAGGATTGGACTCGGAACCAGGCGGAGCTGAGGCTGGAAAGGCCCGACACGCAGGTGCTGTCATCCGCACATTATCAGGCATGGCCAGGCACCAGGGTCCTGCACGTGCTCTGCGCTACTTTGACCTCACGCCCAGCATGGCGGGCATCATGGTACCCCCTGTACAGCGATGGCCAGGGCCTGGCTTCACCTTTCATGCCTGGCTCTGTCTGCACCCTATGGATACAGCACCTACCCCTGCCCCCACCCGACCACTCCAGCGAAAGCAGCTGTACAGGTGGGTGACTGCCAGGGGCCAGGGACCTCCTGCCAGGGTGAGCAGGAACAAGCAGACATAACTGGCTTGCCTGCCCCCAGCTTCTTTACCAGCAGCGGCTCAGGGTTTGAGGCCTTCTTCACGGCGGCCGGGACCCTGGTGGTGGCTGTGTGCACACGGAAGGAGTATTTGACCATGAGTTTGCCCGAAGTGTCCTTTGCCGACTCTGCCTGGGTGAGACCCCATCCTTCTCATGTGGCCCAGTAGAGAGAGGGGTGCTGAGTCCCAAGTATGGCCTAATGTGAGGCTTCTGTTCTAGCACTGCGTGGCTATCGTCCATGTGCCTGGGCGCCGGCCCTTCAGCCAGAACCTGGTCCATGTCTACAAAGACGGCCATCTGGTCAAGACAGCACCCCTTCGCTGCCCCTCCCTCAGTGAGGTGTGCCAAGCAAGGTTTGGGGAGGCCTTGGGTAGATGGGAGGACTTGGAACACAGTGGGCAGGTGTAGCCTGGAGCCCTTGTGTCCCGTGCTGCCCCACAGGCCTGACTTTAGCCACTGGGGTCCATGCAGCCATGGGGGTCACTGTGAGGAACTGGTTGTAGGCGGAGCCCCAGGTTCTGCTGTGACCTGACCGCTCCCCCAACCCCGGCCCCACAGCCTTTCTCCTCCTGCTGTATCGGCTCCGCTGGATACCGCACAACGACCACCACCACAGGGCTGCCCACACCACCAGTCCCCGCCACCCTGGCCTACACTCACCCCGCCCTCACCCGCTCCCAGTCAGTCCCAGCCTCCACAGGGCTTGGCTGGGGGTCCGGGCTGGTGGCCCCCCTGCAGGAGGGCAGCATCGACTCTACCCTCGCAGGCACCCAGGACACTCGGTGGGGCAGCCCCACATCCCTGGAGGGTGAGCTGGGGGCTGTGGCCATCTTTCACGAAGCCCTGCAGGCGACGGCTCTGAGGACCCTGTGCACCCTGGGTATGCAGCATTCTCCATCTCTGCCACAGCCCCAGGCCAGAAGCTAGGGGTCCGGGGGGAGAAGGCATCTCTGGGGGTCTCTCCTGTGGTCAGGCAGTCTCTGGATGGGGTTTGGCCAGAGGCCTAGCAAGGTCTGAAGCCCCCTGCCCACCTCCCAGGGCCCAATGAGACGGCACCCTTCAAGCCTGAGGGGGAGCTGCATGAGCTCAGCACCAGGCTGCTCCTCCATTACTCACCTCAGGTATTTGGGGGCCCCAGGGGAGTGGTTGGCTCGACTGTGCTACTTCCCCGGCTCCCACACTCTGCCTGCCACCCCCTCCTCCCTCTGACCCTGGCTGCCTGCCCATTCCCCTATCCCTAGGCTTGTAAGAACAACATCTGCCTGGACCTGTCCCCCAGTCATGGGCTTGATGGGCGCCTGACGGGCCACAGAGTGGAGACCTGGGATGTGAAGGTCTGTGAGCACGTGTGGGTGGTGTGTGCAGGAGGCATGAATATGGGGCACATGTGTGTTCGGAGTCAGCTGGGGAGCAGCGCTGTGCCTGGGGAGGATTTGGACAGTCCAGCTCAAGAGAGCAAAACTTCCTTTCTGGGTGGTCTGCTGGGGTGGAGTAGGGCAGGAAACTGGCTGGAAGGTCCCCCTCACTGCCATCCTCCTTCCCCCAGGATGTGGTGAACTGCGTTGGGGGTATGGGTGCCCTGCTGCCCCTGCTGGAGCGAGTAGCTGCACAGCCCAAAGAGGCTGAAGCAGGTCCAGCTGAAACGCATGACCTCGTGGGTCCTGAACTGACCTCTGGTCACAACACCCAGGGCCTGGTTCTCCCATTGGGTAAATCTTCAGGTAAGTGTTCCTGGTGCCTATGTTGTGGAGAGGGAATCTTGGCATGGTAGGGGGGTGGAATGCCCAAGGTCTCCTGGCCACTGGCAGGCCCTTGACACACATCTGTCCCCTTCCTGATGGCTGGCAGAGGAACGGATGGAGAGGAACGCAGTGGCTGCTTTTCTGCTGATGCTGCGGAACTTCCTTCAGGGTCACATGGTGAACCAAGAGAGCCTGGTGCAGTGCCAGGGGCCTGCCATCATCGGGGCCCTCCTGCGAAAGGTGGGGCCCGGTGGGACAGGCATGGGGGTTAGGGGTATGGTCAGCCTGTCTGACCGAGGGGACTGAGTGGGGAACCCTGTCAGTCATGAAGAACCTCCTGGGAGAGTTGCCACTTGAGTGGGGCCTGAAAGGCCGAGCAGGGTTGGGTCTGGAGGATCTGGGGAAAGGCCCAGCACAGGTCGGGGCAGGGACCCGCACAGCAGGCAGGAGGCTTGCGTGTCAGAGGCGGCAGGAAGCCCCCAAAGGGTTCTGAGCAGGCTGGTGGCCATGTTTGTGGCCGTCATGGCTGTGCAGGGAAGAGTGGCAGCTGAAAAGCTCAGACAGCAGACAGGCAGAGCCTGAGCCCTCACTCCAGCTCCTGTCTTATCCCAGGTCCCAAGCTGGGCCATGGACATGAACGTGCTCATGTCCGCCCAGCTGCTGATGGAGCAGGTGGCAGCTGAGGGCAGCGGGCCCCTCCTGTACCTACTCTACCAGCATTTGCTCTTCAACTTTCACCTCTGGACCCTCAGTGACTTCGCCGTGCGCCTCGGTAGGTGTGAGGACCTGAGCAAGGGGCCGGCCATAGGGCAGCTGAGCACTGAGAAGTTAGAACTCTGCTCTGGGGGATCTGAGGGACTCACCTGTTAGGAATCCAGAATGCCATGGGGCGGCTGAGGGGACTATGACCCTGCCCTGGAAGTCTGACAGGCACATGGCCCTGGCCTGGAGGATCTGAAGGGCCCAGCTCAGCCTAGTGGCCTGAGCCCTCTGCTCATTCCCGCTCAGGTCACATCCAGTACATGTCCAGCATAGTTCGGGAGCACAGACAGAAGCTGCGGAAGAAGTACGGCGTCCAGTTTATCTTGGATGCTCTGCGCACCCACTACAGGTGAGGCCAGTGGGGCCAGATGGGCCATGGGGGGCTGACACAGTGGCCTCCGGCCTTGGGGACTGGGCGGTGCGCTTCCCTGACTCACCTGCCCACCCTCTCTCCCCGCCTTTCTTTGGGACCTGGCTGGGTGTGCCTACTGACCTGCCAGCCCGCAGCGGGAGCGCCCCCTGGCTGCTGACGACCTACGCACCGTGCAGACCTCCCTCCTGGGCCTGGCGAGGGAGTTCCTGGTGCGGAGTCTCTCAGCAGATGACGTGCAGGTCACGCAGACCATGCTGAGCTTTTTGGCGGCCACAGGCGATGACGGTCAGGTAGGCTGGAGGTTGGGGAGCGGGAGGCTTGGGTGAGGGGAGTGGGGGCCCGACACAGTGTGAGACCCTGCATCCCCAGGCGGTGGGTGCGCTGGACCTGCTGCTGGCCCTGCTGCACGGTTCCCTGGTGCAGGAGTCCTTGGCTGTCTTTCTGTTGGAGCCAGGGAACCTCGAAGTGCTACTGGCCCTGCTAGTGCGGCCAGGGTCACTGCCCCTGCTGCCCGATCGAGTCTGCAAGGTACACCCAGCCCACCCCCTCCCCTGGCATCCCATTCACTGGGGCCCCTGCCTGGGGTTCAGGGAGGTACAGCAGGCCTTGGGCCAGCGGATGAAGCTGCCTTCAAGGGCCTCTTGAGCCACACACCTGCACGGTGACTTCCCCTCCTACAGTAACTCCTTCCACATGATGACAGTCCTCCGATGACCCCCACACAGATCCTGCGCAGACTGCAGCAGAATGAGCGGCTACCTGAGCGGAGCCGCCAGCGCCTCCGGCTGCGGGAGTGTGGTCTCCAGGGTCTGGTTGCCTGCTTGCCTGAGGGGACTGTTTCCCCCCAGCTCTGCCAGGGCCTCTACAAGCTGTTCCTGGGGGCAGGTACAACCTGGTTAAGGCCAAGTGGAGGGGGTGACATGTCAGAAAAACAGGGCAGGCAGGCCGGAAGAAGGAAGATAGTGGCATAGGGGCCAGGGCTGGGCCCTGCCCTTTCTAGTCTGGTCAGTCCCTCAGGTCCCCCCAACCCATCCCCCCAGATTGCCTGAACCTCTCAGATCTGCTGGCTGTGGTACAGCTGTCCCTCCAGGCTGACCTCAGCGTTCGCCTAGACATCTGTCGCCAGGTGAGCATGAGAGGTAAAAGCTTTGGGGGAGGGGGAGGGTGGCTTCTACCCTCTGGCCTTCCACCTTGCCTGTCTCATGAGGGGTCTCTGGAGCCCTCCTCTGCAAAGGCCCTGGATGAGGGTCTGGAGCAGGCAGTTGGATGCGTCCTCACTTGCTGTGCTCTCGCCTGCAGCTTTTCCACCTCATCTACGGACAGCCAGATGTAGTGCGGCTTCTGGCCCGACAGGCTGGCTGGCAAGATGTGCTGACCCGGCTATATGTCCTGGAGGCTGCCACAGCCGGCAGCCCCCCTCCGTCTTCCCCAGAGTCACCTACCTCCCCCAAGCCAGCCCCACCCAAGCCACCCACTGAGTCACCTGCTGAGCCTTCAGATGTCTTCCTGCCCTCAGAGGCCCCCTGCCCTGACCCTGATGGCTTTTACCATGCTCTCTCCCCATTCTGCACGCCCTTTGACCTGGGCCTGGAACGGTCTAGTGTAGGATCAGGCAACACTGCTGGTGGTGGCGGCAGCAGTGGGACTCTTACTCCAGCCAGCCAGCCCGGCACTCCTTCGCCACTGGATGGGCCGCGGCCCTTTCCTGCTGCTCCTGGCCGCCACAGCTCCAGTCTCTCCAATGTGCTGGAGGACGGCAGCCTCCCGGAGCCCACCATTAGCGGGGATGATACCTCGAACACCAGCAACCCACAGGTGAGGTGGGCCCACCCTCTGCCACTGCATGGTACCCAAGGGAGGACACTTCTGGTACACAGGGCTGGCAGTGTAGCCTCTCCAAAGGTGTGGCCCTGTCTGACCAGGGTTGCAGCCACTGGTCAGGCCTATTGCTGTCCCCTCATAGCTCTCATCTGCAGTTGTGTTCCCAGAGGGCTCCTGGAACAGGGTGAGTCATGATGAGCCACAGTGGGTGACACCAGCCAGGCTTCAGAAGGGCCCTCAAGAGAGCCTGTAGGGCAGACACCTCACAGGGTCCAAGGGCAGCAAACTCCAAAGGCCCTGCCCTGGGCTTCTGGGTTTGGGGATGGGCCTCTGCTTGTTCTATGTGAACTGCCTCATCTCCTCTTGGGAGTCTGGCAAGACCCCAGGATTCTGCCTGGAACTCAGGTAGTAGTTGAGACCCCTATACCATTCTTCCAGGCCCTTAGTGCCAGGCTCACTGTTAGCCAAATGCTCTGACTCCTGGGTGGCTACCCCAGGAGGGGTGCTGAGTGGGGATGGGTGGGCGTCAGCCTGATTCCCTCCCTTAGCCGCCCACAACCCACGCCCACACCACCCACCTGTGCCCACAGCAAACCTCTGAGGAAGAGTTGTGCAATCTGCTCACCAACGTGCTGTTCTCGGTGACGTGGCGTGGCGTGGAAGGCAGCGATGAGGCTGCCTGGCGGGAGCGTGGCCAGGTTTTCTCAGTGCTCACCCAGCTGGGGGCCTCAGCCACACTTGTGCGCCCACCAGACTGCATCAAGCGCAGGTGAGAGGGAAAGTCTGGAGGGGGAGGGGCTTCAGGAAGCCTCGGGGGAAGGAGAGAAGATAGTCAGGTAGACCCTTGAGTTCCCCACTCACCCGCCAGCCTCCTGGAGATGATGCTGGAGTCAGCCCTGACCGACATCAAAGAGGCCCCCGTGGGGGTCCTGGCCAGCCTCACCCAGCAAGCGCTTTGGCTGCTGCGTCTGCTGCAGGACTTCCTGTGTGCTGAAGGCCATGGTAACCAGGAACTGTGGAGTGAGAAGGTGCGACCCCTCAGAGAGGCGTGAGCCACATGAACACTCATGTTCATGCAAGCCTGCAGGGATCTGGTCTGGGAGGTGGATGGGTACACGTGCGCAGGTGTGGGTGCATCAGCATGAATGCCTGTGAGTGTGGACTTGCCTGTGTGCACAAACCCTACCTGGCCCCCAGCGCAAACTTTACTTTGCTCCCTTTCCATGGACTCCTGGCCTCCCCTGGTGATGTCTGTTGGGAACCTGTTTTCTGTGGCAGCTCTTTGAAGGTGTATGCAGCCTACTTGATCGCCTGGGAGCCTGGCCCCACCTGGCCAACGGCACAGCTGATCTCCGTGAGATGGCGCAGATTGGCCTACGGCTTGTACTTGGCTACATCCTGCTGGAAGACCCACAGGTGAGCACAGGGTGAGCATGGGGGCAGGGGGCGTGTGAGATGTCGGGAGCTCCAAGAGTGGCTGGGTGCCACTCATCTCTCTTGCGCCCACAGCTGCATGCCCAGGCCTACGTGAGATTGCACATGCTGCTACAGACTGCAGTGCCAGCCCGCCGCGAGGAGGCCTGCTATGTGCTCTCCAAGCTGGAGGCTGCACTGGGGCGGGTGCTGAACACCTCTTCCTTGGAGTCAGCCACTGATGAGGCAGGGTCCCCACTTGCAGCTGCAGCAGCTGCAGCAGCTGCAGAGCGCTGCTCCTGGCTGGTGCCACTGGTGCGCACGCTGCTAGACCGTGCCTATGAGCCGCTGGGGCTGCAGTGGGGACTGCCCTCCCTGCCACCCACCAATGGCAGCCCCACCTTCTTTGAAGACTTCCAGGCTTTTTGTGCCACACCCGAATGGCGCCACTTCATCGACAAACAGGTGCCTGGAGGTTGGGGCCCAGGAAGAGGAGTGGGGGCTGGGGCCCACATCGAGCACTGTTCTCCTCTGCCCAATCCTCCAGGTACAGCCAACCATGTCCCAGTTCGAAATGGACACGTATGCTAAGAGCCACGACCTTATGTCAGGTTTCTGGAATGCCTGCTATGACATGCTTATGAGCAGTGGGCAGCGGCGCCAGTGGGAGCGCGCCCAGAGTCGTCGGGCCTTCCAGGTGTGCCACCCGGGGTAAGGGATGGGAAACTGCTCCACACATGCACCCAGGAGATGACTGACAATGTGGAGAAACGGGTAGGGCAGGCAGCAGCCAGGGGACTGACCTATTACCCCCACCCCAGGAGCTGGTGCTGGAACCTGCGCAGAGGCGGGCGCGCCTGGAGGGGCTACGCTACACGGCAGTGCTGAAGCAGCAGGCAACGCAGCACTCCATGGCCCTGCTGCACTGGGGGGCGCTGTGGCGCCAGCTCGCCAGCCCATGTGGGGCCTGGGCGCTGAGGTGGGCCGGGCTTGGGGCAGGGTCGCTGTGGAGGGGTGGGGCTTGGGAGGGAGGGAGCCACCTGGAGCCCCAGACTGCCTTTGGGGTGAGGCCAGGGAGGGATGGGGGTGTCTACAGCCTTCTACCGACCCATGACCTGGGGGACATTCTGCAGGGACACTCCCATCCCCCGCTGGAAACTGTCCAGCGCCGAGACATATTCACGCATGCGTCTGAAGCTGGTGCCCAACCATCACTTCGACCCTCACCTGGAAGCCAGCGCTCTCCGAGACAATCTGGGTGAGGGAGTGTGCTGAGATGGGTCCACCCAACTCGATTGTCCCGTCTCCTGTCCTGCCTTGCTTCTGCTGAGTACCCTTGGCCCCTTGCAGGTGAGGTTCCCCTGACACCCACCGAGGAGGCCTCACTGCCTCTGGCAGTGACCAAAGAGGCCAAAGTGAGCACCCCACCCGAGTTGCTGCAGGAGGACCAGCTCGGCGAGGACGAGCTGGCTGAGCTGGAGACCCCGTGAGTGGGGCCCTGGAGAGATTGGACTGGTGTGGTGGGCAAGGGGTCTGCTCCAGTGTGTGCATGCCTCTGTGGGATCAACTCCCTGAGTGTGTCCTCTTCTGCTGCCCGACTACGTCCCCCTGAAGGGACTGTCCAAAGCCAGATGGTGAGTGGGAGAGTCTCCTAACAGGGCTGAGAGTTGCTCTTTTAACAGCCAGGCACCTGAGGACAGCACTGAGAAACACAAACCAGAGCAGGAAGGGGGCCCAGGGAGTGGGCAGGGGCTGGGTGAGGGGAGCAGGGGACAAGGGTTGGCATCCTGGCAAAATATTCAGAAGCCCAGTGGGTGGCAGGTGGGGGACAGGGGCTGGGACCAGTAGGTTCTGGACCCTAGGCAGCCCCTCCCCATCTCTGGGAGTCATGAGAGTATATACCCCATGACTCAATGGCACTTGGATGCCCTTTGGGCTTGTGAAGAAGGGGGTCCCAGAGCCTACAGCGTGAGGTGGGTTGCTGGTCTTTAGGATGGAGGCAGCAGAACTGGATGAGCAGCGTGAGAAGCTGGTGCTGTCGGCCGAGTGCCAGCTGGTGACGGTAGTGGCCGTGGTCCCAGGGCTGCTGGAGGTCACCACACAGAATGTATACTTCTACGATGGCAGCACTGAGCGCGTGGAAACCGAGGAGGGTGCGTCCTGGTGGTGTGGTTTAGGAGGATGGCAGGGAATGGCTGAGCTCTGGGTGGGGCTGGGGTGAGTGACTCCCGTACCTGCTGTTCCTCCCCATAGGCATCGGCTATGATTTCCGGCGCCCACTGGCCCAGCTGCGTGAGGTCCACCTGCGGCGTTTCAACCTGCGCCGTTCAGCACTTGAGCTCTTCTTTATCGATCAGGCCAACTACTTCCTCAACTTCCCATGCAAGGTGGGCACGACCCCAGTCTCATCTCCTAGCCAGACTCCCAGACCCCAGCCTGGCCCCATCCCACCCCATACCCAGGTACGGAACCAGGTGTACTCGTGGCTCCTGCGCCTACGGCCCCCCTCTCAAGGCTACCTAAGCAGCCGCTCCCCCCAGGAGATGCTGCGTGCCTCAGGCCTTACCCAGGTGAGAGCCCTGGGTGTGAGGGATGTGAAGTCGGGACCCTGAATCACGGGGCAGTGCTGGACAGCCCACCTGGCTCACATCTTGTCTGCCCCTGTCCCCAGAAATGGGTACAGCGTGAGATATCCAACTTCGAGTACTTGATGCAACTCAACACCATTGCGGGGCGGACCTACAATGACCTGTCTCAGTACCCTGTGGTGAGGGTCCCACTCTGCACCCCTCCACCCCTGCCCCTCTGACCTGTCAGCCCTTGGTTCCCCCAAGTGTAGGTACCTGCCAGTGGGCCAAGCTCTGAGCTTGGTCAAGGGTAGATGTGCCAATGAAGACCTGGCCTCTGTTCCCTGCCAACCCCCAGAGGTCCCCAGCCTCACTCCCTTCCCCTCCCTGCCTAGCCTCTATTCCTCAAAAGGAATCCTGTTCCAGGACACTCTGTCCTTCTCCCCTGTGACCCCTCTAAGTGGTGCTCCCCCAACCTGTGGGCAGGCTCTGTGCCCGCCTTCTTGAGGGTGTGGGCAGGGCAGGGTGGGCTGGTAGGCCATCAGGGCCCTCATGCAGCCCCTGCTCGGGTGGGTGGCCAGTTCCCCTGGGTCCTGCAGGACTACGTGTCCCCAACCCTGGACCTCAGCAACCCAGCCGTCTTCCGGGACCTGTCTAAGCCCATCGGTGTGGTGAACCCCAAGCATGCCCAGCTCGTGAGGGAGAAGTGAGCATGTGGGCAGGGCTGGGCTCAGCGGGTAGGGAAAGGCGAGGGGAGGGCTTCTGCTGACACGTCCAACTGTGGCCCCAGGTATGAAAGCTTTGAGGACCCAGCAGGGACCATTGACAAGTTCCACTATGGCACCCACTACTCCAATGCAGCAGGCGTGATGCACTACCTCATCCGCGTGGAGCCCTTCACCTCCCTGCACGTCCAGCTGCAAAGTGGCCGGTGCGGCCCAGGGGCTGGTGGGCAGACTAGGGGGCAGATAAGGGGAGGAGGCTGGTCCTCCCCACATCCTGGGCCCACCCCTGGCTCCCTTCTTCCCTCCAGCCACAGCATCTCCCTCCCTGTCTCCATTCTCCCCACCTCACCTTGGCCCCGTGCCCCTCCCCCAGCTTTGACTGCTCCGACCGGCAGTTCCACTCGGTGGCGGCAGCCTGGCAGGCACGCCTGGAGAGCCCTGCCGATGTGAAGGAGCTCATCCCGGAATTCTTCTACTTTCCTGACTTCCTGGAGAACCAGAACGGTAGGTGTGAGGTGCTCACACTGGAGCGGGCAGGTGTAGGGATGGAGAGCAGATGGTGGAGTGGCCAGGGGGCAGTCGGGATGGACAGGGAGACAGCTGACCCAGTCCTCTGTGCCAGGTTTTGACCTGGGCTGTCTCCAGCTGACCAACGAGAAGGTAGGCGATGTGGTGCTACCCCCGTGGGCCAGCTCTCCTGAGGACTTCATCCAGCAGCACCGCCAGGCTCTGGTGAGGAAGGAACCACAGGCAAACGGCAGGCAGCCGGGGTTCTGAAGATCATGGGGGGTCAGCTGTCCCTGCACTGATTGCTGCCTCCCTACTCTCAGGAGTCGGAGTATGTGTCTGCACACCTACACGAGTGGATCGACCTCATCTTTGGCTACAAGCAGCGGGGGCCAGCCGCCGAGGAGGCCCTCAATGTCTTCTATTACTGCACCTATGAGGGTGGGCAGTGCGCTGGACTCCAGTCAGGGCCAGGACAAGATCAGGTCGGGTGGATGCAGAGGGCACGCAGGGAGCCCTGACTGCTCTGCCTGCCTTCCCAGGGGCTGTAGACCTGGACCATGTGACAGATGAGCGGGAACGGAAGGCTCTGGAGGGCATTATCAGCAACTTTGGGCAGACTCCCTGTCAGCTGCTGAAGGTAAGGCCAGCTTAGAGGATAGTGGCCAGGGATGCCCATGCCATGGTGCTGACCAGCCACTTACCCACAGGAGCCACATCCAACTCGGCTCTCAGCTGAGGAAGCAGCCCATCGCCTTGCACGCCTGGACACTAACTCACCTAGCATCTTCCAGCACCTGGACGAACTCAAGGCATTCTTCGCAGAGGTGAAAGGAAGACAAGACCTCAACTTTATATTCTGTGAAATGGGTTTAACCCCACTGTCCTTACCAACCACGTGGGGCAGATGGGAATCCTAATCAAGGTCACTGATTTCAAGGCACCTTAGAAAATGAGCTAAACATGGGAAGAGTATGGGGGCAGGAGGGGTGCCTTCTTCATCAGGGCCAGGATAAAGTGTCGACTCAACAAGCTCTGAAAGCCTTAGGGAGATCAGGAGGGAGATCTGTCCTTGGACCCCTTCCATCGCCTTCCTAGACAGGAACATTCCTGAATGTTGCCCCCAGGCCTGACTTTTTTTTTAGGTTTCCCTCTCTTCCTGCCTTTGGGCTAGGGGGACAAGGAATAACAGGGTGAGAGGACCAAGTTGAAACTAAGTGTGATACTCTGGAAGCATCTTCCATGTCTGTCCCAGCTTCTCACCCACTTTCTGAGATGCCCTCCTAAAGTCTCTGCCTGTTTCTTGGAGGGAACCTCTGCATCTGTGACACCTACTCTATGACCCCTGGGGACTGACAGTAAAGGAAGGGATGATGCTTCAGGGAGCAGATAGTGTAATCTGATAGTACTCAGGCATAGCTAGGCCTGCCCTTGCCCCTGCAGGTTGTCAGTGATGGTGTACCCCTGGTGCTAGCCCTGGTCCCCCACCGGCAGCCCCACTCCTTCATCACCCAGGGTTCCCCAGACCTGTTGGTAAGTGCATTGTGCAGAGCCCCAGCTCAGCTCCACTCCCCCTTGCCTCTGCCAGAAACCCACCTCTGCCCCCTCCTGCCTGCAGGTGACTGTGAGTGCCAGTGGGCTGCTGGGCACCCACAGCTGGTTGCCCTATGACCGCAACATAAGCAACTACTTCAGCTTCAGCAAAGACCCCACCATGGGCAGCCACAAGTAGGACAGAGGGCTGTGGGTGGGGTGGGCTACAAATGCCCTGCACCCGGAATTATTCCCCTCCCTAATCAGAATGTAGGCCAGCTGCAGGGGAAAGGTCTGGCCAGGCTCCCTGAGGGCCTGGGTCTCTTCCATGTGGCCTGGCCTCACTTGCTATCCCCCTCACTGGGTCAGGACGCAGCGACTGCTGAGTGGCCCGTGGGTGCCAGGCAGTGGTGTGAGTGGACAAGCACTGGCAGTGGCCCCGGATGGAAAGCTGCTATTCAGCGGTGGCCACTGGGATGGCAGCCTGCGGGTGACTGCACTACCCCGTGGCAAGCTGTTGAGCCAGCTCAGCTGCCACCTTGGTATGAACAGCCTTGGAGCTGGGGAGAATGAGGCACACAGGTATGGGGCCGGGTTCTGAGGCTGGCCAGGGCGGATGTGACTCCTCCGTTCTGCCTGTACCCTCCCCTTCCCATGCAGATGTAGTAACCTGCCTTGCACTGGACACCTGTGGCATCTACCTCATCTCAGGCTCCCGGGACACCACGTGCATGGTGTGGCGGCTCCTGCATCAGGTGTGCCTCGTGGGCAGCTCTGTGGGGCCCCCGTAGCCCAGACCTGCAGCCCATCCGTCCCTCAGTGGCCTTCCAGTCCTGTCCTCCTCTAGTCTTGGACAAGGCCTTCATTTCCTGAGCCTCAGGGGACAGTCCTAAGCCAACCCTGGTCCTCCACAGGGTGGTCTGTCAGTAGGCCTGGCACCAAAGCCTGTGCAGGTCCTGTATGGGCATGGGGCTGCAGTGAGCTGTGTGGCCATCAGCACTGAACTTGACATGGCTGTGTCTGGATCTGAGGTGTGTGTATGCATGTGCCCTGGGGAGGGTGAGTTTCCTGGGCAATCCCCCTGGAGCCCAGACTCCTGCCCAGGACCCTAAGTTGCCTTCCTGCAGGATGGAACTGTGATCATACACACTGTACGCCGCGGACAGTTTGTAGCGGCACTACGGCCTCTGGGTGCCACATTCCCTGGACCTATTTTCCACCTGGCATTGGGGTCCGAAGGCCAGATTGTGGTACAGAGCTCAGCGTGGGAACGTCCTGGGGCCCAGGTATGGGGAAGGGGTGCCCAGCAAAGATGGAGGGGCAGTTGGGATCCTGTCCTTGCTGACACTCCCTGCTTCCTCCAGGTCACCTACTCCTTGCACCTGTATTCAGTCAATGGGAAGTTGCGGGCTTCACTGCCCCTGGCAGAGCAGCCTACAGCCCTGACGGTGACAGAGGACTTTGTGTTGCTGGGCACCGCCCAGTGCGCCCTGCACATCCTCCAACTAAACACGTAAGCCCCCCATTTATGGGTTCATGGCCCCTGAAGGTGGTGGTCATTGGTGTAGGATAAAGGCCCTAGGAACCCACACACCATACATGTTTGTGGGCACATATTTCAAGGTTTGTTACCTGTCCCTTCATCTTCCCATGGGGAGGTCTTGCCCTGGGCCTCCGCTTAGCCACAGTTGTGGGAGATTTCTTTGTGTATAAGAATTTCAATTTAACCATCCTTAAAATGAGGACAGAGAGGGTATATGGGATAAGGGATATCTGCTGGTCGCAAAGCCCCCTTGCAGTCGCAAGTTGGTGTATATCCCCTCTCCCTTCCAGACTGCTCCCGGCCGCGCCTCCCTTGCCCATGAAGGTGGCCATCCGCAGCGTGGCCGTGACCAAGGAGCGCAGCCACGTGCTGGTGGGCCTGGAGGATGGCAAGCTCATCGTGGTGGTCGCGGGGCAGCCCTCTGAGGTGAGGATGGGGCGGGGGTGGGGAGGCCCCTCGAACGGGGCGGGGCGTGGCGCGGCGATCCCAGCTGATCCTACTCAACCCTTACGCCCACCAGGTGCGCAGCAGCCAGTTCGCGCGGAAGCTGTGGCGGTCCTCGCGGCGCATCTCCCAGGTGTCCTCGGGAGAGACGGAATACAACCCTACTGAGGCGCGCTGAACCTGGCCAGTCCGGCTGCTCGGGCCCCGCCCCCGGCAGGCCTGGCCCGGGAGGCCCCGCCCAGAAGTCGGCGGGAACACCCCGGGGTGGGCAGCCCAGGGGGGTGAGCGGGGCCCACCCTGCCCAGCTCAGGGATTGGCGGGCGATGTTACCCCCTCAGGGATTGGCGGGCGGAAGTCCCGCCCCTCGCCGGCTGAGGGGCCGCCCTGAGGGCCAGCACTGGCGTCTGCGGCCGCAGCAGCACTTTTTGCACAGTCTGGGGCGGGGTTCCCCGGCTTCCAAGTCGCTGTTTCGTCAAAGCACGAGGGCCGCCTGTGGCCTTAATTCCTAACGGCGGCCCCGGTTCTCCCTTCTCGGCAATAAACCAGGCCTAGTTTTGTAGCTGCTCCGTCTCCGAGTGTGCGTTCGCGCGCAGCGTCTCGGCCTGCCATGGCCACCGTCCCAGGGTCGCCGTCTGAGTCTGGCCTGGCTCGCGTTCCCCTGGCCCGTGACCCCCTCTGGGCCCACTCGCCCCCCCTCCGCGTGGCCGTCGCTGAACTGGGGCCTCAGTTTACCCGGCAGTGTAGCCCCTGCCCCACATCTCGCCCCGGCTTGTGGTTTCCCCACGATCTCTTCATGGGGTCGCCTTCGCACGCCATTCGTCCACAACCGCAACCCGGCCAGGCGCCCCGCAGGCGCGTTTGCATTCCTTCGCCGGGCAGGGGCGACAACACCCGAGGCCGCGCCCCTCCAGCTCGGCCCTGCCACCTCATTGTCTTGCCTACTTCTTGGGCCGCCCTGTGGCGCCGCTGTGGTCTCGGGGTTGGGGGTGGGGGGCCAGAACCACCCCAGAGAGTCCACGTTGTCTTCCCGGAGGGCTCGGTCCTGCCCTGCTGAGTGGATCCATCCTGGCGGCCACTGGTCATGAGGAGTTGGGGGCAGAGCCCTTGCTGAGCGGAGGGAGCCGGGGGCTGCCTCTCTGTCCCCCATCTCCAGACTCGCGATCCTGCGGGTGTTGTATGTGCTGGTGTCGGCGTGTGCGTGAGAAGTCAGGGGTAGTGTGGGTGTGCGGGGTGGTTGCATTGTGTGTGCGTATTCGTGGGCCTGGAGACAGGTGGGAGGCGGGAGGGGTTCCAGTCCCGCTGCTCAGAGTAGGCTGGGCGGAAGCCAGGCCTGTCTGCTGCTGCGTCCTGGTCACAGGCCCATCCACTATCCAGGATCCTGCAGGGCCCCTTAATGTAAGTGACACAAAGGTACACACCCATATGTGGCAAGGGCTACCAGGTCGCACCCACTTGGCCACAGCACTGGGTTGCTGATTTAGCCATACACATGGGCACATGGTGTGGGATAGATCGGTACCCAATATGTGGTGGTGGATACTGGGGAGCTGGAGGGCCTTCCCGGATGTCTCCTCCATTCCTTCTCCAGGCAAGCTCTCCTTAGTCTAGACGAGGAGCTTCTCTTCCCCAAACCTCAGGAAGTGGGTCCCAGCAGATTCAGCCCTATAGGATCCAGGTAGGACTGAGCGGTCCTATCCTTTGAGTCTCAGGCCCTCTCTGAATTTCTGGATGAAGCAGGATCAACTAGGGAGTCTCTGGGCCCATATCCCCTATTCCCTCGCTGAACCCACCAGGGTAGCATTCCACCCAGTTCCTGATCAGGAGAGGGCTGGACACTGACCCTTGAGGAAAGAGTGCGAGCATGGTCACTGCAGAAAGTCCTCCTGCCTTGGGGCTTTAGGATGTTGGGTTCCTGAACTCTAGTTTAAAAGCCTGGTGGTGAGCCTCCCACTGGCCAGTACATCTCTCCAGCCTGGTTCTGGCCAAGATGGAGCTAGAAGGCACGTCTCCCCTATCCTCCCTACCATCCCTGGACTCAGACCAGGTGTTTGGCAACGTCTTTGAGACAGGGTGGTTTCCAACCTGTCTTCCATCCTGAGCTGTATCTGACCCTTCTAATTTTGGCCAGCTGGGACCAGCTCTGTCACCTCCGCCCCATCTGACACAGGAGGAAACTGGTCCAGCCCTAGAATGAATCAGGTTGAAGTGAGAAAAGGGGGACAGACTACCCCAAGGGACTGCCAACGTCAGGCCTGGAGATTTCCCCCATATTCCTCCTGCACACAGCCCTTTTTGGACTGAGAGAAGCAGCTCCCAGCTCCCCTGCCTGGGCGCTGCCTAAAACTCTCTAACGTCTTCTCCAAGAAACAGCCCCAGGAGTATTAACCACTAACAGAGCCATGATTCACAACTCTAGCCACAGCAAAGTCCTGGCCTATGTGGGTAAGCATCCGTTGATCCAGATCATGGGCACTGGGCAGGCTGGGAGGTACCCCAAGTGGGTAGGTCACACCCAAGTCCAGCCACAGGTTCTGGAGTCTCTGCCCCGTGTGCCCTGACTGCACTAGATTGGAAGGACAAGTCGCTTCCAGGCAGAAGAAAGCAACAACACTTCCTTTCCAGTTCAGCTTTATTTTGCAAAAATTTACAAGGCCTCCTTTGCACAGAGATGCTTGTGGGGACCACATGAATCAATGTGCCCTCACAGTCCAGACTTGGTGGCGGAGACAGGACACAAGTGCCATGGTAGACAGTGCCATGGTCTTTCTTCCTGTGCCCTGGATAATTGGATAAAAAAAATTGGATTTAGTGCCGTGGTAGACAGGAGGTGCAAATGGACCCCAAAAAGGAAGAGATCAAGAAGTCTTCCCAGAGTAGAAGATTCTTGCCAATATGTCAGATGGAGAAGGGAGATTGGCAAGAGCAGAAGTCTGGAAGGTTATGAGAACAGGGTGCATCTAGGAAGGACAAGGTGTCCAGAGTGGTAAGCAAAGGGGAAGAAGTAGATGAAAATGGAAAAATAGGCCAGACAGCTCCTGATGCTGTGGTATAAGCTTTTGACTCTAATAGTAGGGACTACTGGCTTCAAATCTTTTTGGCAACAAAGTTTAGGTGAGGCTACCCAGGGACCCTAGCCTTTGTTCCTTGCTCCTGACCTGATCTGTCTTTTCTTCCACAGGTAAGATCCTGAGGAGGCAGGAGAGGGACAGGGAAGGAGTATGGGTAGGGGCAGGAGGAGCCCTGGCCCCCAATACCTCCTCCCCTTTCCTCCTGGAGTCTCCAAGAGGTCTCAGGCAGCATCATCCCAGTCTACTGTACCCTTCTGGCCACTGTGGTCCTCGGTCTGCTTGCCTACATGGCCTTCAAGTGGTAGGTGGTCTGGGCACTGCCCTGTGGCACCCCCTTCCCTGTCTGGACTCCCAACCAATTCCCTGTCTTGAAGGTGGGGGCAGGTTGGTAGGTCTCCCTTTCTCCCCACAGCTGGCGCTCACATAAACAAAGACAGCAGCTGGCCAAAGCTCGAACTGCAGAGCTGGGAGGTCTCAACAAGGACCAGATGCATGGGGATAGCAGTGTCTTCCTGGACTCTCCTAGCAGTCTGGAGCCCTGTGCCCCCAGCCAGGGTGAGCCCCTTTCCCAGAACTGCCTCACCACCCAGCCCTTGTGTGATCCTCATGTCTCCTGCCCCAGGACCACATCCTGAGCTTGGGTGCCGACTTCACCTTGATCTCCCTCGGCAGCACCAGGAGAAAGTGGAGCGGCTGTTAGAGGTGTCACGTGAACCTGACAAGGGCTGGCGGGGACTGGCAGACCATCTGGGCTACCAAGCTGAGGCTGTAGAAATCATGGCCCAAGGCCAGGTGTGAGCCTACACACTGCTGAGGGACTGGGCTATCCAAGAAGACAGTGGTGCCACCCACAAGGTGCTAGAGAATGCCCTGGTTGCCATGGGCCAGGAAGATGTGGTCCAGGTCCTGGGCCCCCAAGCTGAGGGCTGTTCTGTGGTGTGAGTGCTGTCTCCATAGCCTGCACTCTCGGAGACTGCTCCGGTGCTCCCCTACCCCCATCTCATATATCTTTCCCTTTGTGGGCTTCCTGGGGTTGCTGGGCTCAGCCTGCTCTGTTCTGGGGAAGAAAACCGAAGATCCAGCCACCATTCACTTCCCCTTATCCACCCATCCCCTCCAGAAGAGGGCCCAGGATATGGTGGGGAGTGGGCAGTGAGGAGTGGTTCTGCCCTTTGGATCCCTACTCCACCTCCTCTTATTAAGCCTCAGCTGGTTTTGCTACTTTTGTAACCCATATTAAAGGTGATTCGGACTTTTCCGCTGGCTCTATCTGGCTCCTTGGGCCTGTGAGACAGTTGAGTGGGTGGCTATGAGGCAGAGGCCCAGAAAAGGGGTGGGGGTCCCTAGGCTGTGGGAGGGGCCTCTCCAAGCAGCACCTGGGATGGCAGGCAGTGTGATCCTATAGGATGCATGGGCTCTGGAGGCACAGATCAGAGTTCATATCCTGCGCCTACTACCATTTGCTGGCTTTATCATGTTTGGAAGGTATTTTACCTTGCTGATTATTTTACCTTGCTGATTATTTTACCTTGGTATTTTATCAACTTCCTTAGCTGGAGAACAGTAAGTTTAAGTGACACATTCAGTAGTTTCCCCCACACCTAAGACTCCCAGGTTGGTGCTGAGGGACCCTGGGTTTGAGATCATTTTCCTGACTTGTTCTATGAGCAGCACCAAGGGGAGGCTGGAGGCCTGTTCCTCTAGACAGGAGGCAAGAAGCAGGCTGGTCCTGGGCAGTTAATTACCAAGGGCCTCAGGTCACCTCTAGATAAGAAAAAAGAAAACGCTCTCTTTACAAGACCTGAACTCAGGACAAGGAGTTCCAAATGTACTTCCACATCTGCTCATGTGGTTGCTACACATGCCAAGGACAGGTGGGTCTCCTGGGCAGCTCAGGACAAGGCAGGTGCAGCCAAGTCCATGCATATGCACTCCATACATATGCCCACCCCAAAGGGGGAGGCAGGTAGGTTGGCACAATAAGTGCCTTTTGAAGAAGGTGCTATAAAAGACAAGCCTTGCCTAGGAAGGAACAATGGCTACCATCCTGGCATCTATCAGCATAAGTAGGCTTCAGAAGCACAGCCATCCAAACTCACTCAGAAGACATGGGTTCCAGTCATGGTCTAGGGGGGCCCAAGGTAGATCCTGTCCCTCTGCTAAAATGAGATGCAACTAAGATTGACTACTCTGTGAGTACCAAGCTCATCAGATTGCTGCTACTGCTACCCTCAGAAATAGTTGACCAGGGCTGCTTAATACTCTGTAAATCTTTCCCTTAAACTAAGGAAGAACCGGAAGTTTATAGCCACCTTCCTCCTCAGATGACCTTAGGGCAATAACCCTGAAGAATCAGGAGAGAAAGCAGGGAAGATACGCACCAGCTGCTGGAGACATCATAACCTGGAGATTTGGGTCAAAACCATGCATTTGATTTGGTTGCAAGCAGCAGTGCATGTGGCTGTACCCCTGCACTGTAAACCCACTGAAAAAGAAATGCCCCCTTTCAATGTGCTTAAGCATATTAACTAAAATATTCTCTGTAACAGACATAATTCCAAGACGTTAAGAGGGTTGAGCAAATTACCATCTGCGCATGTGATATAATAATATGCTTTAGGCCAGGCGTGGTGGCTCACGCCTGTAATCCCAGCACTTTGGGAGGCCGAGATGGGTGGATCACCTGAGGTCAGGAGTTTGAGACCAGCCTGACCAACATGGAGAAACCCCATCTCTACTAAAAATACAAAATTAGCCGGGCATGGTGGTGCATGCCTGTAATCTCAGCTACTAGGGAGGCTGAGGCAGGAGAATCGCTTGAACCTGGGAGGCAGAGGTCGCAGTGAGCCAAGATCGTGCGACTGCACTCCAGCCTGGACAAGAGCGAAACTCTGTCTCAAAAAAAAAAAGTGCTTTACAGTTTTGAAGGCTGCAGTATCATGAGAAAACAATAGCATGTCTAAGTTTAAAATAAGGATTTTCCCCTCTTTTAACACTTCCTTTAATATGAGGATATTAGAAGAGTTACTGAACCTCTCTGACCCTTAGTTTTCCTCATTATAGTGCCAATTCCTGTGCCTCAGGACTGTGACCACAACCTGAGCTCTAAGTGCTCAGCACAGTGCCTAGCAGGCAGTGACTGCTCTAATTGCTACTCACCCTGCCAAAGATTTGGCAGGCCACAACCTGACCTGACCTCAAGAACACTGCTGCAGCAGGCAGAATAACCCTGGTGAGAAACAGGTGGGACCAACCTTTTTGCAAAGATGGGCCCAGTCTGGCCTGAAGCCCTTAGCCTTCCTCACTGCCTAGATAACTGATCCAACAAGTGGGAGAGAGGTCTCTCACCAAGCCCTGCATCTTCCTGGAAATGTTCACTATCATCATAACCTGTGCACTATACCTCTTTTATAGGGGTCCTATCCTGTCCTCTAGTGTCCAACCCCAGTGTTAGGGAGCACAGTGGGAAGCTAGGGAACCCAAACATCAAATGAGCATTTCAAACCAGGTGTCCAACACTTTGGGAGTCTAAAGCAGGAGCATTACTTGAGGCCTGGAAGTCAAGACCAGCCTGGGTAACATAGCAAGACCCTGTGTCTCTACAAAAATTTTTAAAAAGTATTAGCTAATAGTCCTAGCTACTCCAGAGGCTGAGGCAAGAAGACTGCTTGGGCCCAGGAGTTCAGGGATGCAATGAGCTATGATCACACCACTGCGTTCCAGCCCGGGCAACAAAGCGAGACCCTTTCTCCCCACCCCCCTCCCCCACCCCCCCCCAAAAAAAGCATTCCAGTGGGCTCAGAAAAATCAAGTCCATGGGGGAGAAAAGATTCAATGCTTCTCTCCAGCCAGGAGAAAGTATCAAGGGAGAAGATAAATTTGCCTTTCTCTTGACTGATAATTAACCAAAATAAAGAAGCCTAGTGCCAAAGAGGCCCTAGATGCTGCTTCTTTTGCTCTGGAATGCATGTGCAAATTGACCCAATGCCTGAGCACAGCCAAAAGATCCCAAGCCTACAAGTGTCAGTCACCTGGCAAATGTGCAAATGTCTGCCCCAGTCATAGTAGGACCTGTGGAGAATGAACAAGTCCTGTAATAAAATCCAATCACAGGGATTAACCTTGGACTTCACACACCTAAGGCCACTCACTATCTCTCCTTCTTCCAGTGACATCATTACACACAAATATGCTTGATTAACTTTTAGGGAACACACATGCCAAGTTCTTTAATTGATTTTATTTTTTTACATAAAAAGTTCAGTAAAAATTGGATAAAGTAAAGTGATTTTAAGCAGTAAATCAATCTTATCAACATAGCACAAGGCTGGCCAAAACCACAAGGCAGCCTGCTTTAGAATATTTACATGATAACAAATTAAACCTTGCAGGAGAACTTAAACTGTCCTTACAAAGTCTTCCTGTGATCCTAGCATGTAGAGGCTAAAAGCAAAACGAAAACCAAACAAAAACCAGGAAAAAACAAATTATTTTCAATATATTCACATATACATTAAAATATAATACAGATCATCAGGGTAAAGGGTTGTGGGTGGGGATGCGCATGGGTCTGTGCGCTGACAGCACCGCCAAGGAGAAGACCCAGGTTTAAGAGTGGAGTCAGGTCTGGCCAGGGTCTTTTCTAAGCCCTTGCACCTCTGATGGCTTCTAACCACATGCCAACAGCTCACAACTAGGTAATCACTTGTAGATGGAGTTCATTTTTGTGGCCTTCAGTTGACATCTGCAGGGTTGAATTCCCCAGGGTGATGTATCATCAGTAGCACAGTGCTGACAGGGGTGGGACAGAAAGGCCCACAGGATTTCCTCTCCCTAGAGTCTGTCTTACCTGACCACCCATCCTCCCACCCTGGCCCAACAGTCACTCTAATTCAGTGTCCTCTTTGGGTTTGTAAACAGCCCCAAACTTCTGCATGTACTTCTTAATGTACTCCTTGGTTTTGTGTTTCACATTCTCATTGCACTCCAGGTCCTCAGGATTCTTACAGTACTTCAGCTCCTTATTCATAACACCGTGAGTCAGCTGTCCAGGGCACAGGAAGAGAGACCACAGCCACCAATCAGAGCAGAAATTATATGAGGGGGAGGACAGGGGTGGTAATCCAGCCTGCTGCTTCAGGGCCCTTCTCACCAAGACAGGAAGTTAATAAGGGGGTAGATGTTGGGGCAGGCTGGTGCTATGATCACCAGAAAGGACAAGCTGAGCTCTGAAAATTTCTTAGAGAACTACTGCTGTCATGTAAGGTACGCATCCCTCCCCAAACCTTCCCTCCCCGTTCCTGGGTCCCCAGCTCTGACATCTGACAAGAAAAAAAAAAATACTTTCTATGATGAAAAGGGCTTCTTAGAAGGTACACAGTTTGCCCAGAACATTGCCTGGTGGGCTACCAAAAGCAAGGGGAGTACCTTGCGAGCCAGATGTTTAAAGTCTTCAGTTGTGGTAATTCTTCCCACTTTGCAGTCAGGTTTCCGGTAAGGGTTCAGGCACTGGACGATGAACTGGGACATCTGCAGGCAGAGAAAAGAGAACACGTTGCTCAACAGTCCAGAGAGGGCAAGGAGTTGTACTGAGGAAATAACTAGAAAAGGTAGTGAGTAAAGCCAGCCAATCCTTCTCCTTTTCCTCCCTCAGGTTAACTGGTTTGGACAGTGGAATACTAGTAAGCCAGTAAGATCTGAGAAAAGGATACGGGCTCAGCCTGAGAGGGAAAGAGCTCCCCTGGATGGACTAAGCAAGCCTTAAAGGAGGCTGGAGGGACTCAACAGCATGACTTCAATGCTGAGTCCTTCAGCAGCCCCAGGTTTCAGTCAATGAATTTTGTGTCCTTGGCATAAAGACAGTAGCTGGGTTCTCTGGGCCCTGGAGGCAAGGCAGAGCACAGCAGGTGTTCCAGAGCTTCTATGAGGCTTAGCAATCCCAGGAACCACAGGAATTTTGTCATTGAAGGGTACTTAGATTCTTTAAGTGGTCATACCACAGCATGTGAAGCAGATGGAAGCATGATATGACAGCCAGCAAAGGAAAACCTAAGCAGAATCCTTTTCCTTCCACCACTTACTATGTCCTCCCTGGGCTGTCTAAGTATGGTCTGTCCTACCCAGGTGCTCCCAAACACTCTAGGAATAGGACCTTCAGAGGTATTTGTGGTGCTAAGATCATAGGGGACAAAGAGAATAAAGAGGCCAGTCATAGCCATTTCATCAGAGAGCACTTTGAACAAAGTCTACCCATCACTAAAATTCAGTGAGCCTTCAGGTGTTCAAAGAACAAGGCTATATCACAAGGTAGGCACTAAATAAACAGCTGCTGGTTCAATGAGCTGAAATACCAGTATGTTCACAAAGGGACCATAAGAAACTAAATTTTATCCCTGCATAAGCCTTTTAACTCAAGGTTTTTCTGGGGTTTCCTGGCCTCCAAACTCTCTTCCTTCAGTCTATCCCCTCAAACACAGATAGGGATTTCATTACCCCCTGCTTAAAATTCTGCAATGGTTCCCGATAACCCACAGACACATAGTTCCTATATGAAGAAGAACAATACCATTCCACCTCATTTTCAACAGCCCTCCCATATCTTGTGCTATAGCCCATCAGGCCACTTACAACTCCCTGGAAGGGAAGATGCTCTCTCTTGCCTCTGTACATTCTATTGATATAAGTTAGATCCCCTGCTGATCCATCTGGCCAATTCCTACCCCTGATTCAAGCGCCCTTCCTGACTGCCCAGATTGTGGCTCCCAGCCCTAATATGGCATACTTTTCACACAGCTGTCGCTACTTATTTACAGGTCTGTTTCTTCCAAAACACTACAAGCCCCTTCAGTGAATGAAGATTGGAGTTTAGAACCTAGATGCTATGAAGCAGACAAGTTTAGTGTCTTGATGGTTGGTAAGACACACTTCTGGTAGCATAAAAAGGAGCAGCATTCTCCCAAGCCCTGGAGAATTAGGCAGCTACCAAATGAGATATTACAGAAAGAGAACTGGACTTTGAGCCAGAACGCCTGAGTTCAAATCTTTTGTCTAGAACTTGCCTTCTCTGAACCTTAAGAGTTCTTTCACCTGAATAAGAGGAAAGGCAATCTGTCTTGCCTACCTCAAGGGCTGTTGTGGGGACAAAATGAGTCAATGGGTACTGAAGTGCTTAACCAGTTGAAAAAGGCCACACCTCTTTCACCAATGTGTCATTCACATAACAACTAAGTCAAATCACAGAAGCAAGAGGAATACCCAAAGACAAGGCAGCCTACCACTACAGACAGCTTTCTTTTGCCATAGATGCTACAGAAGGCCCACAGTCAAACAAGCAAATGTGGTCTGAGAGGGGCTCCTGTCAAGCCAAGAAAAGATGGCTGAGGAGTTTTCAGTGCTAAAAGAAGCACTTCAGCAAGACATACACACAAGGAACACCTTGTGTTCCTGCCTATCTTGGGGCAAAGGAGATATTCGACATACTTAGGACAAGAAATGAAAGGGTTCAGATTTAAGCCTGAGGAGCTTAGTGCTTATATCCACCAAACCTTACCTCTTTTCTGAATACTTCTTTGCTTTTCTTTGCTAGTTCACTGGAGGTGTCTGCTTCTGCTGTCTTGGGCTTTTTCGAGGCCTAAAAATGGAGGAGAAAACACAGTGGTGCTGGCATGAGAAGTCAGTTTAGTGATGCCCTACTGTCCCAGAACCCTCCTTTCTTTCCCCTAGCAGGGATACCTGATTCTTGGTATTAGAATCCGTTTAGAGGCCCTGACTCAGGTACAAGGCCTGGAGTCAACTTGGCTATTATGTTTCAAATCCTGTTACATGGTTTGGCTCTCCTTCTTATAAGTTAAGTTCCAATTCTCTACCCTAAGTCAAAGCTACAACTTTGATATAGCCACACATTTCAGAGTCACTCATGTCCCTGTTCTGGGTTCAGCTCCCTGAACTATCAAGCAAGGCCGGCACAAAACAAGCTCCATCTCTCCCACCTCTGACACTCTAGGATTCCAGGACAGAGGCGAAATGCTCTGTTCTGAAGACTCTTGAATACTCATCACCTTTCCTCCAAAGGTGGAGTTGGCTAGACTGTAGAAGACAGTCTCAGTATGCAAGAGAGGCTCCTTGGAGGTTGGTACCTTCAGTTTAGGAACAGAAAGATTAAGGAAGTATCACGATATTGACGGGGAGGTGATGAAGGTCATCAAAGCCAGTGAACAGATAAGTAGATGATGACACAGAAGATACTCTATGTCCCCAGCTGGCAAGATAATGACAAACCCAGGAACATTCCCTTCCAGCACTGCTAGAGGGAGGCTTCCAAGTTCCCTCTAACTAGGTACTGCACCAGGAGGCGATGAGTTGGAAGCTTTGGTATTCAGAGCACCTGTCATGCAGGCCATCTCCCCATACCTTTGCCCACCACTAGCCATCAGGCCCCTTCCCAGTAAATGTGCTTTTCCACGGAAAATAATAATTATGAGCATTCCCCTCCAAATATAAGTTACTTCATAATGGATCTAGAAGCTGGAGTTGATATTATAGGTACTTCACACTTTTTTGTTAGGGGCACAGGGTAGAATAATTTTCCTGCTCCCCACCCATCTCCTGGTTCTGCTTCTTCCATTTCCATAAACAGTATGAAGGCTCTGGTTCTAAAGCAGCTGGACTAGCTCCAGAGAAAGGTGGCACTCCCTTGGCTTTAGGCTGTTACAAATCAACTTTCTCTGCTGTGTCATAAAAGCTTTACGTATTTTCTATTTTTCCAATTTCTTCATGTAGCTGTATGGGGAGATTAGGGGGTAGAGTAAAAAGAATATAAAGATCCAATTTGTTTTTTAAGAAAACAAAACTAAGCAAAAATAATGCTAATAATATAAGTTAAGTCTATTTTCAAGTGTTTTGCTTTGGGATTTTGTTATTTTTTTTCCCCCAGTTGTAGATGGTATGAGTATGCTCCACAGTAAGACCTTAGGTAGCAAGGGATCAAGAATTATTTGAGTAAGTCAAGAAAACTTCAACACATCCCCAGCTACTCTCTTGTAGCTCTCAGAAGTCAGCAGCAACAGAAATGAGTACAGAAAGCCCCTTCAGGTCTGGGTATCTCAAAGATCTGGGTCCTATAGAAGAGGCCATGCTCTCAGCGAGGGTACTATGTAAATAGAAATGTCCTGTTTCACTCTGGATAGGGTATGCACTCACAAAGCTAAATGAACCCAAAGCACTTTTAATAGATTTATAATTTAATCCCTGACTTGATGAGGTTGGCGGGGGATTGGTGGGGGGTGGCCTTTAAAAACACAATTATAGAATACAATCCACTGAGCTCTGTCTAGGAGCTTTCTTGGTCCTCCTGAGTGCTGAGCAATTGGGATCGAGAAAGGAAATGATAAAATGAGGGGTCCCCAGACTTACATCATGGAAATCATGAACCAAAATGGAATACTCTTGAGAGTACTGAAATTCATGAAACCCTCTCTTCATGGTCTGTGATTTGCAAATGGCATGGGAAATAATTTCAGAAACTGGCTAACATTTACTCAAATCTAATGCCAGGCAAAGTAACCAGAGTCTGAGTTGAGGACAGCACTTGTTATTGACATGAACAACCTTAGGACCCCCCACTCCAAAAAAGTCCCATTTAAAAATTTAGCAGGTAAGGCTGGGTGTGGTGGCTCACGCCTGTAATCCTAGCACTTTGGGAGGCGGAGGAGGGCGGATCACGAGGTCAAGAGATCAAGACCATCCTGGCCAACATGGTGAAACCTCGTCTCTACTAAAAATACAAAAATTAGCTGGGCGTGGTGGCGCGTGCCTGTAGTCCCAGCTACTTGGGAGGCTGAGGCAGGAGAATCGCTTGTGCCTGTAGTCCCAGCTACTTGGGAGGCTGAGGCAGGAGAATCGTTTGAACCCGGGAGAGGTGGAGGTTGCAGTGAGCTGAGATCATGCCATTGCACTCCAGCCTGGGAGACAGAGCAACAATCTGTCACACACACACACACACACACACACACACACACACACACAAATTTAGCACGTGGGGTTCAGTGACTCATGCCTGTAATCCCAGCACTTTGGGAGGCCAAGATGGGGAGATTGTTTGAGCCCAGGAATTCGAGACCAGCATCTCTATAAAAAAACTGAAAAATTAGCTGGGCATGGTGGCTATGCCTGTGGTCCCAGTTACTTGGGAGGTTGAGGTTGGAGAGTTGCGCGAGCCTAGGAGGTTGAGGCTGCAGTGAGCTGTGATCATGCTACTGCACTCCAGCCTGGGCAACAGAGTGAAATGCTGTCTCCAAAAAGAAAAAAAGCACTTTTAAGGAAACCACCAGAGAACAGGGTAGGGGCTCTGATACATAAAAAAGCGAGTGCTTCCAGATCCTCAGCAATAAACAATAATCAGTTTGCCTTTTCTCTGTGTTGGCTTATATAGAGTATCAGTCAATTAAAGATTCTGGTGGAAATCTATGTGAGGCCGTGGACAGTTAAGAGTACACAATGAAATGAGCAGGCAAAGGGCCTGGCAGAAAGCCAGAGCTTACTGCCTTTAGAAGCTGACCCTGCTGTCAGCCTTCACCTGTGGCACATTTGGATTCCTAGGAAATCTGTTCTGATTATGACAAGGCAGGCCTGAGTACCTTTATATTACCCAAGGTGAAGCTTGAGACCTTCTGGATTAGTTGGCAATGGCCTTAAGCTTATTGGGCAGTTCTGGTAACCATACACAGGCTGTGTAACACAACAGAATCACCCTTTATTATAAATATTGACATGACTATGTCACAAAGCCCATGTGACTTGGAACCAAGAGGGTATGGCTTGAGTTACAGAAATGAGTCCTGACAAAGGCAGAGCAGGACATACCCAGCTAATACTTCTCTCTCCCTGTATTTAATTAAATACTGATTAGAGGGCTGGGCACGGTGGCTCATGCCTGTAATCCTAGCACTTTGGGAGGCTGAGGCGGGTGGATCATGAGGTCAGGAGTTCGAGACCAGCCTGGCCAAGATGGTGAAACCCCGTCTCTACTAAAAAATACAAAAATTAGTCAGGCGCGGCGGCGTGCACCTGTAATCCCAGCTACTCGGGAGGCTGAGGCAGGAGAACTGCTTGAACCCGGGAGGTGGAGTCTGCAGTGAGCTGAGATCGTGCCACTGCACTGCAGCCTGGGTGACAGAGCGAGACTCTGTCTCAAAAAAGAAAAAAAAAATACTGTTTAGAACATAAAATGTAAATCATTCAGTGAGGAACTACATCTTTTGTGGCAGCATGAATCCAGAAGCAGGAGGAGAAGCTGAGCCATCATAAACACTATCCACACAATTCAACCTAAGCTCTGCAGCACATGAACCTGTACATGTCAATTTTTAAAAGGTTAAGATCATTGAAAATAATAAAAACTTAGTACAGCTGGTGTTCTGCATCTGTAGGCCAGCCATGGATAGAAAATATTGAAAAAAAATACAATAAAAATAATACAAATAAGAACCAATTTTAAAAAACCCCAATGCAGTATAACCACTATTTATATAGCATTTACATTGTATTGGGTATTATACGCAACACAGAGGTGATTTACAGCATATGGGAGTATGTGCGTAGGTGACATACAAACACTACGCCCTTGTATATAAGGGACTTGAGCATCTTTAGACTTTGGCATCCATGATAGGGTGTCTTGAAATCAATCCCCTATGGATACAGAGTGACAACTGTAATGTGTCTCAAGGTATTCTTCTTTTGGTTGATTTTACTTGGGATCCTTTAGGCTTCATGAATCCGTATGCCTATTTCCCTCTCTCAAGATGGGAAATTTTCAACATTATTTATTTCTTAAACAAATTTTATATAGCCTGGATGTGGTGGCTCAGGCCTATAATCCCAGCACTTTGGGAGGCCGAGGCGAGCAGATCACTTGAGGCCAGGAGTTTGAGATCAGCCTGGCCAAAAAAGCAAAACCCCATCTCTATTAAAAATACAAAAAGGCCAGGCGTGGTGACTCACGCCTGTAATCCCAGCACTTTGGGAGGCTGAGGCGGGTGGATCACGAGGTCAGGAGATCGAGACCAGCCTGGCTAACGAGGTGAAACACTGTCTCTACTAAAAATACGAAAAATTAGCCAGGCGTGGTGGCAGGCGCCTGTAATCCCAGCTACTTGGGAGGCTGAGGCAGGAGAATTGCTATAACCTGGGAGGCAGAGGGTGCAGTGAGCCAAGATCACACCATTGCACTCCAGCCTGGGCGACAGAGTGAGACTCCGTCTCAAATAAACAAATAAACAAACAAACAAACAAATTAGCTGGGCCTGGTGGTGCATGCCTGTAATCCCAGCTAATTCGGAGGCTGAGGCACAAGAACCACTTGAACCTGGGAGGCAAAGGTTGCAGTGAGACCAGATCACACCACTGCACTCCAGCCTGGGCGACAGAGCAAGACCCCGTTTGAAAAATACATTGGCTCTTGATGCCACCTCTCTGCAACTCCCTCAATGCAACAAATACTCTAAAACTACTATTTTAACATAACATAGTTAGAGGAGATCTATTATACCTTATGACTGTTAATTAAAAGCCAGGAGGCAGCAGTAAATAAACTGCTGCCTCAATTGTGCAAGTAGTAATAATTCAGGTCAGAGGTGCTCAAAGGGAAGACCTGACTTTACACTTTACACTTACCACCACTTACACTTATCTTGATGGTGAGTACAAGACAATGAAGGGAACAACAATGGATGGAAAAGAGAAAAGGAACAGTCTCACAATGTTTAGTCTCATCATCAAAAGCTTTTACTACCAGACAGCACTCTTCAAAGAATTATCTGACCATTATATGCCTTCCCTATGTCACTCCATACAGCTCTGTCTCCAACAAGCACCAATTTACTGATGACTCAAACCCAGATTTGCCTGCCTAGCAGCCACTGCAGGGAGCTCAAACTCCACAATGAACTTAATCTCCACACCTCCTCCTCCTCTTTCTTTCATTCCCTAGGCTGAATGATGGGATCTTATCCACCCAAGCTAAGAATGAGGGTGCAGGCCATCCATGACTCCCTTACTCACTTGTTTGCTAAACCCTCAATCCTGCTTTTCAGTCTTGGCAAGATTCCCCAGCATCTCCAGTCGTAGTTCCTAACTTTGCCTAACTATTAACACTCTCCAATTTGATTTCACTATTACTGATCTCACCTTTATTAATGAGCCCATTTCACTAGAAGGACACACATTTGACTGTCTGACTCCCTTGCATTAAAACCATTTATTGACTCCCAAGTACCTATTATACAACATTACATTAACCATACTAGCAAAGCACTAAGACTTCAGACAATTTAAATCTAACCTACTTTTCCATATCTTTGTCTTGCTAACTTCCCTATATGCATCCAAACTCTCACCAAACCAAATTATTTTTCAGTCTCCTATATATACTGGCTTGTTCTTTCTTAAGCCTTTGCAAAAAATCACCTTATCTACCTAGCATACTCAGTCCTGGTTACCTATAGGTGAAACTGTACTCCTATACATCTCAAACCATGTATCTCTCTGTTCCCAAAGCATTTCATACTTTCTTCTACTATAGCAATTACCCCACTGTATTCTTGCTTTATAAACTTAAACATAAGACCTAAAACCATAAAAAGCCTAGAAGAAAACCTAGGCAATACCATTCAGGACATAGGCATGGGCAAAGACTTCATGTCTAAAACACCAAAAGCAATGGCAACAAAAGCCAAAATTGACAAATGGGATCTAATTAAACTAAAGAGCTTCTGCACAGCAAAAGAAACTACTATCAGAGTGAACAGGCAACCTACAGAATGGGAGAAAATTTTTGCAATCTTTCCATCTGACAAAGGGCTAATATCCAGAATCTACAAAGAACTTAAACAAATTTACAAGAAAAAAACAAACAACTCCATCAAAACGTGGGCATGGATATGAACAGACACTTCTCAAAAAAAGATATTTATGCAGCCAACAAACATATGAAAAAATGATCATCATCACTGGTCATTAGAGAAATGCAAATAAAAACCACAATGAGATACCATCTCACGCCAGTTAGAATGGCAATCACTAAAAAGTTGGGAAACAACAGACACCGGAGAGGTTGTGGAAAATAGGAATGCTTTTACATTGTTGGTGGGAGTGTAAATTAGTTCAACCATTGTGGAAGACAGTGCGGCAATTCCTCAAGGATCTAGAACCAGAAATACCATTTGACCCAGCAATCCCATTACTGGGTATATACCACAAGGATTATAAATCATTCTACTGTAAAGACACATGCACACATATTTTTATTGCAGCACTCTTCAAAATAGCAAAGACTTGGAACCAACCCAAATGTCCATCAACTATAGACTGGATAAAGAAAAGGTGGCATATATACACCATGGAACACTATGCAGCCATAAAAAAGGATGAGTTCATGTCTTTTGCAGGGACATGGATAAAGCTGGAGACCATCATTCTCAGCAAAATAACACAAGAGAACACAAAACCAAACACCACACGTTCTTACTCATAAGTGGGAGTTGAACAATGAGAACACATGGATACAGGAAGGGGAACATCACACACTGGGGCCTGTCAGGGGGTAGGGGACTAGGGGAGGGATGGCATTATGAGAAAAACCTCATGTAGGTGATGGGTTGATGGGTGCAGCAAACCACCATGGCACGTGTATACCTATATAACAAAACTGCACGTTCTGCACATGTACCCCAGAACTTAAAGTATATATATATAAAATAAATAAATAAAATAAGCCAATCACAAAAGGCCATATATTGTATTATTTCATTTACATAAAATGCCCACAAGAGGCAGATCTATCAAGAAAGAAAATGGATTGGCTCATGCCTGTAATCCCAGCACTTTGGGAAGCTGAGGTGGGCAGATCACAAGGTCAGGAGATCGAGATCATTCTGGCTAACACGGTGAAACCCCATCTCTACTAAAAAATATTTAAAAAATTAGCCATGCGTGGTGGCGGGCGCCTGTAGTCCCAGCTACTCAGGAGGCTGAGGCAGGAGAATGGCATGACCCGAGAGGCGGAGCTTGCAGTAAGCTGAGATCGCACCACTGCACTCCAGCCTGGGCGACAGAGCGAGACTCCATCTCAAAAAAAAAAAAAAAAAAAAAAAAAGAGAACACATGGACACAGGAAGGGGAACATCACACACCAGGGACTGTTGTGGGGTGGGTTGAAGTGGGAGGGATAGCATTAGGAGATATACCTAATGCTAAATGACAAGTTAATGGGTGCAGCACACCAACATGGCACGTGTATACATATGTAACAAACCTGCACATTGTGCACATGTACCCTAAAACTTAAAGTATAATAATAATAAAATTTAAAAAAAAATGGATTAGTGCCTGGGCTAGGAAGTCACTGCAAATGGGTATGAGAGGTCTTATTGGGAGGAGGAAAATGTTCTAAAACCAGATTATGGTAATGGCTGCATAATTTGGTAAATTACTAAAAGCTATTAAATTGTAAATCTAAAGCGACTAGATTTTATACTAGGTTTATTATACCTCAATAAAGTTGCTGCTGCTGCTGGTTTTTTTTTTTGTTTTTGTTTTTTTTTTTGAGATGGAGTCTCGCTGTTGCCCAGGCTGGAGTGCAGTGGCGCGATCTCGGCTCACTGCAACCTCCGCCTCCCGGGTTCACGCCATTCTCCTGCCTCAGCCTCCCGAGTAGCTAGGACTACAGGCGCCCCCCCGCACACCTGACTAATTTTTTGTATTTTTTTTAGTAGAATTGGGGTTTCACTGTGTTAGCCAGGATGCTGGTTTTTTTGTTTTGTTTTGTTTTTAAAAAGCTTGTCCAGACTTGTGCTTCTGGTCATGACAGATTAACTGTTAAATGAATTAGCCCTCTCAGAGTTAAAAACTGGAAAACTAGACAAAATACATGAAAAAGGCAGTTTGCACACACTGGACATTAAGCAGCACTAAACTATGATCCTGAGACAAGGGACAAAATGAGGTAAGCCCTATGATTACCTTGGCTTTTCTGCGTGGAGAAATTTACCAGACTCTGGGGCAGAGAGGAAAACCCACGCACAGCATGGAGTTCTCAGTGAGCTAAGGAGACAAGGATTGGAATTTAGAGTATCTGAGATAAACTATAAGCTAACAATTCTCAGAGCTCACAAAAGGCTGGGAAACATGTGAGCTTCCATCAGCTAAAGTGAAGAGATATCCATTAGATAACCTGTGGCATTCAGTGGAGATCCCAGACAGGTGATGCCTTAGGAGATACCCTAGAGAAAAAATTACTCTGGACTCAACCCGACAAAGATTAAGAACAGCCTCTAAAAAATCAAGGTGATCCACAAGTAACTTGACTGGCTATCAGAACAAAGCTCAACATTCTTAATGGAAAGTAACAAAATTCTGAAACTCAACAATGTAATGGTCACAATGTCCAGTGTTCAACTGAAAATAGCAGGCAACTATTAAAAAGCTATTATAAATGCTCACAGTTATGAAAGAAAACATGAACACAGTGAAGAAATTAAAACTACTGGGCCAAAGGGACAGACTCCTGAGAAGCACAGGTGGCATCATGTTCCTGACTGTCCTCCCCAACCACAGTAGCATTCCTGGTGGCAGTAGATTGGTCATCTGGAGAACCACTACTGGCTGAGCATGCCCTACCTGACCACAGGGCAGGAGTAGGCTACACTGTAGTGCACAGGGCAGAGGCCTTTGAGGCCATGAAGACAGCCAACACTTCCAAGTTCCCCTCACATAGATTTGTTGTAGACTAGCTCGACCATCTCAATGTCACCAACAAATGGTCCTAACCCTGAACTATCAAACACCCCCAAACTTTTAATTTTTTTTTTTTTTTTGAGACGAGGTCTCACTCTGTCACCAGGCTGGAGTGCAGTGGCATGATCTTGGCTCACTGCAGCCTCGACCTCTGGGGCTTAGGTGATCCTCCCACCTAAGCCCTCCAAGTAGCTGGGACTACACATGTGCACCAACATGCCTAATTTTTTTTTTTGCATTTTTTAATGGTTTTGCCATGTTGCTCAGTCTGGTCTCAAACTCCTGGGCTTGAGGGATCCACCTGCTTTGGCATCCCAAAGTGCTAGGATTATACAGGTGTGAGCCACTGCGTCAAGCCACCCTTCAATCTTGTAGATCACAGGGCTGCCCTGTCTTTATCTGGTCATGGAACTCAAACTGTAGCTTCTATAAAAATGTAAGCCTATGGATCAGAAACTTATTAAAACACACAAATAAAAAGCAAAAAAAAAAAACAAAATAAAAAACACACAAATATAAGTATAGTGGTCTGCATATAGAATACCTGGGACTCTAACCCCCTTAATACTTAAAAATATAATCACTGTCCTATTGTGTTTCTTGTTTCTTTGACCTGACAGGAAGATATCAGGGATTTCCTGGGGAACACATGGTATAAAATGTATTTTGAAAAAAGCTACAATAAAGCTACAAACTATGATTTGGGGGTATTTGCTTAAGTATGAGATACTTGATAGGGGCTTTATCATGCAAAGTTAGTTTGCTTAACTGCCAACACTTAAATGCAGTTTTTCAGTTAAACATATTCCTAAAAATAGCATTTTATTCTGGGACTTGACTACAAAAAGCGGACATTTAAATGAAGTAAAAATGGCTGGGCACGACGACTCACACCTGTAATCCCAGCACTTTGGGAAGCCCAGATGGGCAGATCACTTGAGGTCAGGAGTTTGAGACCAGCCTGGCCAACAGGGCAAAACCCCATAAAAATACAAAAATTAGCTGGGCGTGGTAGCAGGCACCTGTAATCCCAGCTACTTGGGAGGCTAAGGCAGGAGAATCACTTAAACCTGGGAAGCGGAGGTTGCAGTGAGCCGAGATCGCACCACCGAACTCCAGCCTGGGCAACAGAGTGAGACCCTGTCTTGAAAAAAAATAAAATAAAATAAAATATGAAAAATACAATGAAGTGAAAGGTATTTATCAGCACTGTTAAAAATAAAAAAGAAATTAAAACTATTAAAAAATATGCAAATTAAAATTTGAGAGCAGAAAAATATAACTGAAATTTTAAAATGAATCAATGGATGAGCTTAGCTAATTCAATACAGCAGAAGGTAAATCAGTGAACTTTAAATAGAGGCCAACAGAAACCACGCAAACTGAAGCACAGGGAGAAAAGAGCTGAAAAAAATTTGACAGAGATGTGGTGCTCTGTGAGACAGTATCAAGCGGTTTAATAACATGTATGTAATTGGAGTCCCAGGAAAAGGGACAATGGTATAAAAAGATATATTTGAAAAAATTTCCATATTTGATGAAAACTACCAATCATGGATCTAAAATGTACAAGAATCACAAGCAGATTAAACACAAAGAAAACAAAACCAAGGTATACCACAAACCGCTAAAAACTGTTTATAAAAGGCAAAATCAAGACATATGGGGGAAAAAGATAATTATATTTTTATTAGAAACTATTATTAAAAAATGGAAACATCTTTTAAGTGTTGAAAGGAAGAAAATATAAATTTAGAATTCCATATCCAGTGAGAGTATCTGTCATAATAAACCTGTACATGGATGTTTTTAGTAGCTTTATTTATAATTGCCAAAAGTTGGAAGCAACCAAGATGTCCTTCAGTAAGTGAATGATAAACAAACTGCGGCGCACTCAGACATTCAGTGCTAAAACGAAATGAGCTATCAGGCCATGAAAAGACATGGTGGAAGCCTCAATGCATATTGCTAAGTGAATGAAGCCGATCTGAAAAGGCTACCTACTGTAGCTAACTATATGACATTCTGGAAAAAGCAAAACTATGAAGACTGTAAAAAGATCAGTGGTTACCAGGAACTGGGGAAGAGGGATGAGGAGAGAAGGCATGATGAGTAAGCAGCAGCTCAAATGATTTTTAGGGCAGTGAAACTATTCTGTACGTTACTATGATGCTATATAGATGACACGATACCTTTGTTAAAACCCACAAATGTACAATACCAAGAATGAACCCTAATGTAAATTATGGACTTTGGGTGGTAATAATGTGTCATAGTAGATTCATCAATTGTAACAAAGTACCACTCTTGTGCTTTGATGTTGACAGAAAGGGAAGCTTGTGCGTGTGTAGTGACAGGGGGTATATGGAAACTCTCCGTACTTCCTGTTCAATTTTGCTATGCCAAAACAGAACTAAAATTGCTTTAAAAATAAAGACTACTTTTTAAAAAGTGGTAAGATAAATACCTTTCTTCAGACAAACAAAAGCTGACAAAATGCATCAACAGTAGATCTGAAATACTAGAAATGTTAAAGGAAATTCTTTAGGCTAAAGGAAAATGATTCCAGATGGAAATTCAAATCTACATGAGAGAATGAAGAGTGCTGGAAATGGTAAATATGTGGGTAAATATAGGACTTAATGGTAGATTGTGATAAGATAAATATGCATACTGTAAACCTTACAACACTGTTTTTTCAAATGTGTAGGTACAAAGAGTATAAATATCCCTTTATATTCTTAAAACACTGAGGACCGCAAAGAGCTTTTATTCGTATGGGTTATAGCTATCAAAATTTTTCATATTAGAAATTAAGTTAAACTGAGAAAAAATAAAGCATTATTTTAAAATAACATTAGCAAATCTATTATATAACAATACATATAACAATAATATAATTTTTTGTGAAAAGTAACTGTTTTCCAAAACTAAAGCAATTCAGTTAAGAGTGGCAGTTTTACATTTTGGAAATCTCTTTAAACATCTCGCTTAGAATACAGCTGAAGTCTCATTGCCTTCTGCATTCAAATATGTCATGTGCCCCCTGGAAAATTCCATGGTATATTTGTGAATGTACCAAATGTGACAGAGGCATGTAATGTTTTCATATTATTATTAAAACAGCTTTGACCTTGTGGCTCCCTTGAAAGAGTCTTAGGAACCTAGAGGTCCCCACACCAAACTTTGAGAACCACTGTCTTAAAACCACCACCAAGAAGTAAAGCAGGCCAGGTGTGGTGGCTCACACCTATAATCCCAGCACTTTGGGAGGCCACAACAGGAAAATTGCTTGACACCAGAAGTTTGAGACCAGCCTGGTCACCAACACCACCAGACCCTGTCTCTACAAAAATGTACAAAACTTAGCTACTTGGGTGGCTAAGACGGGAGGATCATCTGAGCCTGGTAGGTGGAGACTACAGTGAACCCTGATGGTGCCACTGCACTCCAGCCTGGGAAACAGAGTGAACCATGGCTCAAAAAAATAAAAAATAAAAGAAAATAAAGAGGTATGGCTAAGCCAATAGGAAAAACAAAAACAAAAAAAAACCAGAATACTTGAAATAAATTCTAAATCAATCCAAAAGAAAGCAAAGACAAATAAAAATTTAAAAACAAATAATAAAGCTGGGCACGGTGGCTCACACCTATAATCCCGGCACTTTAGGAGGCCGAGACAAGTGGATCACCTGAGGTCAGGAGTTCGAGACCAGCCTGGCCAACATGGTGAAACCCTGTCTCTACTCCAAATACAAAAATCAGCCAGGCGTGGTGGCAGGTGCCTGTAATCCCAGCTACTCAGTAGGCTGAGGCATGAGAATCGTTTGAACCCGGGAGGCAGAAGTTGCAATGAGCCGAGATCGCACCACTGCACCCCAGCCTGGGCAACAGAACTAGACTGTCTCAGAGATGAAAAAAAAAAAGCCATCCTTAAAGACTGAATTGCTTTCCACAAGTACTTGTCAATTCCTTTATTTACAGTATCATTTCTGAATTTTAGGGCCTATAAACATAAGCCTTGAGATAAATTTTACTAAAAAAAAATTCAAAGGTTTCCCACCATACAAAGGTTCATATTCTTTTACATTTTCAAATCCCCAAGATCTATCCCCAACAATGCCCTTCCAACCTCATGCTGGATTACAAGTTTTATGATGCCTATGTTCCCATACAAGTAAACAGAGCTATTCCCCAAACATATCCCGAACACTCCCTTCCTTCCCTGCCTTTGCTCCAGCTTTCCTTTTAGCCTATCTTTGCTTACTGAAAAATTCCTCATCCTTTAAAGCTCAAATGCCACTTTCTCACAAAGTCCTCCTAACTTTCTCTGGTTGAGTTTCTTCTATGCTCCCAGGATGAAAAAGCATAACAGAGCTATAAGCAACCATTTGTACCATGCTGAGGAAGCACATGGTGCAGGACTGCCAGTGTAGGCAGGGACAGGCTTGAAGGAGAAGTAATCTAGAAGGAGGCTGGCTTGAAGCCTAGGGGAATGTGTGTATCTCCTAAGAACTGAGGGGGACTCAGCTCTTGAGTATAGAGAAGTTAATCTGATTGATTGTATATGTGAATTTCTGACTGAAAACCAAGACCAAATCTTAACACTTGCACTCAAGTAACTAAAGTTATAAGCCCTGTCATGGTTTGATTTTTTTTTTTTTTTTTTTTTTTTTTGAGACAGAGTCTCGCTCTTGTTGTCCAGGTTGGAGTGCAGTGGTGCAATCTTGGCTCACTGCAACCCCCGTCTCCCGGGTTCAAGCGATTCTCTTGCCTCAGCCTTTCAAGCAGCTGGGATTACCATGTGCTCAGGCATGTGCCACCATGCCCAGCTAATTTTTCTATTTTTAGTAGAGACAGTGTTTCACCATGTTGGCCAGGCTGGTCTCAAACTCCTGACCTCAGGTGATCCACCTGCCTGGGCCTCCCAAAGTGCTAGGATTACAGGCTTGAGCCACAGGGTTTCACCATGTTGGCTAGGCTAGTCTTGAACTCCTGGCCTCAAGTGATCGGGCCACCTCAGCCTCCCAAAGTAGGCTGCCGTGCCTAGCCTATGATTATTCTTTTTGGGAGAGAAGACCTCTACCTTTATTTGTTCACAACAGGAAATACATTTGGCAGCTTAATTCTTTCTGCACTCTCATTATTATTTGCGGATTTATTTATGTATACATACAATGGCAGAAAAGAATAAAAGTGCCTCTCCAATCTTCTCTAACAACTGAGTGAAGCTGATACCTTTGAATCTCCATTGGAACTACTACTCTATAACCCCCCGAGGCAGTTAAGAGCTAGTATTAGGAGGAATGTTTTCTCTTTATAATCTCCCGTTCCCTTTCGTTTTTATACATGTACCTCCCCCAACACACATGAGCATATCAATATATCAGAATTAATTGTGAATTAAGTGTTAGATTTAGTTTAGTGCTCTTTTCCTTCCTAGGATAGACTATATTTTCTTTTGCAGGCCTCTAAAGTCCTTGTTTGTTGTCTCTACAACAATTTTTAACAATTAGCCAGGCATGGTGGCATGTACCTATAGTCCTAGCCACTCAGGAGGCTGAGACGAAAGGATTACTTGAGCCTGAGAGTTCGAGGTTACGGTAAGCTATGCTTGCACCACTGTACTCCAGCCTGGGCTACAGAGTGAGGGAGACCCTGCCTCTAAAAACAAAGCAAAGCAAATCAAATGACAAAATAAATAAATCCCTCAGTTTACCACTTAACATATAATACCGTACATTTTCAAACCTTACCTTCCTATGACCCCTGGGAGCAATAGCCTTGCCTTATACTGTTTTTGTACCCCCAGGTCTGGGCATGGCATTTGTGCTGAATAGGAACTCAAATGTCTGATAAATAACCAAAATGTGAAAGAGTGAGATGAAGTTCAGATCTGTGTGTATTTAAAATGTGTATTTAGAGATCCAAAGTTCCAAGCTAGTAGATTATAATTCAGGCATTGCCTTTTGGATATAATACTTTCAAGAGCCTACTCCCCAGGCACACATGCACCTATGGTAACAGAGGAGTAAAGATCAAACATAACCTGACAAATATACTCACTCTGGGTGGTTGGATATAGTAAGGTTTTATGATCATACTTCTCTTACAGTTGATCACAGACAATACTGCCAATTATTTAGACTTGAATGTGTAATTACCTTGGGACCTTGTATCACTTCAGATTCTGATCTAGCAGGTCTGGGACAGGGAGTGAGACTCTGCATTTTTAACAGGTGGTGCCTGGTGCTCTTGGGTGCTGAGCAGACCTAACTACTACAATAAGCTCATTGTGAAGGCGCCAGCTCCATGGTCAACCCCTCCAGTCCATCTCCAGCAGAGAGCCTTGTAAAAGGCAAATGTTACTGATCAAATCACTTTAAAGGTTTCCCTTTCTCACCAGCTAGCCAGAGAATGAACGTCTAATTGTGTAGCATGGCACATAAGCTGCCCTTTTACTTGGCCCCTACTTCTCAGCTCCTACTTTGTGCTTGGCTAGTTTGATGACCTGGATTTCCTAACACAGGTCTTCATATAAGAAAGGCAATTCCTTGAGCATTAAATAAGCAACAGTGAACTTCATGCCCATTCCTCATTCGCTTTGAAAGGCCTAATTTAATATGCATATACTAGACCAAAAGACTGAATCAAGATTAATAGTTACGGTGCCCATGAACTTGGGCTTTTAAGAAGGGTAAGGCCTCCAACATGCTTTATAAACTTGGCCCCAGAACTCAGCTGTATTGCTGCACCAGATCTTATCTTAATCCCTTTGTTTATTTTTCAAAAGATATAACTAACACAGTACAGAAGTCTGGAAATGGGAGTTGTGATTTTTGTTTGTATTTAAGCTTACATATAATTTAAATGTCAAGTGCCTAGCAGTCTTGGGCATATTCCTAAATGATTCAGGAAAACAAGACAGCACAACAGCTGGAGTGAAGTGGCTAAGTGATTTATGTGATTCATTTGAAATTTAGCAAACTCCACATGGATTGAACGTAAGTGTGTATCTTTTTGCAAATGCCAAACACATGTGAAAAGAGGAAAATATTTCCTCCAAAAGTGAATAAAATATAAACAAGAATGAATTCATTTCTACTTTAATCCCTTCTCACTCCAGCTCCTTTTCTTCCCTCTTCCTTCTTCCACCTATTCCCAATAATTTAACCACTGAAGTACTTAATTCTTTTCAAAATTAAAAAAATATTAGTCAGGTTTTAGAACATAAAAATATGATATCTGATTTCATTCAAGACACTTCATACGGTCAGCTGTGGTGGCTCATGCCTGTAATCCCAACACTTTGGGAGGCTGAAGCAGCCAGATTGCTTGAGGTCAGGAGTTCAAGGCCAGCCTGGGCAACACGATAAAACCTCATCTCTACTAAAAATACAAACATTAGCCAGGCATGGTGGCGCACACCTATAATCCCAGCTACTTGGGTGGTTGAGACATGAGAACTGCTGAAGCCCAGGAGGCAGAGGTTGCAGTGAGCCAAGATCACACCAAAAAAAACAAAAAACACAACAACAAAACCCACCCCTCCTATTGGTTTTGAACAGACCAATCACGAAAGCATATGTTATGGGCACTAACAACAGAATGCAAAGAGAGGCCGGGCGTGGTGGCTCACATCTATAATCCCAGCACTTCAGGAGGCCAAGGCAGGCAGATCACCTGTGGTCAGGAGTTCAAAACCAGCCTGGCCAACATGGTGAAACCCTGTCTCTACTACAAATACAAAAATTAGCCGGGCGTGGAGTGCACATCTGTAGTCCCAGCTACTCGGGAGGCTAAGGCAGGAGAATTGCTTGAACCCAGGAGGCAGAGGTTACAGTGAGCCGAGATTGTACCACTGCACTCCAGCCCGGGCAACAGAGTGAGACTCCGTCTCATTTAAAAAAAAAAGGCAAAGAGAACAAGAGAGGCCCTGAAGCGATCATAGTAATGGGTGTTTTGAACACCCATCACAATTCTTGGCCATATATCTCCCTCAAATGAGTAAGTAGTTAGTATGCATCTGAGTCTCTCAATGTCTAAAAAAGGCCATTCTTTTTTTTTTTTTTTTTTTTTTTTTTGAAAAGGGATTCAGGGTTGTAATGGGATTATTTTTTATATTTTTTTATTTTATTATTATTATACTTTAAGTTTTAGGGTAGATGTGCACAACGTGCAGGTTTGTTACATATGTATACATGTGCCATGTTGGTGTACTGCACCCATTAACTCGTCATTTAGCATTAGGTATATCTCCTAATGCTATCCCTCCCCCCTCCCCCCCACCCCACAACAGTCCCCAGAGTGTGATGTTCCCCTTCCTGTGTCCATGTGTTCTCGTTGTTCAATTCCCACCTATGAGTGAGAACGTGCGGTGTTTGGTTTTTTGTCCTTGCGATAGTTTGCTGAGAATGATGATTTCCAGTTTCATCCATGTCCCTACAAAGGACATGAACTCATCATTTTTTATGGCTGCATAGTATTCCATGGTGTATATGTAAAAAGGCCATTCTTTCTCCCTGACTTCATCTCTACACCTTGATACATGCATAGTCACTCACTTATTTTTCAGAATAAAGAAAAAAGAATCCCAAGACCATGCGGGATGGTCTTGGACGGACTCCCAAATGATCAGGAAATACATGTGTAAGCCACACTCACCTTCATGGGGTTTTCATCATATGTTGGAGTTCCCAGGTCCATCTCAGCTTCATGCTCAAGGCTGGCATCATCTCCTGGGCTTTCCCAAGTAGGAGGATCCCACTGAGTCTGCCTAGAAAGAGACAAAAACAGCCATGCTGTCAGGGCTAGGAAACAGAGAATCCTGACATAAACATCACTGCTCATACATACATAAAATACAACATACAATAAGACATAGAATAAGTCAGCTCCATGAGTTAAAGACAAACTTTTTCTATCTTCCTAACAGCAATGATTCTAGCACAGAGATATGCCCCTCTTCAATGACTGTATTTCTGTGGGCAATGATGTGGCAACACTGACTGGGTGTCAAAGAGAGCAGTAAACCCAAACATCCTGTCTGTCTCTCACCTGACTCTTAATGTCATGCAAATAAGACTGGGCAAAGCCTAAAATGTACAGGAAATAGGTCCCTGCCTATGTCACCCCTCTGTAGATGAAGAGGTAAACAGTGACTGTACCTAGCATATAAATGGAGCAAAATAAATCATGTAACACCTCTCACAGTCCTTGACCACGTGAGAAAATTATCCCTTGCTTTAGGAGTTTTCTTTTTAATAGTTCTGCCCCTCTGGTTTAATGACTGACAAGAAAAATACGTACAGGTTAAAAACTTGTACCCCTGGCCAGGCATGGTGGCTCATGCCTGTACTCCCAGCACTTTGGGAGGCTGAGGCAGGTGGATCACCTGAGGTCAGGAGTTCGAGACCAGCCTGGCCAACACGGTGAAACCCCATCTCTACTATAAATACAAAAAATTTGCCAGTCGTGGTGGCGGGCGCCTGTAATCCCAGCTACTCAGGAGGCTGAGTCAGTAGAATAACTTCAACCTGGGAGGCGGAGGTTGCAGTGAGCCAAGATCGTGCCATTGCACTCCAGCCTGGGCAACAAGAGTGAAACTCTGTCTTAAAAAACAAACAAAAAAAAAAACAAAAACTTGTACCCTCTGCTAAAAATATTCCCGACCGACTGCAAAAAGAAGGTTTCGGCCATGTTAACCCTTTAAATGTTTACAGTCATTTTGAAAATAAGCAAGCAAAGATTTTTCTTTTTTAAAAAAGATCTGTAGGATAAAAAGTGGAAGTAAGGATATTCACGTTCAGGAGTCTGAAGCCAGCTGTAACAGAGAATGTTATGAGGACAGTGACTTAAAATGTCAAAAGCCTCAAAGGATCTAACAAATCTGGCAGGTCAGTCTTGTCACTACAGTCTTCTGCTTTACCACCACATCAATCTTCAGTCAACAACATAACAACATTAAAGACACTTGATATAAATCAGTGTATATACATATATATAGACTATTGTAAAAATAGGCTTACCTCTGACCTATGGAACTCATTTATTTTAAAAGGCTCAAGATTTCTACCATAATAAAAGAACCACAAGCAGCTAAGGATGTTATTATAGAAACTGAACAAATATATACATGTCTGTTCTTAGCTACCAGATAAAGAAAACCTAGAAAAGATGGGAAAGGTACACATATAAATAAGAAATACAAACTTTTTTTTTTTTTTATTCTGATATGGAGTCTCGCTCTGTGACCCAGGCTGGAGTGCAATGGCGTGATCTCAGCTCACTGCAACCTCTGCCTCCTGGGTTCAAGTGATTCTCCTGCCTCAGCCTCCTGAGTAGCTGGGATTACAGGTGCGTGTCACCACGCCCAGCTAATTTTTGTATTTTTAGTATAGGTGAGGTTTCACCATGTTGGTCAGGCTGGTTTCAAACTCCTGACCTCATGATCCGCCCACCTCAGCCTCCCAAAGTGCTGGGACTACAGGCGTAAGCCACCATGTCCGGCCCAAACTTTTTTTATTTTTGGAAGATTGATAGAATATTTAAAATTTGTTTTGGTGTTAAAAAACAAAGTTCTGGCCAGGTGTGGTGGCTCACACCTGTAATCCCAGCACTTTGGGAGGCCGAGGCAGGTGGATCACCTGAGGTCAGGAGTTTGAGACCAGCCTGGCCAACACGGTTAAACCCTGTCTCTACCGAAAATACAAAAAAAAAAAAAAAAAAAATTAGTTGGGCATGGTGGCAGGTGCCTGTAATCCCTGCTAGTCAGGAAGCTGAGAGGCAGGAGAATTACTTGAACCCTGGAGGCAGAGGTTGCAGTGAGCCGAGATCACGCCACTGCACTCCAGCGTGGGCAACAAAAGTGAAAACTCTGTCTCAAAAAAAAAAAAAAAAAGTTCTGGTTAAACCACACGTGGTTTTTAAAATCATTACACATTCAATTAGCAACATAATGAGGACTCATTTTATAAAAGCCTTTTTGTTTTTTGAGATAGAGTCTCACTCTGTCACCCAGGCTGGAGTGCAGTAGCGCGATCTCAGCTAACTGCAACCTCTGCCTCCAGGGTTCAAGTAATTCTCCCGCCTCTCGGCTTCCCAAGTAGGAAGGATTACAGGCACCTGCCACCAAGCCCAACTAATTTTTGTATCTGGAGTAGAGACGGGGTTTCATCATGTTGGCCAGGCTGGTCTTGAACTCCTGAAATCAGGTGATCTGCCCATCTTGGCCTCCCAAAGTGCTGGGATTACAGGTGTGAGCCACTGCACCCAGCCTATAGAAGCATTTTAATGCGAGTAAGGAAGGCCCTTCTAAGCAGAAAGGGAAAATATATGAAAATTTTAAGCTTCTTTATGTCACAAGATATCAGAAACAAAACTCTTGATAAAGAAATCTAACACTGGACAGAAAATGGGTAGATGGCCCACACAAGTAACTCACAAAAGATACAAATGACCAACAATCGAATGAAGACATCCCATCTCAATAGTAAAATAACTGAAAATAAAAATATTTCCCACCTGTTAGACTTGCAAGGTTAAAATAGATGACATGAGGGAAAAGGATTTTTTTTTTTTTTTTTTTTTTGGAGACAAGGTCTTGCTCTGTCACCCAGGCCGGAATGCAGTGGCGCAATCATGGCTCACTACAGATCTGACCTCCTGTCTCAAGTGATCCTCTCGCCTCAGCCTCCCAACTAGTTGTGACTACAGGTGCACACCACCATGCCAAGCTAATTTTGTATTTTTTGTAGAGATGGGGTTTCACTATGGTGCCCAAGCTGGTCTCAAACTCCTGGCCTCAAGCGATCCTCCTGCCCCAGCCTCCCAAAGCATTAGGATTATAGGCATGAGCTGCTGTACATGGCTAAAAGGAACTTATACATACTTCTTTTTGTGAGAGTCCAAATTGATACAAACTATTGTTTAATGGTAAGCTGACAATATTTCTCAATTTAAAATGTGTACCTGTTTTGCCCAACAATTCCACTTCTAAGTACCCTCTCGAAGAAGTAGTAAGATTAGTGTCCCTAAGGATGCCCAAGGTTATAGTTAGATATAAAATAGTGAAGACCTATCAATGAGAGTGAGTTAAATACAATTTGATATAGCTATACAATAGAGCAGGGGTTGGCAAACTTTCTCTGTAAATGATTAGATGATAAATATTTTGACCTGTGGGCCAAATGGTTTCTATCACAACTACTCTGTCATTGTAGTGTGAAAGCAACCATAGACAATTTGTAAGCAAATGTGCATGGTTGTGCTCCAATAAAACTTTATTTGCCAAAACAAGTGGCCTGTGGGCATAGTTTGCCAGCCCTGCAGCAAAGTATAAACAATTACTAAAACTAACAGTTGTAGCTGGGTGTGGTGCCTCACGCCTGTCATCCCAGCATTTTGGGAGGCTTAGGTGGGAGGATCGCTTGAAGCCAGGAGTTCGTGCAGATCAGTCTGGGCAACAAAGAAAGACTCTGTCTCTACAAAAAAAAGAAAAAAAAAATTTTAAAGAAAAAATTCCATAGTTCTATGTTAATTGATAAAGCTCTATGAAATAGATTAGTAAATAAAGCAGACTACAAAAACATCTATCTTAACAATTTACGTAAGATTATATAGATGGGTGTATATATACACACACACACACACAGAGACACACACACACAAAGTACATATACCCACATAAAGCTATCTGTCTAAACGGTATTTTTTAAAAACATTAAATGAGTTATCTCTGAGTAGTGGCAGTTCCAGGAATTATACTTCCTTTTTTAGTACTTTTCTACTATATTTGCTTTCTACAGTAAGCATAAATAATGTGTGTCAAGGATAAACAATCTAGCTATTTAATTTGGAAATAGAAAAGCGCTGTCCGTAAAAAAAATTGAACAGCAGAGTTGAGTAGCTATGATATAGACTGCTTGGCTGGCAAAACCTAAAATGTTTATTTTCTGGCCTTTTACAGAAAAGATCTGTCTATGACCCCTGATACTTATACAATATTAGATGAAGGAGCATTTAAAAAATCTCCTCAGCTTTCTCCAAGAGTCTTGCAGATTAGAAATACACCAAAACTGCCAGGTGCAGGGGCTCAATCCCAGCACTTTGGGAGGCCAAGGCGGGCAGGGCAGATCACCTGAGGTCAGGAGTTCGAGACCAGCCTGACCAACATACATGGTGAAACCCCGTCTCCACTAAAAACACAAAAATTAGCCAGGCATTGTGGTACATGCCTGTAATCCCAGCTACTGGGGAGGCTGAGGCACGAGAATCACTTGAACATGGGAGCAGAAGGTTGCAGTGAGTTGAGATCACACCACTGTACTCCAGCCTGGGTGACAAAATAAATAAAATAAAAATACACCAAAACAAATACAAAAAGAACCAAAGTCTAACGTCTAAAATACACTTAAGATGTGATTCTGGAAATCCAGCAGCCTTCAAGCACAGTGAAAAGCTAATGACAAGAAGTTTACAACTGTAAAACTCCCCTTATAGTGGCAACTTCTTTGATTAAGTAAAAGCAGACATGGGAACGCCCATACAGCTCCTCTTACCTTGTGATCACATGGTAGTAATAAATCTTCCCTTCTGGATCTCGAGCTGTCTTCCAGTTGGGAGGTAAGACAATGGTTTTTGGTTTGGGAGGAGAGGGGGGCGGCAGATCCAAGAGATTATTTGTCACAACCATTTCAGACTACAAAGAAAACACACACATTTTTGATCAGTGATCTCTCTCTTAATCTGGCTGAATAGGACAAAATAGCCCACTTAAATATGTAAAAATGTACATCTACCTCCTCTTAAAAAAAGGATAAAGGAAAGGTACAGTCTGGGAAATAAGGGACAGTATATATAAAGAGGTTTACAGAGCTATCAGAAAATTGACAGTTGGCTCTAAGTTTACCATCCAAGATACCATATAGTTTATCATATAGAGCAGCATTTTTCAACTTTAAAACACCAATTCTAAGGCATATCAACTGCAGGATACCAATTAACTAAATGGGATACAGAAATATCTTTATCTTTAAAAAAAAAAAAAAAGAAAAACCAAAAAACCCCCTGAGAAGCAAATATGACAGAATGTTAACATTATCCATTATATTTTTTCCGTACTTGAAACCTCAAAACTATAAAATATTAGTGCCACATTCTGAAAAACATAAAAACCTCATAATCACTTATGGACTGATTTTTGTTTCCCCAAAACATGTATGTTGAAGCTCTAATCCTGCTGTGACTGTTACTGGGACACAGGGCCTGTAAAGAGCTAATTAAGATTAATGAAGTCAAAAGAGTGAGGACTTTTTATCTAATAGGATGGTGTCCTTATTAAAAGAGAACTGACACCAGAGGACACTCACAGAGAAAAGGTATATACAGCAAGAAGGCAGCCATTTGCAAGCCAAGGAGAGAGGCCTCAGGAGAAACCAACACTGCTGACACCTTGATCTTGGACTTCCAGCCTCAAGAACTGTGAGAAAATTTCTGTTATTTAATCCACTCAGTCTGTGGTATTTTGTTACCGCAGCCCTAGCAGACTAGTAATCACCACAAGGATATATACTTGTTCCTTCTTTCAAGCCTATTAATGAAGAATACATTTTTTACCTTTACCTTTGCTTGCACAGTTAAAGAGGAACCTGAAGACCCCAGGCTCAGATAAAATGTGTTCACTTTTAAGCAAACACGGGTCTTTGAGCATTCTTGCTTTGTGTATACTCTTTTTTATCTCTTATTTCACCCAGCTGGGGTTTTCTGGCCCAGCTTAAGTTTCAATTCCTCCATTACCCTATCCTTTAGCTTATAAAGTGACCTCTTTTCCCCAAGCTTCTGTGTCCCTTAATATTCCAAACCATTTATCTCTTAATAGTTTAAGGCAAAAAAGAAAAAATATATATTCCAAACCATTCAGTACTTATTCCCAACACAAAACTTTATTTTTAGTGTAGTCACCATCTTTCTCTTGTGATCATCATCTCTCTTATTTGAAAGATCAGCTTTTAAGAATACAAATGGAAACTTATTTATGTTTGTATTAAAAATGCCTAGTCGGCCAAGCACAGTGGCTCATGCCTGTAATCCCAGCACTTTGGAAGGCCGAGGCAGGTGGATCACGAGGTCAGGAGTTTGAGACCAGCCTGGCCAACATAGTGAAACCCTGTCTCTACTAAAAATACAAAAGTATTAGCCAGGTGTGGTGGTGTGCACTTGTAATCCCAGCTACTCAGGAGGCTGAGGCAGGAGAACTGCTTGAACCTGGGAGGCGGAGGTTGCAGTGAGCCGCGAGATCAAACCACTGTACTCCAGGCTGGGCAACAAAGCAAGACTTCATCTCAAAAAAAAAAAAAAAAAAAAAAAAAAAAAAAAAAAAAAAAAAGGCCTAGAAGGGCTCAACTCGTAACAAGCACTCAAACATCTGCTCTAAGTACACATTATCTTATTATCCTGTTATTTCACATATAGTATTTTTAGTCCATCTTCACTAACTGTCCTGTCTAAAGTCATCATCAATTGCTGGATTGCTGCAAGAGCTTTCTCCAGAACTGTAGGTGTTCTAAAGTGCTGATTTGACCATGCTATTCTGTTTAGTTTTTTCAGTTGTTTCCCATGCCAACCTCTTATTTTCCACTTTATCCAAAAACAACAACACTTTGAGATTTCACCATATCCTCCTACATATGTTGCAGAATACCAAAAGCTTATCTTAATATTAAACATCATATAAAAAACTTTTTTTAAACATTGTACAACATGTATAGTGAAGTATATCACACAATTCTACATGCCTAGTCCATGGTGACTAGTACAGTATCATATTCTAGTACAGGTTAAGCAGCCCTAATACAAAAATACAAAACATTTTGAGTGCTGACATGACACTCAAAGGCCATGTTCAAAGGAAATGCTTATTGGAATATTTCAAGCTATACATTTTCAAATTAGAGATGCTCAAGTGGTAATTATAGTGCAGATATTCCAGAATCCATAAAATTCTGAAATGTGAAATACTTCTGGTCCCGTGAAGCTCAGATAAGGGATACTCAACCTGTACGCGGTAAATACTGATAGATAGCTGGTCTAGGAAATTGTTACTTCGGCCAGGTGTGGTGGCTCACGCCTGTAATCCCAACACTTTGGGAGGCTGAAGCGGGCGGATCATGAGGTCAGGAGTTCAAGACCAGCCTGGCCAACATGGTGAAACCCCGTATCTAAAAATACAAAAATTAAGGTTGGGCACAGTGGCTCATCCCTGTAATCCCAGAACTTTGGGAGGCCAAGGCGGGTAGATCACGAGGTCAGGAGATTGAGACCATCGTGGCTAACACAGCGAAACCCCGTCTCTACTAAAAATACAAAAATTAGCCAGGCGTGGTGGCGGGCGCCTGTAGTCCCAGCTACTCAGGAGGCTGAGGCCGGAGAATGGTGAGAACCCAGGAGGCGGAGCTTGCAGTGAGCCGAGATCATGCCACTGCACTCCAGCCTGGGCGACAGAGCAAGACTCCATCTCTTAAAAAAAAAAAAAAAAAAAAATACAAAAATTAGCTGGGTGCAGTGATGCACACCTGTAGTCCCAGCTACTCAGGAGGCTGAGACAGGAGAATCACTCGAACCCAGGAAGTGGAGGTTGCAGTGAGCCAAGATCGTGTCACTGCACTCCAGCCTAGGTGACAGAGTTAAAAAAAAAAAAAAATTATTACTTCAAAAATTCATAGTAAAATATAAAAATACAAGGTCAGGGTAAACAACAAATAAAAAGGATCCTAGGAGCATTTTTTTTTTTTTTGAGATGGAGTCTTGCTCTGTCACCTGGGCTGGAGTGCAGTGGCGCGATCTTAGCTCACTGCAAGCTCCGCCTCCCAGGTTCACGCCATTCTCCTGTCTCAGCCTCCTGAGTAGCTGGGACTACAGGTGCGGAGCAAAATATGTATTAACGGAACTATAAATTCCACAGAATTAAAAAAATTTTTTTTTTACAAAATGGTTGAGTTCACGCCCTCAGGGTGGCTCAGGTGAATTTGGTGGCTACACAAATTTAAAAACGGGCCGGGCGTGGTGGCTCATGCCTATAAATAATCCCAGCACTTTGGGAGGCTGAGGCGGGTGGATCACCTGAGGTCATGAGGTCAAGACGAGCCTGGTCAACATGGGGAAACTCCGTCTCTACTAAAAATACAAAATTAGCCAGGCGTGGTGGCACACACCTGTAATCCCAGCTACTCAGGTGGCTGAGGCAGGAGAATCGCTTTAAACCAGGAGGTGGAGGTTGCAGTGAGCCAAGATTGTGCCGCTGCACTCCAGCCTGGGTGACAGAGCGAGACTCTGTCTCAAAAAAAAAATAAAATAAAATAAAATAAAACAAAGAACACGTGAAAAAAAAACCCAAAAATAAAACCCAAAACAAATCCAAACCAAAAAGAAAACCTTCCAAAGACAAAGTAGACAGCCAATGAGTTTTAACAACTGAAACATTTCTTACTGGCTGCAAGGGCTGAGGCTGCCCTGGTGCAACTATTGTAGTCACTGCTGCGGCTGGCTGTACCACCACTCCTTGTGGATGAGCTGTGAAAATCTGTTGCCCCTGGATATACTGAAGACTTGGCTGGGCATAACTCTAAAAGATAAAATGAAGAAATCAATAATTTAAGCTTTTGTCACTTTAATAAACAGACTGACTTCCAAGTTGGCACAATCTTAAAGATATACCCATAACATTTTAAAATTTTTTGTTTATATATTTGGACATAAATGTGCAAAACAATTTTTTGTTTCAAACCCCAAAGTTTCTTTTTTTACTAATTCCCTATTCATTTACTTACTTTGATTTTACTTTATCATAAGAAAATAAAAGCTTTTTTTTTTTTGGTCATAGAAATTCTCCAACTGTTTAGCTTTCAATGACATTGGAATGACATTGAAAATTAAACAGGTGGACAGTTTCTATAAGCAAAAACCAATGAAGTGCTGCTCCTGGGATATCCAAGAAACAATGCCACGCTGCTCTTTTCAGGAAGGCTTTTGCTACCAACTTGTAATAACAAACAGGTTGTTTGGATCAGAAAAGGTCAAAGGGTGTGAATCATAGTAAATAAGATGATCAAATTTTAAGCTACCTTTTGTTTTAGCTTTTTGTAGTCTTCTATGATAAAACCCCTTGGCAGAAAGCAGAATCAATGCATCTGAAATTCTCACAACACACCAATTTATACAGTGTTCTATGATGCAAGAAGCCCCTTAACATACATCATCTCATTTAGTGCTGACCACCATCAAAACCAGGTACTGCCCATGCCTGGAGTTTCATAAGAAATAAGTACTATGCTAGGGCTTAAACCTACTCTGTAATTATTTCTCAAGCATAGAAAATCTGCTTAAATAAGAAGAGGTGATAAGAAGACTGAAAAATAGCCTTGCTGTCCTAAGAGGTGGTGACTGTTAAGGAATTGAATAGACATGTATCCTGTGCTTAAGGAGAGATTTTGCTCCTATGGACTGAGATTCTAGCAGGTAAAATGATTACAGAAACATCAAATGCTAAGTACTCAAAATACAAAATATAATTCCAAATGACACCAGTAAAAACTCAAGTAGTCTGAATAGGCAATGCAGCTATCTAGCAGGTTTCTGAATGAATAATTACTGACAGGACACAGGAAAAAGGAAAAGAACACTTAATTTGGTATTCTGGATCAGCTTAATCTACTTGGATAATAAACCAGACTGAAAAACATTAATTGTTAAGGCAGAATTACCATCAGAATAGTATCACAAAGCCTGAGAGGAAAATGTACAGTCATGTATTGCTTAACAAGGGGGGTACATTCTGAGAAATGCATTGTTAGGAGATTTCATTGTTGTGGTAACATCATATAATGTACTTTCACAAACCTACTAAGTGTATGAGGTACTTACACATCATACAGTGTACTTCACAAATCTATTAGATACCTAGGCTATATGGTATAGTCTGTTGTTCCTAGGCTACAAACCTGTACAGCATGTTTCTGTAATAAAGACTTGTAAGCAACTATAACTTAACAGTATCTGTGTATCTAAACATGGAAAAGTTACAGTAAAAATACAGTATAAAAATTTTTTAGGCCGGGGCACGGTGGCTCACACCTGCAACCCGAGCACTTTGGGAGGCCAAAGTGGGCGGATCACGAGGTCAGGAGATCGAGACCATCCTGGCTAACACGGTGAAATCCCATCTCTACTAAAAATACAAAAAATTAGCCAGGCATGGTGGCATGCACCTGTAGTCCCAGCCACTCAGGAGGCTGAGGCAGAAGAATCGCTTGAACCCAGGAGGTAGAGGTTGCAGTGAACCGAGATGGCACCACTGCACTCCAGCCTGGGCAACAGAGCGAGATGCCGTCTCAAAAAAACAAAATTTAAATGGTACACCTGTATAGGGAACTAACTATAAACAAAGCTTGCAGGACTGGAAGTTGCTTTGAGTAAGTGAGTGGTGAGTGAGTGAATATGAAGGCCTAGGACATTACTGTACACTACTGTAGACTATAAACACTTGGGCTACACTAAGTTTATTAACATTTTTTTAATAAATTAACTGTAACTTACTATAACTTTTTTACTTTATAAACAAATTTTTTCAACTTTTTAACTCTTTTATAACACTTATCTTAAAATACAAACACATTCTACAGCTGTATAAACAACCCTCCTCCCTCCTCCTCGCCAGGGTGGAGAGCAGTGGTGCGATCTGGGCTCACTGCAACCTCCACCTCCCGGGTTCAAGCAATTCTCCTGCCTCAGCCTCCCGAGTACCTGGGACTACAGGTGCGTGCCACCACGCCTGGCTAATTTTTTTTATTTTAGCAGAGACGGGGTTTCACCATGTTGGCCAGGATGGTCTCCATCTCCTAACCTTGTGATCTGCCCACCTCAGCCTCCCAAAGTGCTGGGATTACAGGTGTGAGCCACCGTGCCTGGCCTATATTTTTTTTAAAAAAGAGTCTCATTCTGTCACCCAGGCTGGAATGCAGTAGTGTGATCATAGCTTACTGTAGCCTTGAACTCCTGGACTGAAGCAATCCTCCCATCTCAGCCTCCCGAGTATGTGCCACCACGCCCAGCTAATTAAAAACAAATTTGTAGAGACAGGGTTTCGCTATGTTGTCTAGGCTAGTCTTGAACTCTTGTGTTTGAGTGATTCTCCTGCCTTGGCCTCCCAGATTGCTGGGATTACAGATGTGAGACAACACACTGGGCCAAATATTTTTTTTATATCCTTATTCTTATTCTATAAGTTTTTTATAGAATAAGTTTTCTAAATATATATATATATATATATATATATATATATATATATATATATGTATTCTTATATATATAAACTTATTCTTTTTTTTTTTTTTTTGAGACAGAGTCTGGCTCTGTCGCCCAGGCTGGAGTGCAGTGGCACGACCTCGGCTCACTGCAAGCTCCGCCTCCCGGGTTCACGCCATTCTCCTGCCTCAGCCTCCCGAGTAGCTGGGACTACAGGTGCCCACCACCACACCTGGCTAATTTTTTGTATTTTTAGTAGAGATGGGGTTTCACCTTGTTAGCCAGGATGGCCTCGATCTCCTGACCTTGTGATCCGCCCGCCTCAGCCTCCCAAAGTGCTGGGATTACAGGTGTGAGCCACCGCGCCTGGCCTATATATAAACTTATTCTATGAGTTTATATTATATATTAAATATATAAACTTATTCTGAGTTTATATTATATATTATATATATAAACTTATTCTATGAGTTTATATTATTATATATAAACTTATTCTGAGTTTATATTATATATATTATATATATAAACTTATTCTGAGTTTATATTATATATAATATATAAATTTATTCTGAGTTTATAGTATATATTATATATATAAACTTATTCTGAATTTATATATTATATATAAACTTATTCTATAAGTTTATATATTTGTACATATATTTATATGTTTTTCTTATATATATAAATTTATGTTTCTTATATATATAAACATATATATATATGGGAAAAACATACATTTTGATAGAGGAAACATGACCAAGTATTTCATAGATCAGTAAGGTATCTATATTTTAGAATAATCTTATTGTATATTTCAAAATAGCTAGAAGAGAATAATTGAATGTTTCTAGCATAAAGAAAAGACAAATATTTATGGTGATGGATATCTCAATACACTGATTTTTACAAATTATATGAATATATTAAATTATCACATGTACCCTGAAAATATGTACACCTATTATGTATCAACATAAAAAAACAAAAACTAAGATATAAACACACACACTAGCCTAGGCTTACACGGAGTCAGGATCATCAAGATGTCAGAAGGCCAGAAGAATTTTTCACCTCCATAATAATCTTACGAGGATCACTGTCATAAATGCCATCTGTTGTTGACCAAAACGCCATTGCATGGCACATGATTGTATTTATGTACAGGCTGAGCATAAACATTTCTGATTTCCCTAATCAGAAATCCCAAATGCTACAAAATATGAAACTTTTTGAGCGTCCACATGGTGCTCAAAGGAAATACTCGCTGGAATATTTTGGATTTTGACTTAGGGATGCTCTACCACTAAGTATATATAACGTAAATATTCCCAAATCTGAAAAAAATCCGAAATACAAAACACTTCAGGTCCCAAGCATTACAGATAAGGGATACTCAACCTGTATACATTTCCTCTCTCTTTTTTTTTTTTTTTTTTTTTTTTTGAGACAGAGTCTCACTCTGTCACCCAGGCGGAAGTGCAGTGGCGCAATCTCAGCTCATTGCAACCTCTGCTGCCTGTGTTCAAGCAATTCTCCTGCCTCAGTCTCCTGAGTAGCTGGGATTATAGGCGTGCGCCACCAAGCCCAGCTAATTTTTTTGTATTTTTAGTAGAAACAAGGTTTCACCATGTTGGCCAGGCTGGTCTTGAACTCCTGACCTCAAGTGATCCCCACACCTCGGCTTCCCAAAGTGCTGGGATTATAGATGTGAGCCACCGCACCTGGCCTATTTTCTTATCCCTCTACTCATACCATGTGCAAGTGACCATATTCTCTTGCCATGACCATTATTTGTCTCCCTACATTTTTTTTTTTCTGAGACAAGGTCTCACTCTGTTACCCAGGCTGGAACGCAGTGGTGCCATCAAGGCTCACAGCAGCCTTGACCTCCTGGGCTCAGATGATCCTCCTGCCTCAGCCTCCCGAGTAGCTGGGACTACAGGAGCATGCCACCACATCCAACTAATTTTTGTATTTTTTGTAAAGATGAGGTTTCGCCATGTTAACCAAGCTGATCTCAAACTACTAGGCTCAAGCGATCCTCCCACCTCAGCCTCCCAAAGTGCTTAGATTACAGGCATGAGCCACCATGCCTGGCCAGTCTCCTACTTTTGCCCTTGACTCCTGCAATCTCTTTTACCCAGAGCAGCCAGTGATCCTCTCAAAATATGTCAGATCACGCTATTCAATTCTAACTGCTCCAGTGGATTTCCACATTACTCAGTCTAACAACCAAAAATCCTTTTAAAGCTCCCCCTAAGACCCTATTGTAACTTCTTTGACTTCATTTCCTACTACTGGTATCTTCACTTATTTGGAATAGAATGGGTTTCATAATTACCTAACATATTTTGAGTGTGAACATTTAATATTCTGATATTGATTTTATAAAATAATAAAAAAGCTAGTTCGAATTCTAGTTTTGAAAAAAAAAAAATCACCAGGGTAAAACATGTTATTTCTAGAGTGACCAGGAAGTCAATCATCCAAATGTACAATAGAAAACTGCTAATATTTTGGAAGACAAAATTTCTTTGGCCATCAGTGACAATATGTTCATGAAGAATTTTTCTGACAAGACCGGATGTTTAAGTAAGGCTCATTATGCAGACACTAGTATTTGATTCATATGGAATAAAGCTGTGGTTTAGAAGAACACTTCCAAATGTTGGCTGGGAGATAACAACAGCAGTATCTACTTATGTTAAAAGCCTAGACTTCTAGGCTTTTAACAGTATTAATTTGGTTTCTATAAACCAGTTTGACTGGAATAATGCAGAAGATATACACGTTTGTTGACACATGTACATATATCATGTGACTTTTCTATTTGCTAAGGAAAAACCTATACGAGATTTTTGTTTTTTCTGTATCACAGAAAAACATGAATGTTCGTTTTTTTGTACCCAGGCTGGAGTGCGGTGGCACAATCTCGGCTTACTGCAGCCTCAACCTCCTGGATTTAAGCAATCTTCCCACCTCAGCTCTCCCAAATAGCTGGGACCACAGGCATGTGCCACCACACTCGGCTAATTTTGTTTACTTTTTGTAGAAACAGGGTCTCACTATGTTGCCCAAGCTGGTTTCAAACTCCTGGGTTCAAGTGATCTTCCTGCTTCAGCCTCTCAAAGTGCTGGGATTACAGATGTGAGCCACCACGCCCGGCTGAAAAACCTGTATCACATTTAAAGAGCCCACTCATTCAAATGACTTAAAATTACACAAATGTGGCCAGGCATGGTGGTTCAAGCCTGTAATCCCAGCACTTTGGGAGGCCGAGGCAGGTGGATCACCTGAGGTCAGGAGTTCGAGACCAGCCTGACCAACATGGCGAAACCCTGTCTCTACTAAAAATACAAAAAATTAGCTAGGAATGGTGGTGCACACCTGTAATCCCAGCTACTAGTGAGGCTGAGGCAGGAGAATCTCGAACCTGGGAGGCAGAGGTTGCAATGAGTCGAGATTGCACCACTGCACTCTAGCCTGGGTGATAAAGCCAGACTCTGTCTCCAAAAATAAAAAAAAATTGTTACACGAATGCTAGTTTCTCAAATATATACCCACTAGAAGTATCTTTAAACTGTGACTTTTTTTTATTTTTTGAGACAGAGTCTCGCTCTGTCTCCCAGGCTAGAGTGCAATGGCGCAATCTTGGCTCACCACAACCTCCACCTCCTGGGTTCAAATGATTCTCCTGCCTCAGCCTCCCCAGTAGCTGGTATTACAGGCACCCACCATCATGCCCAGCTAATTTTTGTATTTTTGTAGAGATGGGTTTCACCATGTTGGCCAGACTGGTCTCGAACTCCTGACTTCAGGTGATCTGCCCACCTTGGCCTCCAAACGTGCTGGGATTACAGGAGTGAGCCACCATGCCCGGCCTAAAATGTGATTTCTAATGGGAATTACAGAAGAAATGTGAGAAGGTCCAATAGGTTATAGAGAGAAAAATACAATTTTTCTGTTACCACCTCTAGAATAATAAAAAATCATTATTACTTTATATCTGGATCACTTCACTTTATACTATGTCAGTGCAAAAGTAGTTTTCACCATTTTTAACAGCAAAAGCCATGACTACTTTTGCACCAACCTAAAATGAAAAATTATAGTCTAAGCACTCAAACTCTTGAGATGTAATTTTGTATAACTTTGTGAGAGTAAGTCACTTATTAGTGTCACAAGACCACTACAAATTACGTGACCTCTGTTAAAATTGAGCTTTTATGTTTAGTATGCAGTTGTGTAAAAAAATCAGTCACCTCTGATAACACATTTGCTCCAAATATTAAAGATACTGAATATGTAGATACACAGACGTAAATGTATATTATATCATGTTACATATTACTTCACCGCCAAGGTTATCACAGCTTGCAAACTCTGAGTAGCCATGTTGTATGGTTAACACTGGGCTTCAACAACACAAACTTCAAGGCTCCTAGAGGTCAGATTTTTAGGGCTAGACAACAGATGGATGAACATGACCAGATGTTACTTCACAGCCCATTAATGTCAATAATCTCCCCTGAATACTATTAAGGTAACTATTTGTGTAAGTAACCATCAAGGTATATGGTGCTTTGAATCTATCATTATTAATATCCCTTATCTTAATGCAAATCAAACCATTCTGAGGCATTCTGCTCATTTTATAGATGAGAAAACAAAGACTCAAGAATATTAATGCCTGTTTCTAGGATGCACAGTAAATGATAAACCAGGACTCAAAACACATACTAACAATATATTCTATGTTTCTCAATACCCCCAAAGCCCAGTATCATCTGATCAATTAATCTCACACAGTGGGGAACGGAAGGATAGTTGAACCACCACAGCCCATTTACCTACTACTTAAGTACACACAAAGTAGATTAGGGAATCAGTAAGTACTTCTTGATAGGGACAGAATGAAAGACTAGAAGCAAGTAAATTGTGATGCTTGGCTCTTAGGGCTAATGAATAAAACCAAGAGAATCTTTTTTTCTCATTGGGAAGGAATAAATGGATTTTATTTTATAAGAAAAATCATATGACCAGGGAGCTCTTTACTGAGGAGTCTTTAATGGATATCTTTCATTGCTGTTGCTTAGGCTCTAGTACTGAGATGGGACCTATTTCAGGAATAGGAATGGGGATAGACATAAACCATTTTTACTGTATCCCTGATACATATTTTTAGGGAAAAACTCAAAACTAATGGCTTGGTCCAAGAAAGAATATGGCTCATACCCAAGTCAAACTGACAGTAAAACAAAACCAAAACCAAAACCCAAAACATTCTGTAGGAGGGAGAATGAAACATACTCTCTCCCTACACACACACACAAACAATTCACACCTGATGACCAATAATGCCCACATTTTTACTAGCCTTCTGTAACAACAGTCATTTTAAACCAAACAGCAAACAAAAAGCAGAAAAAAACTATAAGCATGTTTAATGGAATGCTATTTATAATTATGAAAAATAACTTTTCATTTAAATGACTACCCCCAGTAAAATGGATGACTATATAAGCAAATAGGGTATTATACCCATTAAAACATTTATGTATGTATATGTATATGTACACACACACATATAGTATAATAGTAAATAATTTGAAAAAGTGGTTACAAATCATTTTAAGGAATTGAGTCAAATCTCTTTCCCCTACTCCAAGATCCCATCACAGTGGTCCCCATACTTATCCCCACTGGCTCCTCTTAAATAAAGTCTGACTTACTATCTTAAAAAAAAATCATTTTAAGTAGGAAAACATGGGATAAAAAACTTCAAGTCAAGACAAATATATAAAATACATAAAACTTGCTTTAAAGGATCATAAAAAATGAAAGTAGTTAATACAGTTAGGGTTTTAGTAATTAAAACAGGATACCTTGTCATGGCCATTTTAACAAATGTTTTAATACAGCTTCATTATGAAAATATGAACAGAAGTAAAAATTACTGTTTAATACTAAGTATTATGTGCAGGAAACATTGTTGGGAGTCTTCAACATCCACAATAATTCATTTTTAAGGGGTAATGAGGAGTGCTGGGAGAGAGACAGAAATGTGGTGATGATAATGCTTTGAACATTTTTTTTTCAAAGCTTTAAATGTACTGCTGGCCAGGCACAGTGGCTCACGTCTGTAATCTCAACACTTTGGGAGGGCCAAGGCAGGAGAACTGCTTGAGGCCAGGAGTTCAAGACCAGCCTGGGCAACACAGTGAGACCGCATCTCTTAAAAAAATTAGCAGGGTACAGTGATGCACACCTGTAGTCCCAGCTATTTGGGAGGTGGGAAGATCACTTGAGCCCAGGAGTTTAAGGCTGTAGTGAGCTATGATCGCATCACTGTACTCCAGCCCGGGTGGCAGAGCAAGACCTAATCTCTTAAAATAAAATAAAAAATAAAAAAAAGTTCTGCCGGCCAGGCACGGTGGCTCACGTCAGTAATCCCACCAGCACTTTGGGAGGCCGAGGTGGGTGGATCACGAGGTCAGGAGATTGAGACCATCCTGGCTAACACGGCGAAACCCCGTCTCTACTAAAAATACAAAAAAATTAGCCAGGCGTGGTGGTGGGCGCCTGTAGTCCAAGCTACTCGGGAGCCTGAGGCAGGAGAATGGCGTGAACCCGGGAGGCGGAGCTTGCAGTGAACCGAGATCGCGCCACTGCACTCCAGCCTGGGGGACAGAGCGAGACTCCGTCTCAAAAAAAAAAAAAAAAAAAAAAAAAAAAAAAGTTCTGCCTTGTATAATCTAAAAAAAAAAAAAAAGAAAAGAAAACATGATTTTTATTTATTTATTTATTTATTTATTTATTTATTTATTTATTTATTTTGAGATGGCATCTTGCCCTGTTGTCCAGGCTGGGGTACAGTGACGCTATCTCAGCTCACTGTAACCTCTGCCTCCTGGGTTCAAGCGATTCTCCTGCCTCAGCCTACCAAGTAGCTGGGATTACAGGCATGAGCCACCATGGCCGGCTAATTTTTTTTATTTTTTAGTAGAGATGGGGTTTCACCATGTTGGCCCGGCTGATCTCAAACTCCTGACTTCAGGTGATCCGTCCACCTCGGCCTCCCAAAGTGCTGGGATTACAGGTGTGAGCTACCACGCCTGGCCTGACCATGATTTTTAGAAAACACAAAAATATTACCATGATGAAGGGTTCTCCCTTGGGAGAAATGGAGGCCTGCTAACAACAATGTGAGTAGGTTGGAAAGTGAATCTCTATATCTAGTTCAGCCTTCAGATGACTGCAGCCATGGCCAACAGCTTGACTGTAATTTCATGGAAAACCCTGAGCCAGATCCACCCTGCTAAGCTGCTTCTGAGTTACTTATTGTCTTAAGCTGACAAGTTCTGGCAATATTTCACACAATAGATAACCAATACATATAAAGTTGATCAATATATACAAGTAGTCCATGGTAAGACTTCCTCCCCTATACCAGATTTAACTAACATCCCATGAACAGACCATAAAGCAGAAAAGAAAAGTTTCAGAATTAGTTACCTGTACAATTGGTGGAGTTGTCTGTGAATAAGGTGATGTCACACCATAGACTGTTGGACATGTCTGTCCTTGATAATATATGGTTGCTTGAGACTGTGCAGGAGAGTACTGCTGCTGTACACTGACAGACTGTTGGTTTGAATCCCAAACACTATAATTCTGTCCCTGAACTGGGCCGGGGGCCGGCACTGGCAAGACAGCAACGCTGGAGTCTTGGTGTACTACACCATCACTCTGGGCCACATACTGGGAACTGGAAACTTCCACAGGAGCTGCCACATGTGGCACCACTGGTACTGGTGGAGGGGCAGAAAGGGGTTCTGTAGAATGTCCCACCAAGGGCTGAGCATGATCATAAGGAGCAGGAGAACACACTGGGTCCATGCTGGGTGTGGGCAGGAGCACCTTTCCAGCATTAGGGTTGCTGGGATCCACATAGGCCTGCATGGGATAACCTGGTGGGTAACCAGCAAAGGGATGATGCGGGGCATTATAACCAAGAGAGTCATAGGGCAGTGGTGATGTCATTCCCAGGTTCTGCATCTGTTGCTGTTGTTTCTGAGCCTCCCGTTGAGCCACCTCTTGCTCAAACAACTTCCGGCGTTCCTCTGTAGAAAGTTTATTGCGGTCTTTAATTCGTACTTTCTTTTTAGAAGTTGGTGTATCATATCTAGAAAGAAAATAAGGACCACAAAAAGTTGCTCCCTAAATCATAGACACAATCAAAGCACTAATAAGTATTATGTCACTCATGACTAAACCACTAACCACATCAAACCCTATTTGGCACTGGTTTACAACTATACTCAAAATTACTCAGCTTGTCTTGCACACAGAACAGAATCCCAAGGAATTGACAAAGAGATGAAAATAATTTCATCTCTAATTTCATCTCTACCCTTAGTTTCTAGAATTTTAAGATTAAAGATAGATACAGCATCCTATTCTTTATAGCTGGGGACATTTCTATAATCACAAATTCTAAAATTAAAATAAAAAACAAAATAAGTGTCATAAACCAAGAAATAATCCAATACTCAATCCAATTTATTGTCCCTAAATTCCACAGTACGGTTAAGCAGGAGATTAGATATGAAGAGAAATAGTTGAAAAATAACCTTCAAATTCAAAAGTCCAATGAATTCCAACTGGGAAAAGAAAAAGAAATCCTCATAAAAACATACAGCAGAAAGACATATACAAAGAGAGCCTCTTAAAAGCAGACCAAGAGAAAAGCCCGATTAAAGAAGGATGAAAATTAGACCAAGTCTCACAAAACCAGTTAAGGGAAGCCAGAAAACTGAAGAATAAATAGAGTCAGAATGTTGAGAGAAACTATTTCCCCAAAAAAACTTCCTTTCAAAAATGAGGGAGAGGCCAGGCATGATGAGGCAGGCAGATCACCTGAGGTCAGGAGTTCAAGACCAGCCTGGCCAACATTGTGAAATACCCATCTCTACTACAAATACAATTAGCTGGGCCTGGTGGTGTGTGCCTGTAATCCCAGCTACTCAGGAGGCTGAGGCAGGAGAATCGCTTGAACCCAGGAGGCAGAGGTGGGAGTGAGCTGAGACTACGCCACTGCACTCCAGCCTGGGCAACAGGGCAAGACACCGTCTCAAAAAAAAAAAAAAAAAAAAAAAACACAAAGAGGGAGAATATTCACATAAGACTTGTACATAGCAGCAACATTCACAATAGCCAAATGTCTCTGAAATGATGAATTTATAAACTATGGTACATGAATACAATGGACTACTCAGCAATTAAAAAAAAACCTACCGAGACACAAAATAACATAGATGAATGAATCTAAAATGCAATACGACAAGTGAAAGAAGGCAAATTCAAATGCTATATACTATATATCACTTTTTTGACATTATGGAGAAGACAAAACCAGAGGGTCAGAAAGCAGATCAGTGGTTGCCAGGAGTTAGGGATGTGGAAGGGACTGACTACAAAGGGGCACAGGGGAATTTTTTTTTTTTTGAGATGGAGTCTCACTCTGTTGCCCAGACTGGAGTGCAGTGGCGCGATCTCTGTTCACTGCAAGCTCCACCCCCCGGGTTCATGCCATTCTTCTGCCTCAGCCTCCAGAGTAGCTGGGACTATAGGTGCCCGCCACCATGCCTGGCTAATTTGTTGTTGTTGTTGTTGTTGTATTTTTAGTAGAGACAGGGTTTCACAGTGTTTGCCAGGTTGGTCTTGATCTCCTGACCTCGTGATCCGCCTGCTTCAACCTCCCAAAGTGCTGGGATTACAGGTGTGAGCCACCACGCCTGGCCTTTTTTTTTTTTTTTTTTTTTTTTTGAGAGGTTGTCTCATTCTTGTCACCCAGACTGGTGTGCAATGGTGTGATATCAGCTCACTGCAACCTCCACCTCCCGGGTTCAAGTGCTTCTCCTGCCTTAGTCTCCCCAGTAACTGGGATTACAGGGGTGCATCACCATGCCTGGCTAATTTTTGTATTCTTAGTAGAGACAGGTTTCACCATGTTGGTCAGGTTGGTCTCAAACTCCTGACCTCAAGTGATCCGCCCGCCTCAGCCTCCCAAAGTGCTGGGATTATAGGCGTGAGCCACTGCGCTCGGCCGCAAATTTTTTGTTTTTTTTTTGAGACGGAGTCTTGCTCTGTCACCCAGGCTGGAGTGCAGTGGCGTAATCTCAGCTCACTGCAACCTCTGCCTCCCGGGTTCAAACAATTCTCCTGCCTCAGTCTCCCGAGTAGCTGGGACTACAATCATGTGCCACCACACCCGGGTAATCTTTGTATTTTTAGTAGAGATGGGGTTTCACCATATTGGCCAGACTGGTCTCAAACTCCTGACCTCATGATCCACTCGCCTCGGCCTCCCAAAGTGCTGGGATTACAGGCACAAGCCACCACGCCTGGCTGGGAATTTTTTAAGGTGATGGAAGTGCTCTGTATCATGATTGTGGTGGTGGTTACAAAACTGTATGCATTTTATTTATTTATTTTTTCAGACAGTCTTTCTCTGTCACCCAGGCTGGAGTGCATGGTGTGTTCTCACCTCACTGCAACCTCTGCCTCCTGGGTTCAAGTGATTCTCATGCCTCAGCCTCTCAAGTAGCTGGGATTACAGGCATGAGCCACCATGCCCAGCTAATTTTTTGTATTTTTAATAAAGACGGGGTTTCACCATGTTGACCAGGCTAGTCTTGAACTCCTGACCTTAGGTGATCCACCAGCCTCGAGACCCAGGAATTCAAGACCAGCCTGGGCAAAATGGAGAAACTCCGTCTCTACAAAAAAACCAACAAAAAAACCGGGCATCGTGGCACTTCCTTGTAGTCCCATCTACTGGATGGGTGCTGAAGTGGGAGGACTGCCTGAGCTGGTGCAGGTAAAGCAAGGCTGCAGTGAGCCATGATCATGCCACTGCACTCCAGCTTGGGCAACAGAGTAAGACCCTGTCTCAACAGAGACCTCATTAGACAGAGATAAGCATACTCAAAATTGTATCAATGTCAAGTCGCTACAGAATCATCTCTTTGGTGGGTAGGGTTCTAAGGAAGCAGATTTTAAAGAAGAGTAAAAGTCTGAGAAAAGACAAGATTTCCCAGAGGAAAACCAAGAAGGCAGTAGTGATTTGCTACCAAGACCTAATAGAAGCTACAGTCATCATGAGCCCCAGAAAGAGATCTTCCCATATATGAAAATTTGTGGGAGAGAGGCACCACTGCAGACAAGTGAAAAGGATGGGTTTTCAAGTAAATGGTGCTGGGACAATTGGGTATTAAATAAAACTGAATCCCTCCCTTATAATATATACAAAAATTAATTGCAAATGGATTAAGGATTTAATTCTCTTAAAATACAAAAAAAATCACCTCCTCAAGGGAGGATTTCTAAAAACACAATTTAAAAAACCATAAAGAAAACATACCATATATGACACATTCAGCTAAACCATAATTAATAAATTCCATGTATCAAAAGGTACAAAAAGTGTCAAAATACAAGCCGTAAACTGGGAGAAGATATTTGCAACAATTATCACCAAGACAAAATTATATTTAGAATATAAAGGACACATAAAACTAAAAAAGACAAATAATTCAATGAATGAACAACACATATAAGATACTTCACAGAACAGCCAGGCGCAGTGGCTCATGCCTGTAATCCCGCACTTTGGGAGGCTGAGGCAGATTACGAGGTCAGGAGATCGAGACCATCCTGGCTAAAATGGTGAAACCCCATCTCTACTAAAAATACAACAAATTAGCCGGGCATGGTGGCGGGCACCTGTAGTTCCAGCTACTCAGGAGGCTGAGGCAGGAGAATGGCGTGAACCCGGGAGGCGGAGCTTGCAGTGAGCCGAGATCATGCCACTGCACTCCAGCCTGGGCAACAGAGCAAGGCTCTGTCTCAAAAAAAAAGATACTTCACAGAACAGGAAACAGAAATGGCCAATACAAACCTATAGTAACCAAAACAACATGGTACTGGCATAAAAACAGACACATAGACCAACAGAACAGAATAGAGAATGCAGATATAAATCCACCCGTTTATAAACCAACTCAACTTCAACAAAGGCACCAAGAACTTACAGTAGGGAAAGGACAGCACCTTTTCAAGGACAGCACCTTACAGTAGGGAAAGGACAGCACATTTTCAATAAATGGTGCTGAGAAAACTGGGTAACTACATGCCAAAGAAAGAAATGGACAATAAATACATGACACGATGTTCAATCTATTTAGTAATTAGGGGAATGCAAATAAAAATCACATTACATACCGAGATACTTTAAAACTAAAAAATTCTGCCAAATGCAGTATATAAATGCTTTATCTCAATTTTTTAAAAAGCAAATTTAATTTAAAAAGAACTTGTCTGGGATAAATGTTTTCTAGCCTCCAGTAAACGATTACATGGTTTGTTTTTCTACCAGCATAACAAGAGAGCTTCTGACTAGATTTATTAAAAATCAGCATTTTAATTAGTATGGCACAAAACTCATAAGAAAACAAAGTTCTAGCTTTTAAAGAATAACCATTATCTTTGAAGACTTATCTCCCACCAACCCCCATTGCGCTCGAAAGAACAAATCTTTGGCTCCCAAAACGACATTTAAATATTATCAAATAGGAGCCATTCAAGAATCAAAACCTATTAATCTTCACAGCTACTACTACTGTCAACAGAGAATCTGTCTTAAGATTATCAGTAAAGTTGTATACTCACTCATCAAAATGCAAATACTAATTCCAAAAGCCCTTGATGTTCACAATCAGAAGTATATGACTTGGGTACTTTTTAACTTGCTCAAAACAAAAACAAAAACAAAAAAACTCACACAGGCCACTTACCTGTCATCTGGCCTTTTTGTTCCCCGCTCATAGGCAGAAGAGGGTGGTGAGAGGGAGCTTCTTCGTTTCCTTTTCTCTTTATTTTGAGTTTGCTTGTCTGGGTCTCTCTCTCTTGACCTATTAGGAGTCTTCGGGGCAGGTGTTTGATCTCTGAAGCCAACAGCATCCCTTCCTCGTTCAGTTGCTAAGGGAAAAGGGTGGTTTGTTTGTTTTTTTTTTTTTTAAGTTTATTTGGTGGACTTTTCTCCATCATGACAATGTATCAACTGTATAATAAAACTTCTATCCAACAAATGTATCTATGGACTCCTCCGTCATCTACCCAGTTCTGAATTTGAAAGAGATACAAGGTCTTATGTCTGTGTTCACTCTACTCACTAAAAGTCTCTTTCACAAATGCCCTTTTCTCCTCTTTCCCTCCAAAGACTCAGTCTAAGCCGTTAACATTTCTATAATAAGTTCTGTGAGCACATGCATGCAAGATATTCCCATTACATTTAGCAAGGCAGTTTACTTGCCAGTTCAAAAATGTAAAAGCCTTCAACTACCCTATAACTCTTCATATTTATAATCTATAGAAAAGCAGCCTGATGTGCTAAGCATAAGAACCTCAATGAGAAAAGTTTATTTTTTTTTTTAAAGGTACGCATGGTGGCTGTAGTCCCAGCTACTTAGGAGGCTGAGCTGGGAGGATTGCTTAAGCCCAGGAGTTCAAGGCAGCAGTGAGCTATGATTGCACCACTGCAGTCCAGCCTGGGCAAACGAAGCAAGACCCCATCTCTTAAAATTAAAAAAGTGGCTTATCAGGCAACATTTTAATGAACTACAGTTATCTCTTGGTATAAATGGGGGACTGGTTCCAGGAACCCCCTTCTCTCCATACCAAAATCTGTGCATACTCAAGTCCCACAATCCACCTCACGGAACCCACATATACAAAAAGTTGCCCCTCCTTATAGGCTGGTTTCATATCTTATGAATACTATATTTTCTATGTAGATTTGGTTGACAAAAAAATCCACTGTATGTGTGGACTTGTGCAGTTCAAACCTGTGTTGTTCAAGAGTCAAAGGTATAAATATAAAAGGAAAATATATCAAACCCAGGTGATAACTTTGGAAGTCATCAAAGCCAGAGAGCTACATCTTAAAAAAACATAATACCAGGCTGAGCATAGTGGCACACACTTGTAGTCCCAGCTACTTGCAAGAGGCTGAGGCAGGAAGACTGCTTCAGCCCAGGCATTCTAGGCTGCAATGAGCTCTGTTTACACCACTGCGCTTCAGCCTGGGCAACAGAGCAAGATCCTGTCTCTTAAAAAAACAAACCGACAAACCAAAAAATCAGAATGCCAGCTTCCTATTCAAAGATGGTATTAATAACCTTCTTAATTTACAGTGTCTCTCTTTACCTAGAATCGTTCTTAATCTCACTGTTTTCACTTACCCAATTCCATTCCAGTGCTCTCCAAAGCTGTCCTAAGTACTACTTTTCACTGATCACACCTCCTAGTTTCTCATCTCCTTAAGAAGTCAATCTCGGCCGGGCACTGTGGCTCACGCTTGTAATCCCAGCACTTTGGGAGGCCAAGGCGGGCAGATTATGAGGTTAGGAGTTTGAGACCAGCCTGGCCAACACAGTAAAAACTCTCCTCTACTAAAAATACAAAAATTAGCTGGGCACGGTGGCAGGTGCCTGTAATCCTAGCTATTTGGGAGGCTGAGGCAGGAGAATGGCTTGAACCCGGGAGGCAGAAGTTGCAGTGAGCCGAGATCGCGCCACTGCATTCCAGCCTGGGCGACAGAGCTAGACTCCATCTCGGGAGGAAAAAAAAAAACAACAACTACTAAATCTCACCACTAAACATTTCAGTATCAATTGACTGGCATAATATGCTGTTGCTTTGTGTATGTTAGTATTGCTCTCTTATTGAGAATTTCTCTCATAGGACAAGGAAGAGTCTCAATAAACATTTACTGCTTTTTCTTTTTCTCATCTCATAAAAATGTTCTATGGGTTGTTTTACTCCCTCAGCAACCGAGTTAGGTTTCATAAGCATTTCTCACAGTTCTTTTAGGTGGCCCAAAACCCCAAGTATTTGCAACATGGTTACTAAACTACAGCCAGGTATGAGCATTCGTCAACAAGAAGCTAACAGAACTCATTTGTACCACATCCGGGTAGAAAATGCAGTATAATTAAATTAAGTGCTCCAGTTCACAAGGTATTAGCACTATATCCTTTTATGAGGTACCATTATCCAGTTGCATCTGGATCTACCCACGTCTATCTTGCTTCCTCCTGCAAACCCAGGTTTCTTACCTAGTATAAATTTCCTTAAAATGTGACTATTTCTTCACTATACCCTGATAAAACAAAAAAGGAATCATACCAACAGTTCATATTCTGACTCTGCACCTTAGAATATGTGAGGCAGACAAGTCATTCCATTTATTCAGGCTGATTTCCTAATATTATAAAAATGAGGGTAAAGTTAGACTACGTATTTCCTGAAGTGTTTCACAATCCTTCCAAATTTTAAAGGTTCTATGCTTTGTTTGACATTAAGAAATGGAAACCAGGCTTATATATATTATATATATGTAAATATATATAAAATATATAAAATAATATAATATATAAAAATATAAAATAATTATAAGCATTATATATTATAAGCATTTTCTTATTTTAGAAACCTGAGACTGAGATGAAGGGTTCTACATGTGAAAGAGAGACTAAGGTCGGCAGAAAAGAGGCTACTCCCTGAAAAGATATAGTTGTTCATTACAGATCATCCTCTGCATCTCATGGATGCAAAATATTTCTCCACAATAATTTGCAAATATCTAGCCACACCAGACTAGATATTTACAAAATATTATGGAGAAACGCTCATAGGTATTTAAGCTTTGCTTGTGTGCTACTAATAGTTTTAACTCAGTGATCCCAGAAAGCTAGCTTCTGATAATCAACCCTATAGTGGTGCCACTGGTTTTGCCAACCACTATTGCCCAGTCCTGCCTTCTTTTTTATAGGAAGAGTTATTTGCAGCCCTAAGTAGAATGTGAGGCTATGAAGAGACTAAACCAGAGAGTGGAACTAAAAATATTCGAAAGACAAACAATGGTGCAAAGGTTATCTCACAGGTCTTTAACCAATAAGACTAAGATTATATAAAAAGTTATGCACACCAAAAATAAAAAGACAAAAAAAAAAAATCACACTGGCTTCTTCATTCTACTTTTAGTGGGTCAGTGGTGGAGGTACTCATGAAACCAATAACCACCATAAGTGACCCTATTCCTTGAATCTCTAAGTAAGTGTGCTGGAAGAAAGGAAGGAAATTCTTAAGGCTGGGCATAGTGGCTTACATCTGTGATCCCAGCACTTTGGGAGGTGGAAACAGGAGCACTTAAGGACAAGAGTTCAAGCCTAGCCTGGGTAACATAGCGAGACTCTGTCTCTACAAAAAATAAATAAATAAATAAATAACCAGGCATGGTGGCACACACCTATAGTCTCAGCTACTCAAGAGGCTGAGGCAAGAGGATTGCCTGAGCCCAGGAGTTCAAGGCTGCAGTGAGAGCTATGATGGTGTCACTGTGCTCAGCCTGCATGACAGAATAAGACACTGTCTCTAAAAAATAAATCAATAAATAAGTTTGTTGGAAATGTAACTAAGTGGTAAAGTCCAGAAACCAGATTCCCATGGCCTCCCTGCTATCCATTCTGAAACAATGATTCTAACTTTTTCAGGGGTGACTGAGAATCTGATCAAAGTTTTGAACTTGCCTCAGAAAAGTAAATACAGTCAACCCTTGAACAACATGAGTTTGAACTGGATGAAAGTCCACTTATATGTGGATTTTCTTCTAACTGTGCCACCCAAGACAGCAAGACTAATCCCTCTTCTTCCTCGTCAGTCTGCTCAAGGTGAAGATAAGGATGAAGACCTCTATGATGATCTATTTCCACTTAATGAAGAGTAAATATATTTTCTCTTATGATTTTCTTAATAACATTTTTATCTAGCTTACTTTATTTTAAGAATACAGTTACATAATACACATAACATACATAATATGAGGAGTCAAAAGTTATGTGGAATTTCGACGCACAGGGTATCTGTATCTCCTATGTTGTTCAAGGGTCAACTGTGTACATACAGAATTTTACATGTAAACATCTTTTTTCCTTTTAGAGACAGGGCCTCACTTTGTTGCTCAGGCTGGAGTACAGTGGCACGATCATGGCTCACTGCAGCCTCAATCTCCTAGGCTCAGGTGATCCTCCTACCTCAGCCTCCTGGTAATTAGGATTATAGGCACACACCACCACACTTAGCTAATATTTTTGTATTTTTTGTAGAGACAGGGTTTCACCATGTTTCCCAGGCTGGTCTCAAACTCTTGGGCTCAAGCAATCCACCTGCTTCAACTTCCCAAAGTGCTAGGATTACAGGTGTGAGCCACCCTGCCCAGCTGCATATAAATATCTTGAGGTAAAGACCCTCCCAAAGACATCTAGAAGTATAGGTTTAAGAATGTCTGCTCTATCTGGTGCGAAGGAAAAAAAAAATCAAAATCACAATAATAAAAGAAAAAAAGACTAAATAAAAAAAATAAAGAATGTCTGCTCTAGAGGACAAACGAATAGAAAAAAAGCTAGTAAAGACTGAGTTCAAGGAAAGCGACAACAAAACAGTGTAAGAGACATTTCCTTTGGCAAAATGCATTAAGAATAAAAGCACAAGTTTCCAAACTTTTACACCAAATATTTCATTTACCTAGTTATATATTCTCTAGTTTCAAAAACAAAAACGCTTAAGTTCTTATCAGTTACCTCTGCACATAACAAAAGAATATTTGTAAAGCCATCAACACAGAGTATCTCTGAATACCTACTTGTGTTTTCCTTTTCAGTTTGACTTTTCTTTGGAATTCGATATACCTCCTGCAAAAAATAAACCAGAGGGAGGGTTATTAGTGAGGGTGGAAATGGTGATTGCTTTGAAACTGACTGTTTTCACATGACAATAAAGAAATGGAAAGTAACAAGCTGGTACTTATTCTCTAAAATTTGACTTATATCTGGGCTTTAAATAAGAATATATCCTGGCCCCTTAAAAACAAGAAAAAATATATAGCAGAAATACATATATTTACATCTATCAAGCTTGTACGATCTCACTAGCAAAGCAGCATACTAAATGACTGGGCAAGGATACGCTTCCTGAGCATCTTTTTTTTTTTTTTTTTTTTTTTTTTGAGACAAGGTCTTGCTCTGTCACCCAGGCTGAAGGGCAGTGGCATGATCTCGGCTCACTGCAACCTCTGCCTCCCAGGCACAAGCAATCCTTCTGCCCCAGCCTCCCAAGTAGCTGGGACCACAGGTGGATGCCACCATGCCCCGCTAATTTTTTCTATTTTTGTAGAGATGGGGTTTTATCACATTGCCCAGGCTGGTCTCGAACTCCTGGGCTCAAGCAATCTACTCAGCCTCCCAAAGTGCTGGGATTACAGGCGTGAGCCACCATGCCTGGCCAAGTATTCATAATTCTAATGTGCACTTGCCATCTCTACTTAGAGAAAGAAAAGGTTAATAACTACCCAGTTATATAAAAACACTTCAGAAAAATTGTATGTGTAAAGACAATTCCTACTATTCAGTGTATTTTTCTATAAATGCAAAACCAACATGACTAATGGCCAATGTAATATCTACTTTCACATTGTGTTTGTTATAAAAAATAAAAAATATAAAGGATAAGCATTAGATCACTGCTCCTCTTGATCACTGTACCAAAATTGATCCTGAGAAATGTGAACTGTTTTAAAGGCTTTTAAGTACCTTTTCTTGTGTTATCTAAGGCCTAGAACCTATTTTGTTCTTTAACAGCTCTTCACTATTCCACCGTCCATCGAGTAACTATTGGGCACAATACTTTCTTATCCAGTCATCTTAAGTGGGACAGTAACAAGCCTACACACTCTCAATAGTACATAAGGTGATATCATCCCTTCAGAGGAATCTCATAATATTAACCACACCTGTGGCCTCCTCTCCACAATTGTTGCTTCTCACAATATTTGTGAAAAATAATAAGCCACATGTCACACAACTGAGGAAAGGTCATGATGTAATATTCAGTTGCCATTAAAAAGGATCAATATGGACTGCACAGATCCAGGGAAATCTATATAAATGAAAAATTTTTTTAAACCTCCAATACTATATGCATGCTGACAAATTAATAAAGATGATTATAATTAATTGTGCACTTATACTGTGTGCCAGATATCATGCTGAACATTTCAAATACACTATCTTTTTTTTTTTTTTTTTTTTTGAGACGGAGTCTTGCTCTGTCATCCAGGCTGGGGTAAAGCGGCACAATCTCAGCTTACTGCAACCTCTGCCTCCTGGGTTCAAGCAATTCTCCTGCCTCAGCCTCCTGAGTAGCAGGGATTATAGGCACACACCACCATGCCCAGCTAATTTTTGTATTTTTAGTAAAGACAGGGTTTCACCATGTTAGCCAGGTTGGTCTCGAACTCCTGATCTCATGATCTTCCCACCCTGGCCTCCCAAAGTGCTAGGATTACAGGCGTAAGCCACTGCGCCCGGCCTATCTTTTTGTTTTGTTTTGTTTTTTGAACCGGGGTCTCTGTCGCACAGGCTGGAGTGCAGTGGTGCGATCTCAGCTCATTGCAACCTCCACCTCCCAGGTTCAAGCGATTCTCCTTAGCCTCCCCAGTAACTGGGATTACAGGTGCATGCCACCATGCTTGGCTAATTTTTGTATTTTTAGTAGAGATGGGGTTTCATCATGTTGGCCAGACTGGTCTCGAACTCCTGACCTCATGATCTGCCCACCTTGGCCTCCCAAAGTTCTGGGATTACAGATGTGAGCCACCGCACCCGGCCCTTCAAATACATTATCTTATTTGAGCTTCAAAACGACCCTATGAGGTAAGTACTATTACCTCAATTTTCCAAAAAGGAAACTTACTTAAAAAGCTTAGCAATCTACCCAAGGTTATGATGCTACCAGACAGTCTAACTCAAGAGCACTTTTATCTTCTGTATTAGATGACACAGGACATGCCTAACAACATTATTTTGAGAAGGAGTACCATTCTGAGATTTATGCACAAATGCAGGTGACATCCTCCATCCCCTTAACCTCTCCTTCCTATGTAGAAGAACTTTCATTAGAGCTGTGATTCTCTACCCTGGTTGTACAATTAAACCACCCAAGAAGCGTTCATGGAAATACCACCCCAGACAAAGTGAATCTAAATCTCTGGATGTGGATGCCAGACATGCGTATTTTTTAGAAGCTCCTCAGATGATTCTGATGCACAGAGAAGGCTGAGAACTACTGAACTACTGGCTATTCTTATCCTCACCCACCCCTCCCCACAAGAGAGAATCTGGGAGAAAAAACTAGGTAGGCCTGCCCTCAGCTAAGAGACATCTGGGCTCTCTTTTCTCTTGATCTGCTTTTGCCTTTAGAGAGGGGGTACATTCCCATCTGCTACTATGAGGGACATCTGAAGTTACTGAGTTGTCAATTTCTAGCTGTGGGTAATACTGAATCAGGAATAAAGACAGGAAGGAGCAAGCTGGCACTCTTAGTTCTGTGTGTCTTACTCCTCTGTCTGCCTCTCAGAGGGGTTATTAGACAGGAAAAAGTAAGAACGCCATTTATTACCATCTACCCACACTATAAGGGAAAAAAGGTATTCTGCTAATTTTAAGAAGCTTGGAAATGACATTTGCATTAGGTACTCTGTAAACCTAGGCACTCCAAAAGACAGCAGGTTCATTCACAAAAGGTACTTAGAATTGGTGTATTGAGGGTCCCACTAAGAATAACACAATTTTGACCTAGTTTCTTTTGCATAATATCTTGGCATTATAAGCATTTATTACAAAAATTTAAAGTAATTTATTACATAGGCCTCAAGTTGGGGACCCACTCTGTAGCGGCAGTTAATGTACCACCAGAAACGCTTCTCAAAGATAAATTCTTAGTTACGTTCAAAAGTTTAGATCAACTACTAAGTTGAAAATGTATTTTGATGTTCACAAAATAATGATTACTACTGACTAATGACCAGGAGCTACTATTTACTGTGTGCCTAATCACATGAGAAACAATTTCTATCAATATGTACCTAAGCACTTGGAGCTGCTAACTTGATCCTCTCTCTTTCTAGTCAAGGCTACATACAAAATTTAAGCTGGCAACTCAAATTACCTACTGTCTCCTCCTTATTTTATATATTAAGAGAATGGGGTCCTGAAAATACAACTGAAGTTTTCCAAAGTCCCACAACATTGAAAGCTGAGAAGGAAGCAGCCACGCGAGGATAACTTTGACATTTCTTAAGATCATTCTGTCTTGTGAATAATAGTATTAGTCTCAGTGATACTTGAGTCTGTCTGGAATAATGTCACATCCATAGGCCACAGAGTCTGTTACAGAAAATGTTTAAATTGGCTTCATTCATGTTAACCCTTAATGTAAGATCACCTTACTTTGTTAAATATTCCACTCAAGAGACTGGCATACTATAACAGAAGATTTCAAAATGATAATTATATGATCTGCCAAACAAGGGAGAATAGAATAAGGACATTTTTCAGATCTATAAGGTCTCAAAATGTTATTTACTGGAAGAGAATACTGAAGACAATACTGTGGATGTTCTAAGATTTAATATTGTGTGTGTATATGTGTGTATAGCGATGGGGTCTTGCTCTGTTGCCCAGGCTGGTCTCAAACTCCTGGCCTCAAGTGATCCTCCTGTCTTAGCCTCCCGAAGTGCTGGAAGCCATCATGTCCAGTGCAGTGGTGTGATCATAGCTCACTGCACCCTCAAACTCCCATGCTCAAGGGATGCTTTGATCTTCAGCTTCCCAAGTAGCTGGCCTACAGGTGCGTGCCACTATGCCTGGCAGGTTTGATATTCTGTAAGTTAGGTTCTAGGACTGCTCTTGCCCTCAGACAGACCTAAAAGAATCTGCTTCCACACTCCATCTGATACTTTTTACATATTGTCCTCTTATTTCTTTAGTGTCTAGGTGCAAACCTCAACTAACACACAATTCATACACACTCAAGCTATAATTATTATGGGCCCATACTGTCTTATTCTTTATTGTATCTCTAGCACCAAGAACAGTGTCTGGCACATAATCAACACTCAATTCCTTTCTGAATGGACCAACAAGTGAAATTCTACTTCTAATTTATAGAAATCACCTACACAGTGCTACATAAACTCAAAATACTGCATATACCCTACGCTTTTATCCCTGGAAAGAACTACTGTTTAAAGGCCTCACCTACAGCCCAAAACATTGTGTTTCCAGGGTCAGAGTGATAAATATACATTTGAAATTCAGGAAACAGGCTAAAGCAAAAGATCACAATTTGGGGAAATTTAAGAAACAATAACATATAGTGATACTGCTGGAGATTGCCCAGACACAAAACATACAGAAAAAAAAAAACAAATAAAAGTAAAAGGTAGAAAGTCTTTAACTCGAAATAGTATGTTCCATATAGTATGTTTTCTATTAATAAACACTTGAACAAGTTACCTACTACTACCAGGTCACATGGCTTACTTTACAACGTTTTCTTATGACAGGCTCAAAAGGTACTCATTGGAAGCAATGCAGCACTTCATTAATACATCCCAAATAAACTCTAAAAATATACTGTAGAAACAGGATTAAAACAAAATTATTAAATAATTTATAAGAAATCTTTTTCTGACAAGAAAAAGGTTACCACTGGTTTAGACTGTTCCTGAGCTAAACAACACTTATAAGAACAAAATAATTGGTGGGGCGCAGTGGCTCACGCTTGTAATCCCAGCACTTTGGGAGGCCGAGGCGGGCAGATCACGAGGTCAGAAGATCGAGACCATCCTGGCTAACACGGTGAAACCCCGTCTCTACCAAAAATACAAAAAATTAGCCAGGCCTGGTGGCGGGTGCCTGTAGTCCCAGCTACTGGGGAGGCTGAGGCAGGAGAATGGCATGAATCCGGGAGGCGGAGCTTGCAGTGAGCTGAGATCACGCCACTGCACTTCAGCCTGGGCGACAGAGTGAGACTCTGTCTCAAAAAAAAGAACAAAATAATTTACAGGCGCAAGATTTCCACCTTTTGTTATATAGAGATCAGATTATCTGTTCTGTAATAACAGATTTATTTTTGAAAACTAAGACTAGATTTAGTTATTCCTTGTTAACAAGTACAGATCAAATCTCGTATAGGCCAACCAAACCTTTTTTCCTAAATATTTTCCTAAATGACAGCAATACTGAGAAAGAGAAAAAAAGACTGCAAGCAAGCCTGGGTGCAGTGGCTCACACCTGTGATCCCAACACTTTGGGAGGCCAAGGCAGGCAGATCGCTTTAGGCCAGGAGCCTGGGCAATATAGCAAGACCTCGTCTCTAGAAAAATGAAAAAATTAGGACCGGGCACGGTGACTCAAGCCTGTAATCCCAGCACTTTGGAAGGACGAGGCAGGCAGATCACGAGGTCAGGAGATTCAGACCATCCTGGCTAACACGGTGAAACCCTGTCTCTACTAAAAAAATACAAGAAATTAGCTGTGCGTGGTGGCGGGCATCTGTAGTCTCAGCTACTCAGGAGGCTGAGGCAGGAGAATGGTGTGACCCTGGGAGGCGGAGCTTGCAGTGAGCCGAGATCTTGCCACTGCACTCCAGCCTGGGTGACAGAGCGAGACTCCATCTCAAAAAAAAAAAGAAAGAAAGAAAGAAAGAAAAAAAAAAAGGAAAAATGAAAAAATTACCTGGGCATGGCAGCCCATGCCTATAGTCCCAGCCACTCAGGAGGTTGAGGCAGGTGGAGCTCTTGAGCCCAGGAGGTTTGAGGTTCCAGTGAGCTAAGATAGCACCACTGCACTCTAGCCTGGGTAACAGAGTGACATTCCATCTCAAAAAAAAAAAAAAATACTGTGAGTAAACTGTCACTTTCATAGCTAAAAGAACAGACAAAACGCAGTAGGAATGGATAAAAAGAAAGTAGAAAAGCAAAGCTATGGAGCCTAGAAGTTCAGGTGCCAACTTCAGGTAAAAGGCATTCTAGGAAAGAAGAAAATATTTTACAAAATTAAGCAGATAAATTTTCCAGAATTAAAGAAATATGAAATACTACTGAGCAATAAGGCTAAGAGGGCCAAAGGGAAAACAGAAGGATTATGACCTAGCAAGTCTGCACCTGAGTAGAGGGGAAGCGCAAGTAGGTCAAAGAGATTTGATTAGAAGATACTATACATGTCTGGAGGGTTTCATAAAAATCACATACATGGGTGGGAAAGAGGAAGAAAAGAGTGAGAGGGAGAAGAGGAAAAGGGGAATGAAATAATTTTGTTTATGCTTTTAAACCCCTGAAGAAACACTCTAACTTCGAATAGCAGGGCTCCGAAGAAATGAAAGGTAACAAGATCTGTGCAGTTTTCAGCCACTAAGAAAAATGGGTGAAGAATATGAACAAAGTTCTTAAAGTAGGAAATACAAACAGAAAGATGTTCAATACCTAATACATATGAGAAAAATTAAATCAAAACTGCAATATTCCATTTTTGCCTATCAGTCTGACCAAGATAAAACTTGACAGTACTTGTGCTGGCCAGGGGTGGTGAAATTCTCATTCTTACGTATATACACTGCCAATGAGAGCTGAATTGATATAATAACTATGAAGAGCAATTTGGCAATGCTTATCAAAATTACAACACAGACTGTAGCTCAACAACACTAATTTTTAGTAACTTAGCCAACATGCATATTCCTACGTGTGAATGTGTGCAATGACTTAGGTGAAAATTACTTGCTGCTAAGGCAAAGAAAGCAATCAACCTAAATGGCTATGAGAATGATTAAATAAATTATGGCATACCTATACAGTAAAATAATATGCAGTTCTGAAAAATAAATTCTTTATAAATTGATATCAAGTAATCTTCACATTCTATTAAAAAGGAGCTGAATAATGCTGCCAATTTTATTTTAAAAAATAAAATATATGCATAATATGCATAAATTATCTCTGGAAAGCTACACAAGAAACTGCTTGATTGCCTCAAGGAAATCAGATGGAAGCCAAGGGTAGGGAGGAAACATTTCACTGTATGTCTTTCATATTTTGCCTCATGTGCAGAAATAGCCTGTTTTTAAAACTAAAAAAGAAGAAGAAAAGATAAAATACCTCAGAAAAAGTCCTAGGCATAGTACCAAAGACTCTTGTGCATTATGGGTGTATTCTTGGTAAAGACCATAGCTACTCACAAGGCAACTTGTAAATGTTGTTCTTCAGTAAGTGCCATACCTAGAAAGTCCTCCTAGTTCACTGCCTCTATTTAAACTTGGTCCCCCAACCACCTTCTTTTCTAGCCTTACCCACCCTTCACTACAAAGCTAAGAGTAGGAGCCCTCCTGATACCCAAATCATCTAGAAACACTTTTTGAACCACAGTTCATTCCTTTCTCAACCCAGATATATACACGCCCCTGTTAGAGAAATTGCTTATATTTATGGACCCTCACCCCAGAAATGCTATAGTCTTACATGTAATTTTAGAGGTTCTAAACATCTCCTGAAGTTCAATTATGGATCACAGATTAAAAATCTCTGCAGTAGGCCGGGAACGGTGGCTCACGCCTGTAATCCCAACACTTTGGGAGGCTGAGGCAGGTGGATCACGAGGTCAGGAGATTGAGACCATCCTGGCTAACACGGTGAAACCCCGTCTCTACTAAAAATACAAAAATTAGCTGGGCGTGGTGGCAGGTGCCTGTAGTTCCAGCTACTCCGGAGGCTGTGGCAGGAGAATGGCGTGAACCCAGGAGGTGGAGCTTGCAGTGAGCCGAGATTGCGCCACTGCACTCCAGCCTGGGCGACAGAGCGAGACTCCGTCTCTTAAAAAAAAAAAAAAAAATCTCTGCAGTATTAAAGGAAAAAAAGATACTTGAACAAAACACTAAAATGGTTTCTATGACATTAGAATGAATTCAGACTTATTATAGTTTCTAAATCAGAAGCAGATTAAGAATGATCTAAAAAGGCTGGGCGCGGTGGCTCACACCCGTAATCCTAGCACTTTGGGAAGCCGAGGTGGGCAGATCACCTGAGGTCGGGAGTTCGAGACCAGCCTGACCAACATGGAGAATCCCCATCTCTACTAAAAATACAAAAAGAAATTAGCCGGGCGTGGTGGTGCATGCCTGTAATTCCAGCTACTCCGGAGGCTGAAGCAGGAGAATCGTTTGAACCCAGGAGGCAGAGGTTGTGGTGAGCCAAGATCATGCCATTGCACTCCAGCCTGGGCAACAAAATCAAAACTCCGTCTCAAAAAAAAAAAAAAAAAAAAAAAAGAAGAATCTAAAAAGTATTTGCCAAAGAAACACAATTGCATGAACTGCCTAGAAAAGACAGAGAAATAGTTATTTTTTGGACCAGAAAAGTGAGTGGAAGAAGGCAGTATTTAAATCAGAAGACATAAGTCAATTGTCAGCTGTCACTTAAAAGCTAAGTTACAACCTCATGGGCCTGTTTGATTCCACTTTACAGCTGATAAAAACACCACCACTTAACTTCACAGGGTTGAAAAGATAACAATGTGCTTATGAAAATATTTTCTGACCATCTATCAAATAAAAAATATGTTCTAGGGATTCGAGAAGCAGTATGAAAGAAAGTATGAAGTTACCACAGAAAAAGATGGACTTTCTTCATATTTTCATTCACATATTTTTGAAATGTCAAACTACATTACCAAGCTCTTCACAGGACACTGGGAAGACCCAAGTGACCAAGACATAAGCAGTCTCTTCCTTCACTCAATGTACCACTATAAAATGTTATCTGCCTTTGATTGGAAAAGATGTTGTGAGAGCCTATACAAAGGGCAAAACAAACACTCTATCTTGGAGAAACAGGAAAGACTTTCCGGGGGGGAAAAGGAAGAAATTTAAATGAGAAGAGACATCCAAAACAAAAGAGTTTTCAGGAATGAATGTATGTGTGTGAATATTAGCAGCAGAGGTCTACTGCCTGTCTACAATGGCTTGAGAGGAGACTGCAGAAATAAATGGAAACCAGACCATGGCCAGGCATGCAAGCCACGTTAAGAAAAATGAACTTAATTTCAACAGTGTAATGGTGAGCCATTTAAAAATTTTAAATAGGAAACTGAGATGAAGGATTTATATTTCCGAAAGATTGCTCTAGCTACTGAATGTAGCACAGATTATAGAGGGCACATAGTAGTCACTCACTATTAGTAAGAAGTAATTTATAATAACCATTACTGCCAAGATGCCACAATAAAAGTAACTCTTACTACAAAGATTAAAAAATTGTCCATGCCTTTGAAGAAAGCAATTCCATGGTCTAGTGAGGGGAAACAAGCATCTACACAAGAAGTTTTAGTAATCGGTTAAGATAATTACAGTTGTATAGAAGTACAGAAAAGGACAAAGCATGAACTGCAACTCATTCAAAAGAAAAAAAAGTATTCCAAGTAAGGAGAACAGTATGTTCAAGGACATGAAGAGGTGAATATGTATGAGAAGACTGATGTGCCTCATGCACTGAGTGTGTAAAGAGAAACTGCCTGCTAGGCAAGAAGTTTAGACAGATACGGAATTACTTTCTCTATCATACACTAAAGGCTTTGTTCTTAGAGTAATGGAGTCTCTGAGATGTTACTAGAGGTTCCTGTTAATCACATCTATGTTTTTAAAATACTGTAGCATAATGAAGGGTTACATGAAAGGGGAAAAGAATGAGAGCAAGAAGGATAAATGTTGTAAAAGTGTAAGTAAGAAATGGCAGGAGCCTGAATTAAAAGTGGCAAAGAAGAGATGCTGTGCCTTATTTATTTTTCGAGACAGAATCTCGCTGTGTCACCCAGGCTGGAGTGCAATGGTGCAATCTCAGCTCACTGCAACCTCTACCTCCTGGGTTCAAGCAATTCCCCCTCCTCAGCCTCCCGAGTAGCTGGGATTACAGGCACTGCCATCGTGCCCGGCTAATTTTTGTATTTTTGTAGAGACAGGGTTTCACCATGTTGGCCAGGCTGGTCTTGAACTGTTGACCTCAGGTGATCCACCTGCCTCGGCCTCCCAAAGTGCTGGGATTACAAGTGTGAGCCACCACGCCCGGCCTGCTGTGCCCTATTTAACATGTAGAACAAAATACATCTCAGGTACCCCAAGAAATACAACTTTTTAAGGGACAGGCAAAAGAAGAATGAACAACTGAGAGTTACAGAAGGAATCTCAAAAGATTCAAAGGAGGGTATGGTGTCAGATTAACAGATGGAAACAAATGATAGATAATAGAGTGGTGAAGTACATTGTGTGTACGTACATGTTAATTGATACACACACACATATATTTTATACAATCTACTGACGGGTCCTAGAAACACTGTCCTAGTATCGACAACTTCATCTAGAATCCAGATATTGGTTTCAAAAACATTTCCCAACGCGAGGAACAAGAGATTCTTGAAGAAATGACCAATTCCGGGGCTGGGGAAGGGACAGTACAAGATGAGCCTGGAACAGCATATTGTAGCAAAAAGGTAAAAGAAAATAATGGAGATATGTCAGAATGACACAAAAGCCAACATGAAAGGGCTTCTACTGGCCAAATATGGGACAATGAAGGCATCAAGTAAATAATGAAGTTAATGGATTATAATCTATTGGGTAAAATAAGAATCTATGAGTAAAATAGTATAAATCAATGAATGAACAAATAGGAGAACAAGTAAACTTCTTGCTTAAAAAAGAATGTCCAATAAACAAAGTAAAAGGAATAATGAATTAGAAAATCACCATTTGGCAACCACCACAGTAAGTAATTCAAGCAAATCACTGGATGCTAAATCTAATGGATACATTTTATGAAAAATAGGGTATTTACATATTTCCAAAGTTGCTCATATGTGATGCTTTTTAATTATAAAGGGAAAAATCGTAACTTTACACTGGAAAAGTCTGGCAGACTACTGCTTAATCGAGTGATAAAAGTTGACAATGCTAGTAATGGGACAATTCAGTACCATGAGAAGAACACTACTGTAATATTCCTGACCAAAAAAATGTATACCTGAATCCAAGCAAAGGAAAGTTTCAGACAAACCCAACTGCGGGGTATTCTACAAAAATTCAAAAATACTTTAAAATGTGAACTTTATAAAAAATAAAGGCAGACCGAAGAACTATTTCAGAGTAAAGGATACTAAGGAGACATACAACTCAATTAATGTGTGCTCCCATATTAGATTCTCAGCCTTTTTTTTTTTTTTTTTTTTTTTTTTGCTATAAAGGCCATTATGTGAACAACTGGCAAAATCTGAAAGAGGTCTGCTGATTAGATCATAGTATTTTATCACTGTGATTTGCTGATTTTGGTAAGTACACTAAAGTTACACAGAAGAATATCCTTGGTTTTAGGAAATACACAATATCCAGGGGCATCATATCTATAACTTAGTTGTTGTTGTTTTGTTTTGTTTTTTTTTACACAAAGTCTCACTCTGTCATCCAGGCTGGAGTGCAGTGACACCATCATGGATCACTGCAGCCTCAACCTCCTGGGCTCAAGCAATCCTCCCACCTCAGCCTCCCAAGTGGCTGGGACTACAGGCATGTGCCACCATGCCTCGCTAATTTTTTAGTTTTTGTAGAGACAGGGTTTTGCTTTGTTGCCCAGGCTGGTCTTGAACTCCTGGGCTCAAATGATCTGCCCACCTCTGCTGTAACTTACTTTTTTAAAGTTCAGAAACAGAAAACAATAAAAAAAATAAGGTAAAATGTTAACACTGGGGAATCTCAGTGAAAAGTTTAGAGGAATTTTTCACTGAATTTTCTCTAGACTCGTCACTAGAATGTGTGTAACATGTAGAATATGTACAGAATGCTGTTCTTGCAGTTTTTCATTGAGCCTGAAATTATATCATAATTAAAAGTTTAAAGTATTAAGAAGGAAAATGTATGTGTTTTCATTATGGTTACTATAAGACTTAAATTATACTGCCTACATCTATACTAAAACAGTCTCAAGTTTCTGACTTGGTCACAGTCCTAAGGGAATAACAATATTCCTTAATGATCACTTCTAGCTTGGAAATTCTATAATGTATACACCCTCCCACCTCTCAAGATAGTTGTACAACCAAATCACTTCCTAAACAGCATCAAGACTTTTTTAAAAAAACTAATTTCATGGGCAGCAATAGAAACATGATCATTATGTCTTTAGGGAAACAGAATTAAGAGCTCACCCAAAAGAGTAAAGTGAAAATGACTTCATTCAAAACCAGAATGTTTAGAGCAGCCAGATTCTGCACTTTATCTTTTAGATCAGATGTTGGCAAACTTTTTCTGTAAAGGACAAGATAGTAAATATTTTAGGCTTTGTGAGCCATCCAGTCTTTCTCACAACTACTCAACTCTACCACTGAAGTACAAAAGCAGCCACAGATGATAGTACATAAATGAATGAACATGGCTGTGTTTCAAAGAAAATTTTATTTACAAAAACAGACAGTGGGGCAGATTTGGCCAACCCTTGATTTAGATGAAAGTATTTGGTTAAAAAATGGACCAATAAATTTTAGACCATTTTTGCCTTCTACCAAACGAGACATTTATTTAAAAATTTCAATGTTGCTGTAGCTAAAACAGCATTCTTTAGGGGCAATTCTAATTTTGTTAAAGGATAAGTAATATTAATCCTTATGGATACAGAATAATCTTACTCTAGTAAGAATTCAAAAATTATCACAGAAATCCAGGAAACATAATTTCATTTTCAAATGTTGCACAGCAGATTTCACATACAATATTAGCGAGGGAGTGAAATTCCAAACAGTGACTCAAAACTTCTCAGTTTAGGCAACTCTATGTTTTATTTTAACTTTTCATAGAGAGTTTTAATACATAGCTTTCTAGGGAAATACTTGATTTGCTGAATTAAAGATAATGTCTTGAGATAAAGATGAAATAAGAGAAGAATAAGAATAGTCATTAGGAAGAGTTCAACTTATCACATGTAGGTAATTTTGTCCCTAAATCATCTAAATCCAGATGCAAATGGAAATACCCAGACTTCATTCTAAGGAGAAATGCACATCCTATAATCTAAGTGTTTATAAGAGAGGCTCTGGAATCACTAACCATTACAATCTCTCGGTGTTTAATGGCAAATGAAATTGCCAAGTTCACAGGAACCTTACCTCCTCTTCTTATGATCCAAATGAATGAAGATATTCCAGTCAAGTTACACTTAGTCACCACTGGTAACCAGCTGTTTTGCCCTATGAAGTCTAGGGTATATTTTCAGCATGAAGGGTGATATGCAACAATTTCTTCTGCAAACAGAAATATATGCACATATCCCTGCTGAAAATGTAGCCTAGTAAATTTTCACATGAAAATGAATACATGCTCACAAGTGGCAATGTGCTAGGTGATGTTTCTGGTTGAGGTCTACTTTAGGAGTCAAAATGTGTAAGCCTTGTGGAGTCAAGGCAGTGGTCCTGTGTATATAGGTATAGAAAAAGTAGCTCACTTAATCCTTTCTCGCCAGGAGTAGGGATTTTCCCGGAACGACATCCATTGTCGGCAATGGACGCACCAAAATAACGCCGGCGCCAGTGAGTTAACCACCTCTGTCCTCTTTTCACCTATTATATTTTTCATGCATCATCCAACTTCCCAACCATCTTCCTGTTTCTTCACAGAATGCACGCTAGGTTCTCGTTTTTCTTCAGCACGAAGTTGGAAATGGAGTTGAGAAAAGGAGACACATGGTCAGCTGGTGATGTTAACAAGCTCCTTGCTGCCCTGAGAAGCTAGATGGAAATGGTTCAAGTTACAAGGGGGATCATCATCAGATCTGGGAGGACAAAGAGTAATTCATGAAGCTTCATTCCCTTCCCTCCCACCCTCTTTCATTTACTGATGATTCCTATAGTCTGCCATCACAGCAAAACCAAGATTAAGGAATCTGAAGCAATCCCTTTCTGTTCTTCACTCCATCCAGTGTGTAGAAAAGCCAAGCGGAACACATGTCCACCAATGTTATGGTGGCCCCCGGTTGGCTGGGGAGACTTGAAATGGCCATAACCACATAACCACAATCTTAGACCAATGCTTTTTAGTACGATCTTGGAATTAAAGATCAGCAACTAACACAGTGTTTGACAATAGGTGCCTAATAAAGGTTGGTTGAATAAGACATTTTCTTTTCAGCCAATGTCTACTCGAACACATAGGTGGAAGTCAGACAGAAGTAGTTAACTCTTTCAATGCCGGGATCGTATGGATATACAGTAATCACATCATGTCAATGTGTTTCTCTAAAACATGTTCAAATTATGGATTCCTGATTTCAGACTTCTGGTTAAATGCTATCTATGTTTGTCTGGTTTTTTTAAGAACCACCATAATCAGAGTTTTGAAAACAGAGCCATAGTAAATGTTAATTAGAATGATGGATGAATTAAGAACCCCAGCACCAATGTATAACAAAACATCACAGTTCACAGTCAAGTAAAAACATTTCTCAGTAATACAATTCTAGATGGGTAATGATTCCAGAGCAAACTAAAGTTTGAAGAAGAGAGGAGAATTTTACTTAACGGCTCCCTTGACACTAAGAATCAGGAAAAATCCAAAGTATGAAGGATAAGAAGGATATATTTTAAGTACAAATAAAGTTTTAAACCTCAAATCAAGAGGATCATCAAGCTACATATAAAATTGCTTTGATGTTTCAGATAGGAGTGGGGAAGATAAGAAGAAGGGGAAGAAATAATTTTGTAGGACTCAAATGTGTGTCCAGAGTGTGAGTTTAAATTACCATGGTTACATCTAATTGGGTTAAGTATATCCTAGAGAGTAATTCATACCATCACAATTACAGAAACCCACTATCATACGAAGAAACAAGAATATTTACTTTTTCCAGATTTTAAGATAGCTTTACAATGATTACTTCTTAGCAGTTTTAAAAAATAACATCAACCAGAGACTTCTCCGGCAAAAGTAAACTACTGGTCTACAACCCTACTTATTCTTCCTTCCATAAAAGTACAGCTATAAAGGCCTTTTCTGTGTCCATTTGTGTACTTGTCTTCATCTCCACCTTCTTAACTGAGCTTCTTTACAGGCTCCACTAGCAGCCTCCAAACACAAGAGGGACTCCTTTTAGGGACTCCTGTGCTGTCACAAAGCAGGCCTTAAATAAAAATCCATCAAGTGACTATCCCAGCACTTCTTTCAATTAACTGCAATTCTGATTCCTGCAGTTCACATACTGACTTCATAAGTAAATTTACTACGAACTCTTCCTTTCATATTTAGAAAAAGGCCTGATTTCCTAAGACATAATAAGGCTGACTTTATACTGAATTGTAAGTGATGAAAGTAACATGAGTAAGAGCTCAAATGGGTAAACAAAAGCTGAAACCACAACATACTTAAAGAAGGGTCTCAACACAGCAAATGAGGAAGCATAGTACACAACCACCAACTACTCATTTTGCTCAGTGTTTAAGGCCAGTTTCATTGGGTCAAATCACAGGATCTAATGGAGTGAGCTTTGTCATCATAATTAGGGGCAGGGAGGATTCAGGTGTTCATCTTGCTGCAAAGAGTCAGGATTGCTGGTTTATTTGGTTGCTTCATCTCCGGCAGAAGAAAGGAGGAACAGAAAAATAGAAGCTAGTTAAGTAACCTGTTCCCACAGGGTCCTCAAGACGTGGATCCCAAGTCCAGATCACTTACAAATGAAATGTACCACACCTCTCCTAGGTTTATCCTGTTATTCATTCTTGTGTTTATCCAAGACTCAGTCTGGGTTTTCTGCAAAGCAAACCCTGCACATCTTGCTACATTCTTCAACAAGAGATTATGTATGTAATAGGCATAAGAGTTCCAGATCTATTTTTCCTCTTTTGTCCAAAGAAATAGGCATTTAAAAGCAGGCCCATTTCAGAAACAATAATAGAAGTGAATACGAACTAGTTCCATAAAGTTGTTTTTCTAAAATAAAAATTTACATTCAATCATTTTTAGTAAGCTGCTAAATTATCTTAGTTTTCCAATTATTTTTAATTTTCCATTAATACAACTGATTTCCAATAAATTTAAACACTAATTTTTTCTCATTACAAATAGAATCCTAAGTTTGCTCCTCAAAGGATTTTTGTTTTTAATGTGAAGAGCACTTAAATGACTGAACTCACTATTGTGATGTACTTTTCTAAGTGACAGAAAAGAAGACATTTGTATATTAGTTTGGCTAATATGACTCTTGCCACGGTTTAGAGGATGTTTGAGACACTTATAAATAAAACAGTAAGAGAGACAGTATTCCATTTTTCAGAAATATGCATGGCTAAAAAAAGTAGTTAATTTTGCTTAGGTTTGTAGAACTCTAAACCTGAGTAATTCAAGTTGAAATGAACAAAAGATGCTTCCTTACCTTTAGGTCTTTCCAACTGTCCAGGAGTTTGGTGGCCAAATCACTTATATCCACTGTTTTATCTGGCTGTTCTTGGCTCCTTTCACTCTCCACATCAGACACACCCTCCTCTTCATCTTGGGATGGTGTTTCTTCATTAATAGGTTCTTCTAGTTTTGTGCCGTTGCTCTCTTTGGGCTCTATTTCAGCGTCAGCTTCTGGTTCAGATGTAGGTAGCTTACTAGCTTCTATGTTGGTTTCACTATCAACTTTGCATTCAGGCAGCTGTTGTGGGAGTAGCTGTTGTGACTGCAATTCTTCCTCTTCCTCTACAGGGACATTTTCTAATTGATCAAGATCCTCTTTGCCATCCTTGCCTTCTAGCTCACTGGTTGCATCAGAGATTGCACTGTCCATGCTATTTTCACTTATAATTTTCAGTCTGCGAAACATTAGTTTCTTGGGAGTGTCTGTGTCAGCTTCTGTGCTCAGCTTGGTGGAAGGATCAGGTGTGTTGAGTGGTGTATGAGCACGCGATGTATTCTCACTAGAATACCCATCTCCTTCACTCAACGGAGGGACAGCAGTCTTAGTCTGAGACCAGCGTTGAATAATTGGAAGTACTTTGCTTTCCTCCAACATATTTTTAGTAGGAATGGGCAAGTGTTCCAAAGTCTTTATAATCTGATTAAACATAAAAAAAAATTACATCACTTTGTACAGTTGACTTTTTTTTTTTTTTTTGAGACAGAGTCTCACTCTGTCACCCAGGCTGGAATGCAATGGCATGATCTTGGCTCACTGCAACCTCTGCCTCCTGGGTTCAAGCAATTCTCCTGTCTCAGCCTCCCAAGTAGCTGGGAGTACAGGCGCTAGCTGCCACGCCTGGCTAATCTTTTGTATTTTTAGTAGAGACAGGGTTTCACCATGTTGGCCAGGCTGGTCTCAAACTCCTGACCTCAAGTGATCCACCCACCTCGGCCTCCCAAAATGCTGGGATTACCAGCATGAGCCACCACACCTGGCTACAGTTGATTTTGTTTTTTTTTTGAGATGGAGTTTCGCTCTTGTTGCCCAGGCTGGAGTGCAATGATGTGATCTTGGTCACTGCAATCTCTGGCTCCCTGGTTTAAGCGATTCTCCTGCCTCAGCCTCCCGAGGAGCTGGGATTACAGGGATGCACCACCATGCACAGCTTTTTTTTTTTTTTTTAGTAGAGATGGGGTTTCTCCATGTTGGTCAGGCTGGTCTTGAACTCCTGACCTTAGGTGATCCACCTGCCTCAGCCTCCCAAACTGCTGGGATTACAGGCATTGAGCCACAGCGCCTGGCCTACAGTTGACTTTTTCAATTTCTGGATGGGACTCAGATTATTTCTGCAAGAGTAGTGCAGTTTTGCTACTGCTTTATTAAGAACTACATCTCTGTAAACACAAGCATATTTAAAAATCATAATATTGTTTTCCTTAAGAAAGAAAAACTTTTAATAAGACTGATCAGCAAGAATCACAACATCAAATAGGACTGATTAATATTCTCTACCAGTAGTTCCTAAACCTGGGTAGCTTTTTAAACATATACACTACTGGACCAATCCTGGGTATCTTTTCTTAAAAAGTTTACCAAGTGTCTGTGATATACACTTAGCAGCTATGTAACAACATATTTAAATGATGTCTGTCATACACACAAAAATGCAGACATCTCTTCAGCTTTTGATAAACAGCTGTCTAGCAAAGAGAGATCCCCTCCTCATTCTTAGACAACCTCCCCCATTTTGAAATCCAAGAATTTTTTCTGAAGTATTCCTCAATGTAGTTCCACAGAAACCCCAAGGCTTCCTCAATTTCCTCAAGCCAAATCTCCTGGGAGAAGGACAGAGGCAAGAACAAGTACTTATCTGCCCATTCCTTTTTGTTTGTTTTTAAAAGTGTTTTATTAAATAAAAGACTCTGGGATTATATTACAAATTAGAAAGTTAGAAAATTTTATTAATTTCATAGAAAGGTAAAGACATCGTAACTCCACTAATAATGCTGCCAATGAACCTTTACTTAGATCTTTTAAAACACTTATTTAAAAGATTCCTCAAAATGTTCATACTCTTGTTATGCAGAATTCAGATCTTTACCAATTCTTTAGACCCCACAGTTCAAATTTTATATGACTTCCCATCTTTTTAAAACTCTGGTTTTAACAACAAACTGGATCTTTCACTTAACTATGTTGTTGTTATTATATCTTGCTCTTGTAGTTCCCTGCTATGTAGTACCAACTTTAAAAAGATACTATAGGAAAACCATGGGACAAACTACTAACAAGGTGTATGTACGGTTAGATACGTTAAAGGAATGATACTGAGATGAAAAAATTATTTGATTATTTAATACCAATGATACAGTGCTAAATTCATAATTACTGATATTATCACATATCCACAACCGAGGCAATCAATATAACAGTTTTAAGAAACAAGCAAGCTAAATGTGAACTGACCTCTTCCTGAAGCTTCTGGTTACTTTCCCGGCCGTCACCTAGCTCTGCCATCCAGATCCACAACAAAGACAGCCCATGACGTTCCAGAAAGGACTTCAGGCAGGACTGTGAGTGTGTGTTCTTTCATGGGGGAAGGGAGACACGATGCAGAGCATTGGGAGGCAATATCAGAATATTACAAAGAGCCCGAGGAGAGTTCATGTATACGTTACACATTATAGGGTTCACTTACATTCACAAAAAAAACCTAGAAACTCTGTTTTCATTAGCCTAAATAGAACTCTACAACAAATGCTTTAAACAGATTATAATCTTCTCTGATACACAAAATACAGCCAGTCAACTGGGATTTTACTAACGTAGAAAATTATATGAATATTAATAGGTCATTTATAATGAAAATTCTGAAGAACTAAGAAAAAATTGCATCTAACTTTTTAAATAAAGCTAAAACCATAAAAATTAGTCCTTAAATAATTCTTTCTTCTCTCCCTTTCAGATGATTGTTGAAAAGACCTCTTTTTCCTGTTAGTTTTTTTTTTTTAATCATCATGGTTTTTTTACACTGTGGCTTACAACTACAATCTCAGCACTTTCGAAGGTGGAAGAGGGAGGGACTGGTTGAGGCCAGGAGTTCAAAACCAGCCTGGGCAAAATAGCAAGACCCTTATCTCTACAAAAATATAAATATAAAAATTAGCTGGATGTGGTGGTGTGTGCCTGTAGTCCTAGATACTCAGGCAACTGAGGCAGGAGGATCACTTGAGCCCAGGAGTTCCAAGGCTGCAGTAAGCTATGATTGCACAACTGCGTTCCAGCCTGGGCAACAAAGCAAGACCCTAAAAAAAAAAAAAAATCATTTTGTGTTATCTAACATCTTGTGGCATACTTAATAAACTGGTGTAAAAAAGGGTACCGTTAAAATTTTGTGCTTGGAGATCACGTAGTACAAATGGCTTTGGGATGCTAGTAACTGGAGGGTAAAAGGCTATGGCAAGTGTGATGAATTATTACAAAAAAAAAAAAAAAGCCACCACATTCTTTGAATATAGACAGAAAGCAAACCAGGTCTAATAATGCCATGGTCCCCAACCTTTCTGGCACCAGGAACCAGTTTCAGGGAAGATAATTTTTCAACAAACTGGGTGGGGGATGGATTCAGGATGAAACTGTTCCACCTCAAATCATCAGGCATTAGATTCTCATAAGGAGTGTACAACCTAGATCTCTCGCATGTGCAGTTCACAATAGGGTTCGTGCTCCTATGAGAATCGAATGCCGCTGCTACTCTGACAGCAGGTGGAGCTCAGGCAGTAATGCTCACTCACCTCCTCCTGTGTGGCCCCGTTCCTAATCAGCCCATGGCCTGGGGATTGGGGATCCCTGTACTAATAGATTAAATGATACTGAACTCTTTAGCCATTTTAAATAATATGGTACAAGCTTTGAAAGTCATACACAACTCACATATCCATTTAAAAAATAAAACTGGCCGGCCATGGTGGCTCACGCCTGTAATCCCAGCATTCTGGGAGGCTGAGACGGGTGGATCATCTGAGGTCAGGATTTCCACACCAGCCTGGCCAACATGGTGAAACCCCATCTCTAATAAGAAAATACAAAAATCAGCTGGGCGTGGTGGCTGGCGCCTGTAATCCCAGCTACTCAGGACGCTGAGGCAGAATTGCTTGCACCCAGGACACAGAAGTTACAGTGAACCGAGACTGCACCACTGCACTCCAGCCTGGATGACAGAACAAGACCCCATCTAAACAAACAAACAAACAAACAAACAAACAAATAAATAAATAAATAAAATAAGACTAACTCTTATCAGAATTATTCCTTCTTCATTCATCTTCATTCATTCATTCCCACCACAAAACCAGAAATAAAAAACAAACATTAAAGTGTTCACCTGTATGAGTTCCAGACAGGTAAGTTTCTGCTCCAAAGTTTCAATTCTAACCATTAGCCGGGATAAGCTGAGCACCTGGTTTTTATCAGAGAGACCCTCACCATTTTCCATCAGAGCTTCTAGCTCTCCATCCACCTACCACAGCAAATAAAAATACCTTTTTATAAAACAACAACAACAAAAAAAAAAACCAAAAACCCAAAAAGTTGCTCAACCTTATCAATTATCAGGAAAACACAAATGAAGACCAAACTGGGAAAGTACTAGACTGGGGGAAAAAGTTAAGAAGGCTGATAATAACAAGTCTACTGTTGATGAAAGTATAAAGTGGTATAATACATTTGAAATGCATTTCATTCACTCATCAAATACGTAGCAAGAACTTATATGAGTCAAGTATAATTCTAGGTGGAGATCTGCAATGAGCCAAAACAGAAAAACCTGCCCTTATGGGAGACCATGAACAAATTACATTAAACCAAAAGGACTTCAGAGATCCTTTATGGTTCATAAATATGATGAATGGGTTTTCACGCTGCTGTGTGAGATATATCTCCTTCAAACTTATATAATTTATATGTTATAATATATAATGACCTTTTTATGATGTCAGCATATGAATGACCCAGCTGATAGGGGCCGGGTGCTTCAGAAAAAAATAAAGCATTAGCCTGAAAAATAAAATAGTTGTATCCCCATGCACAGAAATTCTACTTATCAGAATAAACTGTAGAGAAATTCTGCACATGTGTACCTGGAGATTCATAAGAATGTTCATTGAAGCAATATTTATAATAGCAAAAAATTGCCAACAACCCAAATATCTGTACAAGTTGGATAAACGGCCATGTTCACTCAATGAAATATAATACTACAGTGAAAGGAATCAAGTACAGCCAAATGCAACAACATCCATCAATCTTAAAAATATGTCATTAAGAAAAAGCAAGTTCCAAAGAATTACATGCTATATGAATCCATTTTTATGCACCTCAAAGCTGAACTTTTTAGTGATACATATGTGAAAAACTGCTTTTAAACAGGCAAGGATGACCGGGCATGGTGGCTCACACTTGTAATCTCAGCACTTTGAAAGGCTGAGGCAGGAAGATGACTTGAGCTCAGGAGTTTAAGACCAGCCTGGGCAACACAGCCAGACTTCATCTCTACTAAAAATCAAAAAAATTAGCCAGGTGTGGTAGCATGTGTCTATAGTCTCAGCTATTCAGGAGGCTGAGGCAGAAGGATCACCTGAGCCTGGGAAATTGAGGCTACAGTGAGTTATAATTTTGCCACTGCACTCCAGCCTGGGTGACACAGTGAAATCCTGTCTCAAAAAAAGGCAAGGAAGTAAGACCCAAAATGTACAACAGTGGTAACCTCTAGGTAGGGAGAAGGAAGCAGAGAAGCACTAACAAGGATTTTATAATTATGCTTTGTAACATATATATTCTTTAAGTATTTTAAATATTAAATGTAAATAACGGGGGGTGGGAATCAACCTACCAAAGGTTATTTCCAGCCCTGCATTATGGCAGTTACAGGACATAAAGATTCTTTCAAAGAATTTATTATGGGTGAGATTAAATTAATTCATATGAAACCAAACAAGGAAGCATTAACTGCAAATGTTACATAGAACTAAGAGGCCTACATAAGGGAGTAATTAGAATGAGTCACTGAAATAAGATTAGAAATAGGTAAGATAAAGACAAGAGGAAAGGGTAAGCAAAGTAGTGGGGAAAAGTGTGAACAAAGGAAAATAAGAAATCATGACAGTGCTTAGGTCAACAAAGCTCAAACAGGTAAGGCATGGTGACGGACTGAGAAAAACCATACCAAATAAAAGACTGGGCCAGATGCAGTGGCTCATGTCTACAATCCCAGAACTCTGAAAGGCCAAGACAGGCGGATCACCTGAGGTCAGGAGTTCAAGACGAGCCTGGCCAACATGGTGAAACCCTGTCTCTAATAAAAATACAAAAATTAGCCGGGCATCGTGGCGGGAGCCTGTAGTACCAGCTATCGGGAGGCTGAGGCAGGAGAATAGCTTGAACCCACGAGGTGGAGGTTGCAGTGAACCAAGATTGTGCCACTGTACTCTAGCCTGAGCGACAGAGTGAGACTCCTTCTCAAAAACAAACAAACAAACAAACAAATAAAAGACTGGTGTTAGATTAGAAGATCTCAATTTAACATAAAATAACTTGAATTTGATAAAACCTGAACAGAATCCTGAACAAGGGAATATATATGATCAAAATGGATTATTATTTTTTTATTTTTTATTTTTTTGAGATGGAGTTTCGCTCTGTCGCCCAGACTGGAGTGCAGTGGCGCGGATCTCAGCTCACCGCAACCTCCACCTCCCAGGTTCAAGTGATTCTCCTGCCTCAGCCTCCTGACTAGCTGGGACTACAGGCCCGTGCCACCATATCCAGCTAATTTTTTGTATTTTTAGTAGAGACAGGGTTTCACCATGTTAGCCAGGATGGTCTCGATCTCCTGATCTTGTGATCTGCCCGCCTCAGCCTCCCAAAGTGCTAGGATTATAGCCGTGAGCCACTGCGCCCAGCCCAAAGTGGAACTTGATAATAATTTGTGCGGCAATAACAGAATAAAATTCAGATAAGCTAGAGACTAAGGAGAAGACAGGTAACATTACAACTTAGCAGGAAATGATGAAAGTCTAGAATGAAATGATTCAGAGAAAAGCAAGCTAAAAGGAAAGAATCTTAAGAAAATTTTCTATTACTTTTTTCTTTTACTTAACTAGCTATTTATCCCTTAATATAATTTCAGGCAAGGCACTGAACATTTTTATTTCATATTGTACCCAAAAATTCACATTCTGGTAAAGAACAAGAATAAATGAGAAAAAATAAAGTGCTGCCTGAGAGAGGTTGTAGAAACTCAAACCCATTTTTCTTTCTAAAATGTACATTTAAGGCTCATTCTTTTTCATTTCCAATACCACTTAAGTTTTTGAGTAAATACATGAACAGAAAAACCAATTTAAAGTTGTCTTAATCCAAGAAAGACAATTTCATTAAAGATATCTTTTCCTTGCATATCCTAAATGTAAGCCTTCCTGTGTCCCAAATTCTACGGTATTAGATGAGTTCAAGGGCTTTAAAATTCTACTTTCCCCCTCAACTGTAACAGCCAGAATACTGCTTTTGACAGATTTTTGAGACGAAAATATTCACAGGGCTAAAAAATGAGATATTTTCAGCCAGACACAGTGGCTCACACCTGTAATCCCAGCACTTGAGAGGCCAAGGCGGACAGATCACCTGAGGCCAGGAGTTCGGGACCAGCCTGGCAAACATGGTAAAACCCCATTTCTACTAAAAATACAAAAATTAGGCCAGGCACGGTGGCTCACGCCTGTAATCCCAGCACTTTGGGAGGCCAAGGTGGGTGGATCACCTAAGGTCAGGAGTTCAAGACCAGCCTGGCCAACACGGTGAAACCCAGTCTCTACTAAAAATACAAAAATTAGCCGGGCATGATGGCAGGTGCCTAAAATCACAGCTACTCAGGAGGCTGTGGCAGGAGAATCACTTCAGCGCGGGAGGCGGAGGTTACAGTGAGCCAAGATCGTGCCACTGTACTCTAGCCTGGGCGACAGAGCAAGACTCTGTCTCAAAAATAAATAAATAAATAAAATAAAATAAAAATTAGCCAGGTGTGGTGATGCACATCTGTAATCCCAGCTACTCTGATGGCTGAGGCAGGAGAATCACTTGAACTTGGGAGGCGGAGGTTGCAATGAGCTAAGATCATGCCACAGCACTCCAGCCTGGGTGACAGAGCAAAATACTCTCTTAAAAACAAACAAAAAAAAAGAGGTATTTTCTTTTTAAAATTAGGCATGTTATGACTGTTTAAAAACTCTAAATTATGTTATTTACATTCATTCAATAACATTTATTGAATAGATATTGTGTAAGGCATTTCCAGGATATAAAGAAAATCACGTTCTAACTAAAGAAAAATAAACCGTAAAAATGCAGAAACTGCAGTATAAATTAAGTTTTGCAAACAAAATAAAGATGAATAACCCTTGAACATTCCTCAGCGGTTATACTGTAACACACATACACATAAATGCATGCCAATTCCAGTGGTGATAATACAGCTTCCCTAATTTTGGGTGCTCAAGCATAGCAATCAATTGTGCAATAACTTTTAGGGTACCTGGGAGACAGAGGTGGGAAGACTGAGTTTGTCTCCCTTCCTTTCAATTAAATTACATTTATTAAAAGTCTTAGATTTTATGTATGGGTCAACATCATCCAAGAATATGAGGTAAGTAACTAAAAGTAAACATAAATGTAAGAATGATTAGGGTGTATTTTTAAATTATTGATAAACTGAAAATTTATATATATTAAATATATATTTATACATTATATATTTATCTGTAATTTATAGATAGTATATATTTACTATATATAGTGCATATATATGCACAATTCTATAGTACTTGAAAATGTATTAAGTACCTAATCATTGCAAGATACTATTTTTTAATACTTGAATATTTGTGGCACTAAGGGGTCTAAGTAGCATTTTAAATACTTCTTGATGGAATACAACATACAGTATGCAGAATACACATATAGACAGAAATATATAAAAACAATTAGTAAATAGGTTTAATAAACAGGTGAGCAACACCCATACAGCCACCATCCAGGTAAGTTTAAAAAACAGAATACTGCTAGCATTCCTGTAGTGCCCCATGTACCTACCCCTTCCTGGTTATAACAGCAACCCTTCCTATGCTTTGGAGATAACTTATCCTAACATTTTAAGAAATAGGTCTTCAATTTTCTTTATAGGTTTACTATCCATATGCAAATTCCTAAATATTAATTTTTTTTAAGTGATGGAAGCTAACTTTATTAGAAATGAAAGGTTCACTCTTGTCCTTGCTCCCTAATTACTTTAATTTTACTTTAAGTTCTGGGATACATGTGCAAGAACATGCAGGTTTGTTACATAGGTATATAAAATTTTGTCTATCTTTATGGAAATGAAATCATACTGGACAAAATATTTTGTCATGCTTCTTTCACTCAACCTTACATTTTAAGAGTTATCCATGTTACTGTATGCAGCCAGTTTATTTTCATGACTATTTCTTTTATAATTTATCCATCCTTTTTTTTTTTTTTTTTGAGACTGAGCTTCACTCTGTCGCCCAGGTAGGAGTGCAGTGGCATCATGTCAGCTCACTGCAACCTCCATCTCCTGGGTTCAAGCAATTCTCTTGCCTCAGCCTCCCAAGTAGCTGAGATTACAGGCACCCACCATTACACTTGGCTAATTTTTGTATTTTTAGTAGAGACAGGGTTTCATCATGTTGGCCAGGCTGGTCTCGAACTCCTGACCTCAGGTGATCTGCCCACCTCGGCCTCCCAAAGTGCTGGGATTATAGGCATGAGCCACTGCGCCTGGCCCATTCTTATGTTAATAAATATTTGAGTTATTTCTACTTTTTCTGATATCATAAGCAATGCTGTTGTGACTTCTGATATACATTATAGCTAGCCTCTCTGCTTATACACCCAGGAACTGCTGGCTCATATGGTATATGTTCTTTCACTTCAGTAAATAATGTCAAAGTATTTTCAAAAGTGGTTGTCCCTCATTTACACCCCTCACCAACAGTGTATGAGATCTGTTGTTCTTATGTACCATGGAACTTAATTTTTATCAATCTGGTGAGAGTGTAAATAACATCTAATAGTAATTTTAATTTGCACTCCCCAATTACTAATAAAGTTGAACAGCTTTCCACGTTTATTGGCTATTTCAATTAGTAAAGTGTCTCTGGAAGTTGTCTATTTTTCTTTTGTGCTGGCTGTTCTTTTCTTATTAATAGGATACTAGTTACACTCATTATGCATATTCTGGATAGTAGTATTCATTTGTTATGAGTTGAAAGTTAAGTATTTCTTCTCACTCAGGTGGGTTTTCACCCTCTTTATTACATAAATTATTATTGATTTGTTTCAAAAACTCAAACAATAGAGACTAAGGGAAGTTTCAGATTATTTTCTGTTCGTACCATAAACTACAAATAACATCAGGTCATAGTAGGGACATATTATACTTCCATCAAGTAAGTAAGTACTTAAGTACCCAGTGTGTGACATAGCCAAAGATAATCACCTGTCCTGGAAGAGCTTATAGTTTGGTTAAGGAAAGAAGCTGTATACAGATGCAATCATAAGAACAAGGATAAAAAATGTTTAGCAATCAAGGGGTAACATGAGGGATGTGGATTATAGTGCAATCATTATTAACATCTTCTTGTCAACAGTTTATACATGCAAAACTGCATTCTGAACTGCTAGCTATCTTGTCCTTTCCATGGCATCCTTTACCCAAGAAATTCCCAAGGCTCAACCTTGTGAGTTCAAACAGTTGAATTCTGTGATTCTGCTTCTGTGATTCTGCTCAACTGTAACTGACCAAAACTCAGAATCCAGGCATGCAAAAAAGAAATTTCTGCAGCAGATAATCCAAGTAAAATTAAAGTACAATTAACCTCTGCATTAGAGTCAAGGGCAAATGATCTTTCACATCATTCTAGGAACCTAGGTTCATTCTGGGATATTCCTCTATCTGGGCAAAGTTTCATATAAAACATCATTGTTCCGGAATAACTTCAAATTCATATCTGGAGCAACCGATGACTGTAGCCTATGGAATGACTGGATACAAGTTACATCTAATTCAGTCCAAAGGCACTAAGACCTATCCTGAAATTGGCACACTATTACCTGAATACAACCAACCAACCAATGACAGAAATATCTAGTCCTTAGTTCTTCAGAGTTATCCTTAAATCTTCTCAGAAAGGTAAAAAGCCACCTAATGGAGGTATGATACAGATATAATGCCACCTCTTAATCCATAGTAAGGTCACTTCTCATCAATAAATTAGTTTTAAAAATGTGTTTATTCTGTAAGTTTTGAAAATAGGAAACAGCCATTGGGAAGTTTTTCTTTTTGTTATTTTTTTAGATGGAGTTTTGCTCTGTAGCCTAGGCTGGAGTGCAGTGGTGCCATCTCGGCTCACTGCAAGCTCTGCCTCCTGGGTTCAAGCAATTCTCCTGCCTCAGCCTCCGGAGTAGCTGAGATTACAGGTACCCGCCACCACGCCCAGCAAATTTTTGTATTTTTAGTAGAGACAGGGTTTCACCATGTTGGCCAGGCTGGTCTTGAACTCCTAACCTCGTGATCTGCCTGCCTCAGCCTCCCAAAGGGCTGAGATTACAGGCGTGAGCCACCGTGCCTGGCCTGGAAAGTTTTTATGGAGATACTAGTTTAGGTCAACATGTTTAATAACTACTTTGTGGTTGCTCTGGTAAACCATGAATTATATGAAACAAGAGTTAACAACAAAAGCAATCTAATGGAGTTTAAAGAAAAATGTCCGGTAGTCAAGTGAAGAAAGCTAACAGACTAGGTATGACCCAGTGACTACACTTCCATAGATAAATCTTAAAGAAACATGTGCAAAAGAGACATGTGCAAAGATACTAACTTTGAAATTAATAGCAAAAATTGGAAACATAAGTATCCATCAGTAGGAAAATATGTCAATAAACTGTTACATGATGAAAAAAAAAAAGAAAAACTTTCAAATGACCATCATGCAGAAGTTGAGAAAAAAAAAGAAAAAAATTACAGCAATTAGAAATAAATGTTCATCTACATATATGAATACAGATCAAATTCAAAAATAAGAGTAAAAAATGCACACAAATACATCTATATTATCTCATTTCTTTTTCTTTTTTAATAGAGATGAGGTCTCACTATATTGCCTAGGATGGTCTTGCACTCCTGGGCTCAAGCTATCCTCCCGCCTTGGCCTCCCAAAGTGCTGGGATTATAAGCAAGAGCCACCACGCCCAGCTATATTTTACCATTTCTAAAAACTTTTAAAATGCCACACAAAACAATATGTTCTAAAATGCAGAAACATCTATTGTTATGGCCATAGTTGCCTCAAAGGTAGGAGGGGACTCCACTCTACAGTTTAACTGTAGTTTAACACAATGGTTAAGAGCAGAGACAAGATGCTGGATTGGAGCTTATTTCCACCACCTATTTGGGTGACACTATAATCTCTCTGTGCCTTAGTGTGTTCTTAACTGTAAAAAAGGAAAGATCATTACCTAATTTATGAGCTTATTGTGAGAATTAAATGAGCTAATACATCAAGTGCTTAGAAAAGTGCTTGGCATAAAGTTACACTATATATGCTATCTAAAAAGAGGGCTGAAGGCTGGGTGTGGTAGCTCATGCCTGTAATCCCAGCACTTTGGGAGGCCAAGGCGAGAGGATCACTTGAGCCCAGGAGTTTGAAGCTGCAGTGAGCTATGAATGCATCACTGAATTCCAGCCTAAGCAACAGAATGAGATTTTGCCTCAAAAAAAAAAAAAAAAAAAAAAAAAGGGGGGCTGGGCACTGTGGCTCATGCCTGTAATCCCAGCACTTTGGGAGGCCAAGGTGAGAGGATCACTTGAGCCAGGAGTTCAAGGCTGCAGTGAGCTGTGATCACTCTACTGTACTCTGGCCTGTGGAACAGTGCGAGACGTTGTCTCAAAAAAAAACAAAGCCAAACCATTTGAAAATATATACATTTTTTAAAAGAGAGAGAGAGAAAGAAAGAGCTAAAGAACACATGACATTCCAATGCATTTGTTCATGTTGGGTGGTGGAAATACAGGTGTTTGTTATATAAACTGTCCTTTTCTGCTTTTTTTAACGGACCTTTCCAATGCTTTTTTTAACTTTTTTTAACTGAATCTTCTTACAGAATTCAGATTCTTAATACTTAATTCCCTCAAATTAATTTGTGCTCAATTGATGTTACCTTTTAACCATTATACTCTCATCACCTCCCTCATGTCTTTTTCTATCTCCCCATCTAAACAGAAAAATTGCTGTCATCTATAGTTCTTATGAGTATTAAGTTCCTGAAAAGTCCAGGAATGAGCTAACTGCAAAAGAATCACAGGGGAATTTGCTGACTAACACCGGTAAACCCTCAGCCCTTCCACTAAGATTCACAGGTCTAGAGAGTAGCCCAAAAATGTGCATTTTTACTATGGATCCAGCCAGCTGGTTCTAAAGAAAGTGATCCAAGGATCACATTTTTGAAAAACAGTGCTCTAGCAAAGGGATCCTCAAAAAAGGGAGGAGAATATTTTTTTAAACACAAAGTCCTTTTTGCAATTGATAGTCCCTTTAGTAACAGGATATTCCCCACCAACAATCCCATCCCCATCCCAGGAGTAACTCAGGCAAGACAGGGTACAAAATGAGGCTATCAACTGCTGTTTCATTAAATAAAAAGAGCATCTGTGACTACTCCTGTTGGTCTTAGGTTACCTACTTCCTCTCAAAACTTTTCTCACACTCAAAAGAGGATTTTCAGAGATTTGAAGAACACTCAAAGTTTAGAGTACCAAACAAAGACAAACCAATAACAAGAGATTAGAAACGTACAGCAGACATAGTGAGCTATCAGGGAGAAAAGATATGTTTTACTTGTACTTAGGAGTTTTAAAGAATCTGAAAAACTATTAGTCCAGGTGTTTTCAATAATACTTTAATAGTTCTCAGTACCCAATTCCAATCTCTATGAATCTGAAATAAAAATAGCAATTGCATCTCTTTTCTGGTAACAACTCATCTGATCTTGGATTTCTCTGGTGGCAGTAGTATGACTTTATAACCTTCAATCAGAAAAGCCACCTCGCTTTTTAAATTTTTTATTGTGAAAGTTGAAAGAAAAATGCAAACTTACTGAATCCTTCTTACGAGATCGTTCCTTCTTCATTTTCCCTCCTGCTGCTCTGATGCTGACTCTGTTTTCTCCTCCCAGGTAACCCCGGCAATTGGCTGATCCGCAGAAACATTTCTGGGCTTCTTTTCTGTTCAAAGAGCATAGGAAAGAAGTCAGCTATGTGGAAGTAAACCATACAAAACTGTTGGCAATACACACAAAAGTCATACCAGTCTAAACAAAATCAAACAAACAAAAACCATAACTTGAAGAGATTCCAACAAGTCTGCTATTACTAATAGAAATGTCTGAAAACTGCTCTTTAAAAATATTCATTATTTTTCCAATCATCTTTCTTTGGGAGACAAAACTAGCCAAGAAATAAACAATTCTTCCATTTTATGAGAATACCTAGTAATATGAAAATAAGAGATCATATACATGTTTGGATTAAGAATAAAATTGCTTAAATAGTTCAGAGAACTATTACTTATATGTAAATGTTTAATTGGCACATAGAACAAACAAACATGCATTAGTATAAGCAGACATAAAATGATTAATACAGGATACTTAAAAGGAAACATTTGATTATTAAAAGACTGGCTGGGCACAGTGGCTCACGACTGTAATGTCAGCACTTTGGGAGGCCAGGAGTTTGAGACCAGCCTGGCCAACATGGTGAAACCCCATTTCTATTAAAAATACAAAAATTAGCTGGGCATGGTGGCACACACCTGTAATCCCAGCTACTCAAGAGGCTGAGGCATGAGAATTGTTTGAATCCAGGAGGCAGAGGTTGCAGTGAGCCGAGATTGCACCACCGCACTCCAGCCTGGGTGACAGAGTAAGACTCTGTCTCAAAAAAATAATAATAATAATAATTGAGTATTCTAATAGTAAACTGGTGGACTTAGGATATGATAGTGGCAATTAGAGGGATAAAAATAAATTGTTCAATAAGTAGAGCAGGAATTCCCAAACAGCACTTGATTTCCACTTTTCTTTCCCTCAGAGAGGACAATACAAGCACAGAGGCAAAAAAATGGAGCCCGACACAGAACCTGGTCTGCATTCATGCCCTGAATATCTGACAAGAGAAGCAGACAGAATCGGAAACAACCATCTGGCATTTGTCCTAGATTATAATCAGATCATCAGTTTCAGAGTTCACTATGTTTAAGACATGAAGCATGTATGAAACAATGTGAAGGAGTATGTAAAAGACCTTCATTGCCAGAAGTCTGGTAACTGTCACCAGACTGAACAGAGTACAGGAATTAAAACCTCATCATATGGTAGCATTAAAAGAATTAAAATATTCAGGAAACTCTGCAGCTGTGTGCTTTTCTAGCATAAACACCAAAAGCTACTAATTGATATAGGTATAATCTGAAAAAAATAAAATAAAAACTTTTAGGGTTTTGTATCTTACTTAAATTTTCCAATATTTTAATTGTACTGGTTTCTTAATAATCAGAAAGTATCTTGCATAGGTCACTGGTCCTAAAGACCCAAAGAAGATAGACTGTTTCACGGGTAATGTTGTGTTCTTTCATTATGAGGCACACATTAGTTGTCTTTTTCTGATATTAGCGGCCACTAATGACCACTGTTTAGGACCCATACCTTACTAAGTGTTGCAAAATGGTGATATTTTTACTACTTAATTTAGTTTTATCTTTTTGTTTTCTGAGACAGGGTCTTGTGCTATGGCCCAGGCTGGACTGTAGTAGCAAGGTCATGCCTCCCTGCAGCCTCAATGTCCTAGGCTCAAGTGATCCTCCCACCTCACCCTCCTGAGTAGCTGGGACTATAAGCATGCACCACTCACCTACTACTACATTTATTAACTGGAAGACTTGTACAAAGAAAAACTTCTTCTCATCAACTATTTGGTTTAACCTAAAGCAGAAGTCACTTGAGAAAGGCAGAATAAATGTTTAAATGCTTAATTTTTTTCCTTTTTTATTTTTAAACTAGTCTTCAAAGTCATGAATTGGTTGACTAATATACCTTTTTTTTTTTTTGCTTTTTTGTTTTTGTTTTGTTTTTTTCGAGACAGAGTCTTTCTCTGTGCCCAGGCTGGAGTGCAGTAGCACGATCTCAAGTGATTCTCCTGCCTCAGCCTCCGGAGTAGCTAGGATTACAGGCATGTGCCACCCCACCTGGCTATTTTTTGTATTCTTAGTAGAGACGGGGTTTCACCATGTGACCAGGCTGATCTCGAACTCTTGACCTCGTGATCTGCCCACCTTGGCCTCTCAAAGTGCTGAGATTACAGGCATGAGCCACCGCACCCAGCCTCCCAGGCGTAGTTTTTTGTTCGTTTGCTTTTTATTTTTTTTAGATGGAGTCCCTCTGTCACCCAGGCTGGAGTGCAACAGCACGATTTCAGCTCACTGCAACCTCCGCCTCCCAGGTTCAAGCTATTCTCCTGCCTCAGCCTCCAGAGTAGCTGGGATTACAGGCGTGCGCCACCACGCCCAGCTAATTTTTATATTTTTAGTATGGACGGGGTTTCACCATGTTGGCCAGGCTCAAACTCCTGACCTCATGATCTGCCCGCCTCAGCCTCCCAAAATGCTGAGATTACAGGCGTGACCCACTGCAACCAGCCTGTAGTTTTATTTTTAAGTAGTCATTAGAACACAGGGATTTTACATAATGTGCTTCAAACCTCCTCAGTATCTTTATTAATGCTTCAGTGTTAATAAGAACTCTCACACTTTTTGCTTAGGCAGTCTTTGCTATTGCATCGGTTACTGTTTTTAGGAAACAGAACTAGGTAACCAGGCCGGGCGCAGTGGCTCAAGCCTGTAATCCCAGCACTTTGGGAGGCAGAGGCGGGCGGATCACAAGGTCAGGAGATCAAGACCATCCTGGCTAACACGGTGAAACCCTGTCTCTACTAAAAATACAAAAAATTAGCTGGGCGTGGTGGCGGGCGCCTGTAGTACCAGCTGCTCAGGAGGCTGAGGCAGGAGAACGGCATGAACCTGGGAGGCGGAGCTTGCAGTGAGCCAAGATCACGCCACTGCACTCTAGCCTGGGCGACAGAGCAAGAGTCCATCTCAAAAAAAAAAAAAAAAAAAAAAAAAAGAACTAGGTAACCAATTATATTTAAGAGTACAAAATGGTACAGATGAAATAGACTGGTTATGAGTTATGCTAACTGTTAATGCTGAATAACGGATACAGAGGAATTTATAATACTGTACTATTCTCTTCAGACACAAAAAGAGTTGGCATGTCTAAAGTTTTTCAGAATTACATAAGAAATATAATTATACAAGTAGACCATATGAAGTTGAGGAGAAAATTATACAGTTCCTGTACAACATCCCTTAAGGGTCAGAAGTGTCATACAGTAGAAAAACACACAAAACCAAAACAATATCTTATAGATAAGAGTTAAGAGTAAATATAACTTTTAAGTAATTTATATTAAAGTTTTATATCCTTATATCTGAACAGCCTATTTCCCCATCAGAAGCAGCAAAATTAGTAGAAACAATACTTACCCATATCTCTGGAACTGATAGTCAAACGTTAACTCTGAGCCTGAAGGAACCAGTTTGGTGGTAAAAAACCCAACCCTCAGTTGTCCGTTCACAGTCCACTGAGATGATGTTTGAAAACAAAAGAAATTAGTAACTTATTAGTGTGTGTGTGTGTGTGTGTGTGTGTGTGTGTGTGTGCGCATATATAAAGATCATCATCATCTGCCTTAATTATGCAAGTGGGTCTTTAGGCAATGAAGGTTTTCCCAAATAGCACATGGAGACTTTTTTCTTTAAAAGAACTAAAATATTTAAGTGTAACTCTCATTTAATGGACTACCAGATTGCATATATCTCTAATTCGTCTCTAATAAAAGTAACTGCTAAAAAAAAGAAAAAAAAGTAACTGCTATTTTAATTTATCTTAACATTTCCATACAGTAAAGATTCACTTGTACTAAAAATTGGCAAACAGAGGATGCTTGTGTCACTGAGTATCAAAGGCAAGTCTATATTAACATATGTTAAAAGTAACCATGTTGTAAGATAAGATGAGATATAGAAACTAGGAAACACTGATCCCAAAAGTTTAATTCCATGAAGTGGTGGTCATCTGGCTGAGTATAGTGAAAGGGACATCAGAACAGATGCATAAGACTCAAGAATTAAAATGGGGGCAGATACATGTTAGGCAGATCTTTTAGTTCCAAAACATGTAAGCAAGTCAAGGACTGAGGAGCTCTGATCCAGACAATTTGCACATGTTACTAATGAAAACTCTGGACTTGCAGAGATTAAGGGACACTGTACAGTGAGAGTCTCACAGCTAGACATGTGGCCACCAGCTCTGGCAGAACTATAACCAAAACCTAGGTTGAATGATTCCACAGTAGGTTCTCCTTTTTGTTATACAACTTGGCTCTTGGAAGAGCCATGCATAAAATCTATTAGTGTATAGTTCAAAGGGCAAAAAATATCCAGACTCAAAAGTGCTATTTCAACATGAGAGGAAATCAATGATATACATTTGCAGAGCGGGTTCATAGCTTTAACCTTAAAAAGTTACAATCCCAGCTGGGTGCGGAGGCTCACGCCTATAATCTTAGCACTTTGGGAGGCTGACGGGGGTGGATCGCTTGAGGCCAGGAGTTCGAGACCAGCCTGGCCAACATGGCAAAACCCCGTCTCTACTAAAAATACTAAAAAAATTAGCTGGACGTGATGGCACGCACGTGTAATCCCAGCTACTTGGGAGGCTGAGGCAGGAGAATCGCATGAATCCAGGAGGCGGAGGTTGCAGTGAGCCGAGATCATGTCACTGCGCTCCAGCCTGGGCAAAAAAAAAAAAAAAAAAAAGATACAATCCCTCTCAATGTTAGTCCTTCAGTCCCTCATCAGTGTTATTAAAAGTCAAATGTTGCACCTAGATAAGACCTAATAAAGAATCCAAATACACACTGAACTTTCAAAATTAAAATTTAGTTTTGTATTTTGGCACCATTAAAATAATATACAAAATAATTATGGGCAAGGAAGGAGAGGTGACAACTAAATGCAATGTGAGTTCCTGGATTGGATCTTGGACCAGAAAAACAACAGCTGTCAAAATTGGAATACGGTCTTCATATTACTTAATAGCATTCTCTGGATCTGATCCTTTTATTATGGTTATATATGATGTTAACATGGGGAAAGCTAGGTGAAGACTGATATATGGGTGTAGTCAATACTATTTTTCTAACATTCCTATAAATCTAAACCTATTTCCAAATAAAATCTTAAATAATAAAGTAGAATAGGAAAAAGGGACTAAAAAATTCATGAGTACCTTAGATATGGGATCTAAAATTAATGGTCAGAACAGCAATCGTGAACAAATACCTCAAACTCTAAATCCACCTCAACTTACTTTTTGGGTTTCACAATTTGGTTCACAGCTGTGATTCATGAAACGAGAGCAATTTCCTTTTTGAGTGGCATCTATTATCTGGGAGAAGAGGATCATTTAAGAATTAAAAAATAATACCTTAAATATTCATGCAATTACCTGCAAAACTACATACATCTCTTATGCATCAATTAAAAAAAAGATTGTGCTGCGAAACCTAACCAGTTAAGGTAGGGCAGTGAGGCCTCCTGACTACCAGCTTCAAAGTTTTTCCACTGTAAACAATGGCTCAGTTTCCATTATTTCTAACTGAAGACAGATGACACTGTGAATTAAATTAACCCAATCAAAAAAAATTTACACATTTTACAAAGGAAAAGCATTAAGACAAATGTAAGATACATGCAATGCACACGCACGCACACACACACACACTCCCTTATCCCCACTTTGCCCTTGCTTCAGAGAACTGTCACACTGCTTCCCACTTCAAAGCAACAAATACCTAACTGATGCTTTTGGAAGATCTGCTAATTATTAACTTTTGCCCATAGGCAAAATTATCTTTATCAGTGTCTCTCCCATTTATCCTTAGCCATTTCTTATATTCTATTACATCCTAATCTCACTGCATGGTATAATACTTCACTTTAAAGTGTGGGCTATGTCACAATGCCATAGGTCTCAACCTTGAGTGTGTATCCAAATCCCATGGAGAGTTTGTTAAAACTTGCTGAACCCATCCCTAGGGTTAAACTAAACAGCTCTGGGGTTAGGTCCCTAGAATTTACATTTCCACACTGAATACAGAGGCAGATATATGAGAATTGAACTGAATTTTATTAAGCCAGACATTAAAGAGATTTATAAAAATGTAAAGCGATGCAACTCTTTTCACTAAAAAAAAAAAAAAAATTTAAATAATCATTTTCCAAGGCCAGGCACAGTGGTTTATGTCTGTAATCCCAGTGCTTTGGGAAGTTGAGGCAGGAGGATTGCTTCAGGTCAGAAGTGAGACCAGCCTGGGCAACACAGCAAGACCCTGTCTCTACAAAAAATTTAAAAATAAGCCAGGCATGGTGGCATGTGCCTGTAGTTCCAGCACCTCAGGAGACTGAGGTGGGAGGACTGCTTGAGCCCAGCAGTTCAAGGCTGCTGTAAGCTATCATCATGCCACTGCACCCCAGGCTGGGCAACAGAGCAAGACCCTGACTCAAAAAAAAAAAAGTTATTTTTCATAATACCATGTTATTTTTATCAATAAGTAATGGGCTTACTATTGTTACAGTTAAGTCCTCACTTAAAGTCATCAACAGGTTCTTTGAAACTGCAACTTACAAAAGCAAAACAACATACAAGGAAACCAATTTTACCATAGGCTAACTGATACTAAACAATAGTTAAGTTCCTATGGCAGATTTCTGGCCACAAAACATCAACAAACTTCTAAATAAAGACCAAGATGGGCTGGGTGTAGTGGTTCATGCCTGTAATCCCAACGCTCTGGGAGGCCAATCTGGGCCAACACTCAAGTGATTCTCTGTTTTAGCCTTCGGTCTGAGCCCTTGGAGCAGCTGTAACTAGATGCATGCAAAACCATGCCCGGTTAATTTTTTTTTGTTTTTGTAGAGATGAGGTCTCACTATGTTGCCCAGGCTGGCCTCCTTTGGCTTCAAATGATTCTCCCACTTGGCCCTAATGTGGTTTTAAACAGACATTCTAAATTTCTCAGTTGTGATTTTTAATATGATTAAGTATAAGTAATTATAACCCACATAACCTATATAAGCAAAAGCACTTTGGGGCCAGGCACGGTGGCTCACACCTATAATACCAGTACTTTGGGAGGCTGAGGCACATGGATTGCTTGAGGCCAGGAGTTCAAGACCAGCCTGGCCAACATGGCAAAACCCCGTCTCTACTAAAAATACAAAAATTAGCTGGGCATGATGGTGTGTGCCTGTAGTCCCAGCTACTCAGAAGACTGAGGCACAAGAATCGCTTGAACCCGGGAGGCAGAGGTTGCAATGAGCCAAGATGGCACCACTGCACTCCAGCCCAGGTAATATAGCAAGACACTATCTCTAAAAAAAAAAAAAAAAAGGCACTCTGGGGGTCATCAATAATTTCTAAGAGTTGTAATCTAAAACACACTACGTTTATCTTTACATATATATATGTAAATTCCTCTCTCTTCCATGTTTTTATTTTCTACCTTGTCATGCAACAGTAACTTCCACGCTTTTTGAAAACAAATAGACGCTATTTATACTGCTCTGCCCCTCATTTTTGTCGCTTAATATATTTTAGAAATCAGTCGGCAGGACACGGTGGCTCATGCCTGTAATCTCAATGCTTTGGTGAGGTCAGGAGATCGAGACCAGCCTGGCCAACGTGGTGAAACCCCGTCTCTACTAAAAATACAAAAATTAGCAAGGCGTGGTGGCGGGCGCCTGTAATCCCAGCTACTCAGGAAGCTGAGGCAGGAGAATCTCTTGAACCCAGGAGGCAGGGGTTGCAGTGAGCCGAGATCTTGCCACTGCACTCCAGCCTGGGCGATAGAGCGAGACTCCGTCTCCAAAAAAAAAAAAAAAAAAAAAATCAAATCAGTATCAATGGCTCCTTCAAACCTAACAGATCTGTTTCAAGGCAAACATATCCAAGCTGCTTACCTCATCATTCTTCAGGGCCATGAAATAGTAATGGATGTTTTTGTTTCGTGCATACTCCTTCACTCGAGCTTTAAACTCTTTATGATCGAGTACCTCTCCACAATATTCTAGGACAAAGGTGTTCCTGCAAACCAAAAGGAAAAAAATAGCACTTCCTACCTAGGAGCAGTAGGGAAAACATATATGCTCAGGCAAAAATAAGGAATTTAAATAAATACTGCAATGTGGATAAATTCAGTTATTACACAAAATAAATTTCAAACACATGTCAAGTATCTAGCTTCTAACCAAGGTTACTTTTCTCCTTCACAGTACTTTTCAAAGAATGTTGATTCTAAGATGCTTTTATAATTTATACCTACTACCAAAATATATATCCTTTAACTAGATACTAAATCATTCAAGTCTGGCTTACAATATCAAAAAAAGTTATTAACAGCTGGAAAACAGCTCTGAAGAAATCAAGAGACACTGAAAAGTTAGAGGATTTTTGCTCTAAAAAAAAAAAAAAAAAAAAAAAAAAAAAAAAAGGCAGCCGGGCGCAGAGGCTCATGCCTATAATCCCAGCACTTTGGGAGGTAGAGGCGGGTGGATCACCTGAGGTCACAAGTTCGAGACCAGCCTGACCAATATGGTGAAACCCCATCTCTACTAAAAATACAAAAATTAGCCAGGTGTGGTGGCATGCACCTGTAGTCCCAGCTACTTGGGAGGCTGAGACAGGAGAATTGCTTGAACCTGGGAGGCAGAAGTTGCAGTGAGCCGAGATCGCGCCACTGCACTCCAGCCTGGGCAAGAGAGTGAGACTCCGTCTCAAAAAAAAAAAAAAAGGAAAAAGAAAAAGAAGAAGGCAACTTAAATATAGCAGCCCTTCTGCTGTCTTTACTCTCAAAGGTCTCTAAAAATGTTAAAGATCAAATCTAATTCCCTTTATGTAATGACATTCTCTTTGACGTCTCTTTAGAATGTTATCAGTAATTGTTATTTATCTTCTTCTTTGGCATCTTTCAGTTACCCTTTATCTTTGAATGTTCTTTTCTTGATTATTTACCTATTTATTCTGAACTGAAGATATTAAATTATCAGTCTTTTCCCCTTCTCTTAATTCTCTAAAAGCTCATTCTAACCAATGACTTCAACTATTAGTTCTATGTAGACAAATGTTATACTATGTTTTACTCTGAAGTTCTGACATAAAATGGCCTGCCTGAAAGTCTTTTCTTATCCCCTCAAAATAAACATACCCTAATTCTAATGAAAGAAATTTTTTTAATGTAAATCTTTTGTATTTGTTTACAACATACTGGCATAATCAATGTACTTATTAAAGGAGTTAACTTCGCCAACTGAAAAAAATTAAATCCTTTTACTTTAAAAAATAAAGCAATTAAAAACAAATGAGAAAAGAACACATATATTAAAAAGCAGAGCTCAAAAACAGGATTGGAGAAGTTTATAGTGGATGTATATATATATTTATATAGTAGTCCATCACAAACACATTTAGGTCTCAATAATAAAAATCTGATTATTCATGGGTAAACCTAGAAAGTCAAATTATTACCTCTATAACCAATATTTGAAATGTCCTTTCTAACCCCAGAAGCTTATCATCTTGCAAATAATTTAAAATGATGACAAAATTTGAGGTCCTACAATGTTGGACTCTCCACTTCCAGGATTAGTGCCCTCCCTCAAGAAAAAGAAAAGTCACTTTGGGTGGCGGGGGGGGGTGGGGGGGGGGTGGCAGGATTGCTTTGGCCCAGGAGTTCAAGACCAGCCTGAAAAACACAGGAAGACCTCATCTTGACAAACAATAAAAAATTAAAAAATTAGCCGGCCATGGTATTATGTGCCTATAGTCCACTACACCAGTTGAAAGCCTGGGGCAGGAGAATTGCTTGAGCCCTGAGTTTGAATCTACAATGAGCTACAATCACATTACTGCACTCCAGGCTAGGTGACAGAGCAAGACCCCATTGCATTAAAAAAGAAAAAAAAGCTGGGCACAGTGGCTCAAGTCTGTAATTCCAGCACTTTGGGAGGCCGAGGTGGGTAGATCACTTAAGCCTGGGAGTTTCCGACCAGCTGGGCAACATGGTGAAATCCCGTCTCTACCAAAATAAATAAATTTTAAAAAATGTTTTAAAACATTTTTTAAAAACTTAAAAAAGAGAGAAAAAGAAAAATGACATCATGGACTGCCTTGTGAATTAAATGTGGTGACTACAAAACATATATTATCCAGGATCTGGAACTGCACACATAAAAAATATTTCCAATCCCTCTTCTGCCAAAAATCTATCTTCCCTAAACTTACTCATTTAAGGCTTGATTACCTGCTTTTGAAAGGTAGTATGAAAAATAAAAATAAAGCATATTGATGTCATCTGGCATCGATATTATGCCCATTTGACAAATAAGACAGAGTTTGGATAATGTAGGTGATCTATCCAACTTCATAAAGCTCAATTACAGCCTGGGATTCAAACTCCACCTAAATAACTATTTACCTCATTATATTATAAAGATGCTTTCTTGAATTTTACTAAAATATTCAATTCTAATGATATTACTCTCAAATCACCTTATTTAGAAAAAGTTCTTAAATATCAGAGCCTGACCAGCCAGTAAATCACTCAGAGTAGAGACCCCACATCAGGAAGTTGGAAGGATATACCAACACACATGGATCTAACAGTTTGAGCTTGAGGAAGCAGCTGAGAGAAGCATCTCAAAGTCCTCAGGAATTTGGGGAATGTAGGAAGAGTGGCTAGACCCTCCAGCTGCCTGACCTCCAAAAAACTAAATGAGGCCAGTGTAAAAGTCTATCATGCAGTCCTTAAAACTCTAAGATTTAGGTTTCTTAGAGAAGCTACGTGTCTCAATTAAAAACCAAAATAAAAACAAAAACAAAGCAGAAAACATCATATTGCCTGGCATGCAGTGACTAAATCCCATGAAGGCAAAGGCAATGAGAAGTGTGATTCTTATGATTCTTATTAATCTTTTTCTAAGCCTGAAATTTGCTCCTGGCTGAATAGGGTCACTTCATTGAACTCCTTCTCCTTAAAGCCTGTTCAGGGCAACAGGGCTCTACTATGGCAGGTGGGTGGGGACAGAAATTGTCACTGTCACTGCAAAGCTATGGAAGGTTTAGGGGTTAAGGGTAACGTCTGCAACTCCCTTTAAGCTTCATCAAAAAAAGACTGATAGATAAAAAAGAGACGGGCAGACAGAGAATGTAAAATAAAGCAAACAGAACAAAATGTTAATAACTATAAAACCTAAGTGGTGCTTACATGGACACTAACTGTTCAACTCTTTCAACTTTTCTGTAAGTTTGAAACTTTTTATTAATAAAACGGGCCAGGGGTGGTGGCTCACGCCTGTAATACCAGAACTTTGGAAAGCCAAGGTGAGAGGATCACTGGAGCTTAGGAGTTCGAGACCAACCTGGGCAACACGGCAAAACCCTGTCTCTACTAAAAATACAAAAAAATTAGCAGAGTATGGTAGTGTACACCTGTAGTCCCAGCTACTGAGGAGGCTAAGGTTGGGGGATCACCTGAGCCCAGGAGGTTGAGGCAGCAGTAAGCTGTGATCGCGCCACTGCATTCAAGCCTGGGCAACACAGTGAGACCCTGTGTCGGAAAACAACAAAAAAATGTGGAGGGGAAAGATGGCTTCTAAAAAAGCCTCATTTCGGCCAGCCACGGTGGCTTACCCCTGTAATTACAGCACTTTGGGAAGCCAAGCCAGGCGGATCACCTGTAGTCAGGAGTTCGAGACCAGCTGGGCCAACATGGTGAAACCCCCTCTCTACTAAAAATAGAAAAATTAGCTGGGCATGGTGGCGCACACCTGTAATCCCAGCTACTCAGGAGGCTGAGGCAGGAGAATCACTTGAACCCGGGAAGCAGAGGTTGCAGTGAGCCGTGATCGTGCCACTGTGCTCCAGCCTGAGTGACAGAGCAAGACTCCATCTCAAAAAAAAAAAAAAAAGCCTCATTTGCCCAAATGTCCATCAACTAACAAAAGGATATACAAAATATCGTATACCCATACAAGAGAGTATTATTCAGCCATAAATAGGAATTAAGTGCTGACACATGCTGCAATACAGATGAAACCTCAAAAACATAATGCTAAGTGAAAGAAGCCAGACACAAAAGGCCACATATTGTATAATTTCATTTATACGAAATACCGAGAATAGATCAACCCACAGAAACAGACAGCAAATTAGTGGCTGCCAGGCCTGGGAGGAGGCAGGTATGAGAAGATTCTGCTTAACAGGCAGAGTTAGTTCCCTTTTCAGATGATGAAAATGTTTTGGACACAGACAAAAGTGGCAGTTGCACAAGATTATGAATGCACTAAATGGTACTGAATTGTAAACTTTAAAATGGTCAATATTATATTATGTGAATTTTACCTCAATTAAAACCCTATCTGGTATCCAATTACATTAAGTCAACCTGGACTGCCTTCTCTTCCTACAACTGGGAGATTTCCTAAAACTACAGGGGTTTTGGTAATAACCTGCTTTTTTGGTGGGGTCTGCCATGGCACTTTAACACTAACTAGTAACTTAGCTCCAAATAATTTCTCATCCTGTGTAGCTCTGACAATCTGTCCTTATTAAATGGTAATACTCTACCAGTAAACAACGCAAGAGTTTTGACTAGTTTATGAAATTCATAAACTATTGGTATTACACATCATCATGTGGCAGTTATAGGAGTAGGAAGGTATGGGAAACATGGAAACATTAAGTCCTAGTATATTTTACCAAAGCAGGGTTCTCTGTGAATAGCTGAAGAAAACGGAAGAGCTTTAGGAAATTTTAACCTGGCTTATAAACTGGAGCCATATATCCTTTCCTCCCTTCCCCAGTCTCCTTTCCCCTTAATATGAGAAGAGCACTGAGCTATCAAAGAGTGTCTGTTGCAAGTAACAGAATTTAGATCAGGTTTGAAGCTATGTGTTTTACTGCAGATACCACAAAAGACCAGCATCCAGACAGCTCATCCACTATTGTCCCTGTAAGAGAGGCTTGTGTCCAAACTGTGGTTCCTTTAAAAAAAAAAAAAAAAAAAAAAAAAAAAAAAATCTCAAGAAGGCCTGGCTGGCTAGGGCAGAATGAAAGAAGGCATCTTTGAAAATGTGCGTCTGGACTAGAACTAGTGATTTTGGAAATTCAATGGGCTGCTTTGAGAGGTATTGAGTTCTGTATCAACAGTGTTCAAAGGAAGTGTAACCAATTATTTGTTTAAAATATTATAAAGAATCCAATGAATGGATATGGGGCATATGACAATTCTGTGGGATATTTGCTTCAAATAAACAATTAAAAACCAGTTATGAGAAGCCTAGGCAACATAGTGAGGACCCCATCTCTACAAAAAATAGAAAAATAAAGTAGCTGGGCATACTGGCTCACACTTATAGTCTCAGCTACTCAGAAGGCTGAGGCAGGAGGATAAATTGAGCCTGGGAGGTCGACACTGCAGTGAGCTATGATTGCGCCAGGATACTCCAGCGAGGGTGACAGGGCAAGACCCTGTCTCAAAAAAATAAAAAACAATAAAAACCAGTTATGAGCCAGGGTGTGTTTTTACAAAACTTAGAGGAGAAGAGAAATCTATGAGGTTCCTACTAGCCCCCTTTTTGTGTAACAAAACATGTTGCTTTCTGATTGGTTCCCAAAAGGATAGATTAATATCAACATCATTTCTTATCTTCAAAGGAAAAAAAAAAAAAGAACAATTTGCTTATCAAAAGATATATGAGGATTCCTGTCATAAAACTAAATTATTGCCAAGGGGAAAACAGTGAGAAAAAAAAATTATTGTCTTTATTACCTGTGTTTTGAATTCCCACAATAAACAGATTAAACCCCACCAAGTCCTGCCCCAACTCCAACTCCCATCCAACTGTGGCCATATGCTCAGAGGGTTCTGAAAGAATAGTTATGTCTAAGTTACTAGAATCCAGCAAATGTTTTATTTCCTTCCATTTTTTCTTTTATATATTTTTTAAATGTTTCAACCATAAACACATGTAATCTGTTTATATTTAACTTCAAAGAGGCACTTGACCTTCATTAAGAATACTTTTTTTTTTTTTTTTTGGAGACAGTCTCGCTCTGTCCCCCAGGCTGGAATGCAGTGCCATGATCTCGGCTCACTGCAACCTCCTCCTCGTGGGTTCAAGCAAATTCTTCTGCCTCAGCCTCCCGAGTAGCTGGGATTACAGCTGTGCGCCATCATGCCTGGCTAATTTTTGTTTTGTTTTTTGAGACAGAGTTTCACTCTTGTCACCCAGGATGGAGTACAATGGCGCAATCTCGGCTCACTGCAACCTTCGCTTCCCCGGTTCAAGAGATTCTCCTGCCTCAGCCCCTCAAGTAACTGGGATTATTGGTGCCTGCCACCACATCCAGCTAATTTTTGTATTTTTAGTAGTGACAGGGTTTCACCACATTGGCCAGGCTGGTCTTGAACTCCTGACCTCAGGTGATCTGCCCACCTCGGCCTCCCAAAGTGCTGGGATTACAGGCGTGAACCACCACGTCCAGCGTAATTTTGGGTTTTTTGTTTGTTTTCGAGATGGAGTCTTGCTCTGTCTCCCAGGCTAGAGGGCAGTGGCATGATCTCGGCTCACTGCAACCTCCACCTCCCAAGTTCAAGCGATTCTCCTACCTCAGCCTCCCAGGTAGCTGGGATTATAGGCGTGCGCCACCACACCCATCTAATTTTTGTATTTTTAGTAGAGACGGGGTTTCGCCATGTTGGCCAGGCTGGTCTCGAACTCCCGACTTCAGGTGATCCACTCACCTTGGCTTCCCAAAGTGCTGGGATTACAAGCATGAGTCACCATGCCCGGCCAAGAATACTTTAAATATGCTATATATAAGAAAATTAAACATTTCCAGGAAATACTGAATATGGTAGAAAATAAAGTGAACCTTTTGCTGTATTACATTAAAAACTTACATCAGTTACATGGAAAGCAACATTTATTCATTCAAGAAATGTTTAATGATTATCTATCAAGTATGTTTTAATTCTTAACCTTGATATGCTCAGGTATTCTCTTCTACTCTTTTTTTTTTTCTTTAAGAGACAAGAGATCACTGCCATCCAGGCTAGAATGCAGTGGCGTGATCACAGCTCACTGTAACCTTGAACTCCCAGGCTCAAGCAGTCCTCCCACTTAGCTTCCCATAGCGCTGAGATTACAAGCATGAGCCACTGCACCTGGCCTTCTCTTCTACTCTTATCCCAACTCAATTTTATGTATACTAATGGATTCTGTCCCAACTTCTTTTTATATAGCTTCATAGAGATTCTGGGGGTCCACAGTAAACACTTGGTAGTTGCTTGGAATTAAAGAAAACATAATTACCAAAAAAGAAAAAAAGATTTTTTAACAACAAACTAGCTACCAAGTGGTCATTCTACATAATAATCATCATTAAACCTCAGTGTAATAAAGAAATTGTTTCCCTACAAAAACATCTAAGTTCAACAACACAAAAATGAAGTGAAGCCCAGGCGCGACGGCTCACACCTGTAATCCCAGCACTTTGGGATGCCAAGGTGGGCGGAAAACTTGCGGTCAGAGTTCGAAACCAGCCTGGCCAACATGGTGAAACAACGTCTCTACCAAAAAAATACAAAAAAAATTAGCTGGGCATGGTGGCATGAGCCTGTAGTTCCAGCTACTTGAGAGGCTAAGGCAGGAGAATTGCTTGAATCCGGGAGGTAGAGGTTCCAGTGAGCCAAGATCGTGCCACTGCACTCCAGTCTGGGTGAAAGAGTGAGACCTTGTCTCAAAAAAGGAAGTGAAAGGTAATTAAAAAAGAACTTACGAAGGAAGGTCTTTGGCAGCTCTCAAGCCCCAGCCTTTCTTTTCTGTGAGTATGACTTCCACATCTGCATGCTGTTTTCTCTGAAACCGTCTATTGGAACAATAATCCCCATTTGGACACCGAGAAGAACTGAAATGAGAAAAGGAGGAAATTTAATTCTTTAAAGCAGCAAAAGAACCAAAGTAACTTTGAAAAAATGTGTTAGTATAACTACATATATACATACTTTTATGGTATAATTAGCATATGTATGACTAACCCCCAACTAAGTCTTCCTTTCCTTCCATCACAAAGGGATTCCTTAGAACTGAGTATCTACATTGTTACTTAAACAGATCATACCCACAATACAGCCTTGATATCTGGTCATCACAGAAATATCTACCACTCCCTAGGTGTCTAGAATACATTTTCAGGCTGCATGTAAGCTTTCAGTACATTGACAACTCTGCAGAACTTATATTCTGTAAGTGCACCTTCCCTTCCTTCTACTCTAATCACTTTTAATTTCATTTTTTGAATGCAGCTAACTACTTGATCTACAATTGAGAAAATCTAAAGTCATTATTAAATATATCCTTGTTCAGAGTAAACAGAATAACATGGCATGGCTCTTCTCCCATGGATCCTAGAGTAAAAATGATAAAATCGAACACTGATTGACTTCTTAATATGTGATAGATATAAAGGTTTTAACGATGATTAAAACTACACCAGAGGGGGCTGAGTACGGTGATTCATGCCTGTAATCCCAGCACTTTGGGAGGCCAAGGCAGGTGGATCACTTGAGGTCAGGAATTCAAGACCACCCTCGCCAACATAGTGAAATCCTGTCTCTCTGAAAAATACAAAAATTAGCCGGGCATGATGGTGCACGCCTGTAATCCCAGCTACTTGGGAGGCTGAGGCAGGAGAATTGTTTGAACCCAGGAGGCAGAGGTTGTAGTGAGTCAAGATTGTGCCACTGCACTCTAGCCTGGGCGACAGAGGGAGACTGTCTCAAAAAAAAAAAAAAAAAAAAAAGACCACTGGAAATTACCAATCATTTTGAATATATTATTATTTATTGCCCACCCAGCAGCAAATAACATTTTTAGCAATGGTCAAAGGATGAAGGATTTGCTCTAGAGTGAGGCAGTATAAAGGAAAGCTTTCAGGAGGGAAGAGAATTTAAGGCAGAATCTCTAATGATACATAGGATATGCATAAAGAAAGCTGGAGATACAACTGTCCCTGTCTGTGTGCAGAAATAGGAAAACAATCCCTGTTTGGACAAAGAGAAATGAAACAACTAAAGATAACTGATAAGAAAGGTGAGTTGCTGGAGGATGAAAAGACAGGCTGATGATATGCTACCAAGGGCTCTGAATACAAGGCTAAGTTTGAACCTAATCATGAGAACAACCGAGAACTACCAAAAGCTTAAGTGTGTGAATAATATGAAGAAATATTTTTCTTCATGTATGCTTCACAAGGTTGGCAGGAAAACCCAGAAGAATGACTAGGGCAACAATATGAAGTTAGAATAATGCTAACTCTATGTCTTCTCTTCTTACATCTGTACTGTCATCTCTCTCTCTAGTTTGGATAAAAGAATACCAAAAATCCTTTCTCTTTATTTTTTCAAGGTATATATATTTTATTTTTGCAACACTATAACATGAGCAAAACCAAAAACTGAGCTTTGGGGAAAAAAAACCTTCACTAACATCAAAAATAAGGTATACTCTTTCCATGTAAAAGACAAGAATATATTTTTCATCAATCAGATTGGTTAAAAAAATTTTTTTGAGACAACATCTCGCTCTGTCACCCAGGCTGGAGTATAGTGGAATGACAGCTCACTGCAAGCTCCACCTCCTGGGTTCAAGTGCTTCTCCTGCCTCAGCCTCCAGAGTAGCTGGGATTACAGGTGTGTGTCATCATGCCTGGCTAATTTTTGTATTTTTTAGTAGAGATGGGGTTTCACCATGTTGGCCAGGCTGATCCTAAACTCCTGGCCTCAAGTGATCTGCCCGCCTCAGCCTCCCAAATAGCTGGGATTACAGGCATGAGCCACTACGCCTGGCCAAAATTAAATTTTTTAATGTAAAGATATTTACTATTTATAAGAACAATACAGAAGCAAATGTCTGTCAACAGACTAATTACCGGCTAACTATGAATAGAATACATAATGCAGTCAAGAGAAAGATTTAGGCAGGTCTGTACACAGAGCTCTGATTAGGTCTGATTAGCAAATCCAAGCAAGTATATAGAATAAGATTTTATCTGTATACATAAAAAGAGGAAAACATCTACCTATGCTAGCATAGGCATTAAAAGTTTTCTGGAAAAATGACAAAACAATGGGACTGATGTTTGGGAGAAGACATTCACTTTATGCATTTCTGAAATGTTAGGGTTTTATTTCACTTTATAGTGAAAGCTAAAAAATACCAACATTTACCTCTAGGACATAAATATTATAAAAGATAAAAAAGTACTGAATAGAAATTAATATTATAGGACTACTTTACCAAGCACTTAAAACATGGTGGGTACTGTAATCTAATGCACAATGCAAGGGATATTTGTTTCCCTATTAATATGTTTTCTACTATACATCAAAGTGTCTACTATACTTTTTTGCTTGTAGTCATCCATAGGTAGGAGAAAGGTTAAATTTTATTCTTCATTGATAATTCAATATTTAGAGACATTTAATAGAAGTGTTGAGCAAAAGCCGAGTATTCTAATTTACTTACCATTCAATCATGAGAAGACGATTAAGACAATCTTCCCCACATGCTATTTCACCTTGAGCTCTTTCATCTTTAGAAAGAGGTGTACACTCACACTGCATTCGCTTAATATCTCGATGAGATTTATTCTTCTTTCTATTGGGTAAAATTTCATAAAAACTGATTAAATAAATTTCCTGGTAAAGATATAACATATATAATCAAATATGTGCCAAATCTCATTAGATTCTTTTGGGTTTTTTTAAACAGGGTCTTGTTCTGTCACCCAGGCCAGGGTGCAGTGATGCGATCATGGCTCACTGCAGCCTCAACCTCCTGGATTCAAATGACCCTCCCACTTCCACCTCCTGAATAGCTGGGACCACAGCTCATGCCACCACGCTTGGTTTTTGTTATTGTTGTTGTTTGTTTGTTCTTTAATATTCTGTAGAGACAGGGTCTCTCTATGTTACTCAAGCTGGTCTTGAACTCCTGGGCTCAAGAAATTCCCCTGCCTCCACTTCCCAAAGTGCTGCAATCGCAGGCATGATCCACTACGCCTGGCTAGATTCACATTTAATGATTCCTGTAAGTCAACCATTCAAAATAAAACATCTAATTATTAGTACTTGTGAGACTGAAAATCCTAAGACCTGCATTACCAAAAAAAAAAAAAAAAAAACAAACAAAAAAAAAAACATGAGAAGGGCAACCTTAACCTTGGCAAATGGGGAAGATGAGATGAGTTCAAGACTACTCATTCTGGAACTCAGCCCTTATTTCCTACTCCAGGTCAGCTAAGCCTTGGATTCAGAACAGTTTCAAGTGTTAAAGTCATACTAGGTTCTAGGAAAAATAGGAAAACTCATGCATTTCAAATAGTGACATAGCTGGTTAAAGTTAAGTTTAAGAATCAGACCTCATGGATGAGCAAATAATAGTTGAGATATAAGATTGAGGGAGAAAAGGGGTTTCTAAAAAAATAAGAGTGAGTTCTAACTCAATCCAATATTTTAGAGAATCTTTCAGTAACATCACATCTGCATAAATTTTGTTTAAAAGCAGACTGAATTTTTTAAATGAAGTGTAATTACAGAATAATCAGGTAAATGTTTAAGAGGGCTCAACTTTCTCCATGCAGACAGATTTATTTTGGAGAAGAACATAAACTGCTAAAATTTGATTGCGTTCATAATAAGCCATGCCAGAGTGTGCAAAGCAAAAGTGAAAATGTGATTATTTATTGGCCTTTTTGCTGATGAACTAGTCTTTTACCCTGGTCTAAAAACAAAACAAAACAACCAAAGATGGTCAAAAAAGATCTGTTATGTTTAAGATTAGGGAACTATAAGAACTATAACTCACTCTTTGACTATCAAACAGGAAACAGCATAGCTGCTCTAAATGGTTATCTAATCTCCTACCTCTAATCTGCTTTGATCTTCAACATATGTTCTATTCTAGTGCCAATTTTATGAAGTGCCTCAAGAGTGTTATGATAGTTTTAACTAAGTTTAGGTGAAAAGAATGATTCCTCTTGATTAAAGACACAATTCGTTAATGAGTATATGAATATGCTTAGCCTGAAGATGACTAAACGAAATTATCTATTTAGAAGTACTTAGCTACAATTTTGAAGAATCAGCAGCAGCTTTATTTTGTATTGCTCTAGAAGGCTGGAATAGGACGAATGGGCATAGATTTTGGCAGGTAAGCCCTTTTCCATTAAACATAAGAAAAATGTTTTCATTATATTCATATTATTTTTTATAAGAGTTTGTCTTCTTAGTGGCTCCTAAATGCCTAGCATATAACAGGCACTTCAAAATTTTGAATATATAGGCCAGGCGTGGTAGCTCACGCCTGTAATCCCAGTACTTTGGGAGGCTGAGACGGGCGGATCACCTGAGGTCAGGAGTTCGAGACCAGCCTGGCCAACATGGTGAAACCCATCTCTACTAAAAATACAAAAATTAGCTGGGCGTGGTGGCACCCGGCAGAGGTTGCAGTGAGCTGAGATCACGCCACTGCACTCCACCCTGGGAGACAAAGTGAGACTCTGTCTCAAAAAAAAAAAAAAAAAGTTAAATATATATAAATCCTTCCCACTGCAAAGTGGTGGAAGCCCTCTTATGCCTCCACTAACCAAATCTATGTGCACAGTTTTATATATATATATCTGATTCTCAATGCTAAAGAAAAGTCAGAGAATTGGACTGATTAGTTTTATTTATATTCTTTTACAAAGATCTTGTAAGTTCCATTAGTCTACTCACACAATTCCTAAAGGGTACTACTTAAAATATTGAATATTTTAAATGTAAACTTAATTTATAACTAGATATAAATGAAAATAGCTGTAAAAGGCTCTCTGTTAAAAGGTTATTTTGTAATAGAAAAAAATTTCTGGTAGGACCTACCTTTAAAATTAAGTCTTTTACCTTATACACAGAGGAAAATTTGATTTAATAACATTTTGATCCTTAAAGATACAATGGCTAGGTTGATTCTCAACTAGCAGGAAAACTTCCAAAAAAGGAGAGTAAGGGGGCAGGATACTTTTTGTTTTGGTTTTTTAAGCACAATCAATATAAATTTACATCAGGAAAATGAGAAAATTATCAAGGAGGGGTTAAAGTTAAAACAGACTGAGAAGCCCTGCTCTAGAGGACTATGTTTTCATTACTCTTATTCTCATTATAATTTGTTTCATGTTAGGGATTTTTTGATAAACCACTTTATCATTTCTAAAATATTTATTACACTATTGCCAGATTTAATCTATTAACAATAGTCTAAAAAAAAATGAGAGAAGAAAATTATGTTCTAGTCTAGTTCTAACTTTATAAGTACCTGATATGGTTTGGCTGTTTCCCCACCCAAACTCAACTTGAGGAGGTAACTGAATCATGGGGGCCGGCCTTTCTCGTGTTATTCTTGTGATGGTGATTAAGTCACACAAGATCTGATGGGTTTATCAAGGGTTTTCACTTTTGCTTCTTCCTCTTTTTCTCTTGCCACCACCATGTAAGAAGTGCCTTTTGCCTCCTGCCGCAATTCTGAGGCCTCCCCAGCCATGTGGAACTGCAAGTCCAATTAAACCTCTTTTTCTTCCCAGTCTCGGGTATGTCTTTATCAGCAGCATGAAAACGGACTAATACAGTACCCAAAGATACTTCATTCTGCACATTTTTGAAAATAAAATCCAAAGTAACCACTTTTTTCTTCTCTAAGTACAGATTATTTTGCTGGGGTTTTATTCTGTTTTTTTGGTCAGACTTTCACATGTAAAAGGAATTACAGAAATACTGGGCTAGCCTAAATTGTACCTTGAAAACCAAACAAGTAATGAAAGAAAAAAATAGACATCTCCTTTCCTGGGGATGGGGCGGCGGGGGGAATGGGGAAAGGAATCTATACTATCAAATCTAAATAGGTAAAAACACTTTTTTAGACTTTTAAATTTACTTTATCCCACAACTCTTTCATGTGTTTAATCTCATACAGTCTGAATTGTTTAAAGGCTTTTTCTAACAACAAAAAAAGAGTTAAAATTTGTCAAACAAGTATTAATTAGACTTACCTTTCTGTTAAATAAACATTTTCTTCAATAAGATCAAAGTAACATGGCATTTTCCCTTGCTTGGCACATTCCTTCCATCGCTGTGGGTCCCTGAAGTCATCCATGACACAGGAGGGCCCAACCAGTGCTGAACCTGGGGGCACTGATGTCTCTCCCTGCTCTACCTCCACTCTAACTTTCTTTCTGTCCTGAAGCTCACCATCACTTTCAGAATCACTCTCTATTTCCTGCCTCCTTTTTTTAAGAGGCCCTCTATCTTTGATATCATTTTTTTCTAAGTTTTTTGAAAAATCTTTCTTTTCATTCACAGCTAAAGTGTCCTTAATGGAATTGCTGCTTATTTCAGGTGCTTGCACTGACCCCTTGTCTTTCTGAAGGGATAGAAGAAATTTATCGGACTGGTCTGAAAAATGGGATCCATCCTGTTGATCCCAATTCTCCTCTTCTTCACGATCATCTGTTAGGGAATCTGGTACTTGTCCTTGAGTTCGATCATACACAACCCCAGTTCCAGGAGGTCTACCTGATCTTGGATCCCAGTAACCATTGCCTTGCCAGTAATCACGTGTCCCACCATACTGTTCTGCATTTTGCTGATACTTGTGTCCACCACAAGCTCCATAGCTACTGTCAGGTTGCTGATACGTGGTAGAAGGCTTTTCTTGAGAGAAGTCCCAACCTAAGTTTCTGAGCTCTTCTGATGAGTGCAAGCCATCCACATGTGGTATCTCACAAGAGGAAGAAAAACTCAATTCTGTTTTTCCCAGTCTACTATCTGGCCTGTTTTGGAAAGTGGTCTGTTGCCAAGACTTATTTGGGACATCTTCAAAATCAGAAGAATAAATTGGCAGCTCTTCTTGCTGCCTAGAAGGTATTTTGGCTTTCACGGTTTCCTCTGAATTTGGGTGACCCAGAGGGTCAGATTTCACATCTGTATGACTTGTACTATCAACCCCATCACTCTGAGGATGAGAAAGTTCAGGCAGGCGATTATCTATTTGTTTTCTACTGGACTGTGTAAAAGAAATTTCCGGATTCTTCTCTGTTCCTTTATGAAGGAAAAACTTATCAGTTTGAGGACAGGCTTTACTTGCTATACTTTCAAATTTTTCCTCATACAAATGTCTCCTTGACTCCAATCTCTCATCTTCCCAATGGTCAGAATAGTGTCTATAACTTTGACTGCTCCGAGAAGAACAAGGACTTGTTTCTTCCATGGGCAAAGTAGAATTCTTTGGCACAACCACAACAGACTGGAGACGGTTTCTTGGAATACTGCTATCATCCGAATCTGTATCTTCTGAATCACTTTCATCATTTGAACTTTCAGAAGAGCCAGAATAATCTTCATGAACTGTAGACACAATTTCTGGGGCATGACCACTACTGTCACACTTTAATGCATAAGTTACACCATCACTGTCTTCCATGGTTAAATTCAAATCACAAGAAGAAAATACAACTTCTGAGTCATCAGAAGTATGCACATGTCCTCCTTCTCCTCTTTCATCTAAAGAGATTTCTGGTCTTCCTCTTCTTTCAGGCAATATGGAATTCCCTTCTTCTTGAGCCTCTTGCAAACATTTCCCAGATAACCCATTATTACGCCTGTTCTCCCTGGAAGCAAATCCCTTTCCTGAATCAGGAAGGTCACTACCTACTTCTACTATTGTTTCTTTCCCTGCATGCTTTAAAAACTCTGAACTTTTTTTACTCTTTAGCACTGCATCCAGAACTGGAGATGTGTTCTCTCCGCATTTCAAGAGAGTTAGACTGTCCACCTTTATTCCTGGTGGAAGACTCTGAAGAGATGAAGCAATACCTGAACTCCCAATAGGTTGATATAAATCATCAAAATGATTAACAGAAGCTGAACTAGTGCTACCGATGCTCTGCTTATATTCTTCACATGCAAATTTTGAGTGATCTGTCAAATTTCTACTATCACATATAACTGGTTTTGATTCCAAATGCACATTCATAAAGCTATTTGAAGAAATCTTCATAACTGAAGGCTCAATATTTTCAGCTTCAGAGTTACACAAAGAAGGGTTGCTATCGTTCAAAGTACAGTATATGTCTGAATCTTTGGTTTTGCAGCAAGAAACCCTCGTATCAACTGGTTCTTTAACTACTGTTTTGGAATAATCCACAGTCATAACTGGCATAGACATGAGTTTATCTTGGTGTGGTGACACCAGAGGTTCTGTTTCTCTAAATGGGCTTTCTGACTTCTTATGCAGCATGCAGGTATCATCCAAGTCTTTTTCTTTGCACCTACTAATATTCTGAAATCCATTTGATGAAAGCATGCATGCTTTGACCAAAGGGGATAATTCCGATCCAGTCACACTATCATCAGAAGTCATTAAAACAGCATCAGTTTTAGAAGTGCAAAATGTTGCCAAATCAGATTCTGCCCCAGGAGATCCATTTATATTTAATTCTATGGGACAAAAACTTCTTAATTGATCATTCTTCACTTTAGATAAAGAGTCTAATTCCTTAATACTATCATGGCTATCATGTGTTATAAATTCGGACTTAAAAATAGGCAATTCATCTAGCTTTTTTAAAGTAGGTGAATCATTTAATCGATTTGATGGAGCTGGAGACCCAGCCTTTTCTCTTTCAGGATTTTTATTAATCATTCTTAATTCACTACCTTTTGAACAAGGTGTCTGTAAACTAAAAGAATGAGACTGTTTGATTTCTTCATTTAATTCTGTACAACAGAAAGAATTTTTAAATTTATCAGACTTGGGTATAGGTTTTGAAAGGGTAGATTTATAACGGGAAGCACTACTGTCATGCTTAGAATATGATGACCCTCGTCGGAATCCCAGTTCATTAGGGGGAGAACAACATCTTTTAATTGCTTCATTTTCTGAAGTCCTTTTAGATTCTCTTTCTAGTTTTGAAGAATACTTGCCTCTTCTTTCCATCTCTAAGTAAGAGGTCTCAGTTTTACAGTCCCGATCAGATTTAGAATAGGATGATGTCCTTAGGTCTCTGTAAGAAGAGGAATGAGATGAGGTACGCCTTGAGTATGTCTTCTTATACTCTTCTTCTGAGTCAGAACTCTCTCGTGCTCTGTTATCTGTGTATGGCCGAGAATAGCGCGTCCTCTCTCGATAAGGGGAGCTCCTATGGTAGCGACGATCAGAGTCATAATAATGAGATCGTTCTGACCTGGAATAGGATAAATTAGTTCTAGAGCCTCTCTCAGACCTAGAGTGAGATCTGCTCCGCCGTCGCTCTCTTTCTGATCTACATCGGGAAGATACATACCGAGTATCTCTTTCAAGTTTTGAATAGCTAAAATATTTATCATCTCTGTCTGTTTTAGATCGTGAAGGTTTCCCTAGATCCTCACTTTTTAAAGGTGCTGAGCTCTTTTTAAAATCTCTTTCCTTTTCAATGCTTGCTGAAAATTTTAAATCATGTGATCTTTGACTTGAAGAAGTCCGTACAGAATCTTCATCAGATTCTGAACCAAGAAAGATGCCTTCAGATTGTGAGGATTTCTTCTTAGAACCTGTTTTTTTACAGCTCAGACTAATCTTAGAACTATCTGGAATTTCTTCATCCTTCCCAATATGGGAATCTTCTTTTTTTGAGGAAATATCTGCTTGCTCATTCAATATTTGAGTTACGTGTTCTTCTAAACTATTAGATATAGTGTCCTGCTTAGTATCTGCTTCTAAAGATTCTGGTACAATTATAATTGGTGGTTCTTTCAGAGATCTAACTGCTACATCTACTGGTAAGGGTACTGGTGCTGCCATTAGAACTGTTATTGGTGTATGTGGCAAGGCCACTGGCTCTGTTACTGGTGCTGGTGATGAGAGTGTTGTGGCTTGGGCAGGTGGAGGCGGTGGAGGCGGAGATGAGGGCGGTGAGTCTACAGTTGTTGATTCTGCTATCACTGCTGGTAATGGTGCTGCATGAGTAGGTGGAGATGCTACTGCTGTGGTAGTAGCCAGCAGTGGCCTGGATGTTACATGAAGCAGATGTTTCTTAAAATGAATTTTGCCCAATTCCACCCTTGACTTTGGTGGGGAAGATTCTTCTGCAGTAGATAAGGTATCACCAATTTCCATTTTCATTTTAGGAGTCGAGTCTACCTGAAGAGGTACAGCTGGAGGGTTTGGAGTATCACTTTGCTTTTCATTGCCAAGTGCAGTGAGAAACCTATTCTGCAAAGTTTTCTTTGTAAGGCTGAAGCTGAATGACACCTTCTGTCGTCCCTGTTCTTCCAAATTAACTTTTGTTTTGGTGCCTTTGGGCAAAAATCGACTAGAAGCAACACCTTTGAACATTGGTCCTTTGATGAAACCTGTTTTCTGCACATTTTCAATCTTTGCCTACAAATGAACAAAATAAGCAATTACTACTACAATAAATAGTTACTTTCAAATGGACTGCACAGTTTAAAATGTTTACTGGAGAAATGAAAAGCCCTTTTTAATAACAAATAGTATGAATTTCACTAAGCTATATATATCTTTATTATGAAAATTTTCAAACACAGTCAAAAGTATAGAAAATGGTATAATAAATCCCTAAGTATCCACTCCAAGCTTCAACAATTACCTATTTTCCCCATTCTTACTTTCTCGTACATAAATAACTTTTTTCAGTTTTATAACTATTTTCCAGGTAGCATTTTTTAAAAAGAATTTTTTAAAAACCTGACATATGTTTGAAAGACATTTGTATAAAGGGCAATATCTAACATCTCAGTACTCAATATGGTTTGTTCTTGTGTTCTATCAGAGATGAAAAATCAGAGGTCATCAAGACCAGTGGTCTCCTGGCATCACATGGAGTGCACAGTAAAAATACTCATCTGGGTCGAGCACAGTGGCTCACACCTGTAATCCCAGCACCTTGGGAGGCCGAGGCGGGAGGATCACTTGAGGTCAGGAGTTCGAGACCAGCCTGGCCAACATAATGAAAACCCATCTCTACTAAAAATACAAAAATTAGCAGGGTGTGGCAGCATGCACCTGTAACCCCAGCTACTTGGGAGGCTGAGGTGGGAGAATCACTGGAACCCCGGAGGCAGAGGTTGCAGTGAGCCAAGATGGCACCACAGAACTCCAACCTGGGCAACAGAGCGAGCCTCTGTCTCAAAAAAATAAAAAATTTAAAAATTAAAAAAAAAAACATACTCATCTGTGATCCACACTCTAGGAAATATCAAATATCAACGAGCTATTGAGCTCTAAGATGAGGAAAGGGTTTGTTTTTTGGGGTGTTTTGAGGTTTTGGTTTTTAAAAAAAACAAACAAACAAAAAAGCATTACATAGGCAATTCTAATCAATGTCCCAGGTTTGGGAAACCACTGATACAGAGGAACTTCCCACCTTACTTGTTTTACAGATGAGGTAACCAAATGAGGACCAGGCCTTCTGCCTTCCTGGAGAGTACTCTGCCTTGGCACATATCACTGTCTCTGCCTGGGCCCCCCACCCTCAAGTAATAATACTGCTGTATAAGCAACAGTTACAAAGTATAAACCTAAGAAGACTACTTTTCTTCCATGTTTGCCAAATCACCAAAGGAAATGGTTAGCCTTGGAAGTTCAAGGCATAACGTAGGTTGTACAAAGAGCATCAGAAAAATCTACAGCAACAAACTCAATCCTAAATTAAAGATGGTGGTATACTTCTCATATGCAAAATTCTTCTAATTAATGTTCTTTAATCCACTTTGGCTATTTAAGAGAGTAACTTCCCTTTCAACACAGTAAAATCTGAAATCAGTTTTCAAAATTACATAGTAGTCATTCAAGTTGGAAAGTAAATACTTTCACATATATTATCATGGAGCAGTGAATTCCAAATACTTTATTTTTTTGAGACAGAGTCTTGCTCTGTTGCCCAGGCTGAAGTGCAGGGGCACCATCTTGGCTCACTGCAACCTCCTCCTCCCCAGCTCAAGCAATTCTCCTGCCTCAGTCTCCTGAGTAGCTGGGACTAAGCCACCATGTCTGCCTAATTTTCTTATTTTTAGTAGAGATGGGGTTTCACCATGTTGGCCAGGCTGGTCTCAAACTCCTGACCTCAAGTGATCCACCTGCCTCAGCTTCCCAAAGTGCTGGGATTACAGGCATGAGCCAAATACTTTTAAGAAACAGAATCCACTTTTCAAGTTAAATCTTAAATGGAAGCTCAATACATAAAAAACAAGTAAAAGATATTTTTAGAACTTCCAACTTTCTCTACCTTTCCTAAATCTCTTGAAGCTCTAAAGTTTAAAAACCATTTTTCTGAGATACACAACATCCCTCACTGGGATAAGTTACCATGGCTCTAAAAACAAAATTAAAAACTATTACTTCATTTCACATTCAAAATGATAGCTACATTTTGAGTGTTTTCAGCTTTTACCCAATTTCTAAAATGTGTTTAGTGGTCCATCTCATAATCATTGAATGACTAGTTAAATTATACTTACCTCATTTTCTTCTTCTCTATTTCCATTCAGCCAAGAAAACATGCAAAAGAATAAAAAGAAATCATAAATACTTAAAAACGATTGAAATAATAGTTATTTGTATTAAAACTTGGGATACTTACTACCTACAGGTATATTCTATATGGATTGTCCATTCCTTCACACTCAGTTACATTTAGTTTAACAAATATTTACTCAAGATAGTGTCACATACTGTGCTAAGGGCTGGAGACCAAATTTGAATAAAGCAGCATCCCTGCCCTCAAAAAGCTCAGCTTCCTGTAAGTCACAAAAAAGAAATTTGTAACAAAAGTAATACCAACATAATGGAGTAAATATAAGAATAGAAATATATATAGTAAGGCAGCAAAGAGGACGATAAGCAACTCAGTTTAGTGGGAAAATAGGAATGCAAAGAATTTTTCCTGCCTAGGTGTGGTGGTTCACACCTGTAATCCCAGCACTTTGGGAGGCTGAGGCCGGCTGATGGCTTGAGCCCAGGGGATTGAGACTACACTGGGCAACATGGTGAAACCCTGTCTCTATAAAAAATACAAAAAAATAGCCAGACATGGTGGCGTGCACTTATAGTCCCAGCTACCTGGGAGGCTGAGGTGGGAGGATCACCTGAGCCCAGGAGGTCGAGGCTGCAGGTAGCCATGATCACACCACTGCACTCCAGCTGTGGTGATGGCTGTCTTTAAAAAAAAAAAAAAAATCCTGAAGAGACGATTCGTTTTTGAAGAATACATTTGTGAGAAGATCCCAGGCAGAGTCAGAGATTAACACATAAAATAAGGCTGGGTGTAGTGGCCCACACTTGTAATCCCAACACTTTAAGAGGCTAAATTGGGAGGATCACTTGAGTTCAGGAGTTCGAGACCACCCTGGGTAACATAGCAAAACCTCATCTCTCTTAAAAATAATTTTTAGGCCAGGTGCGGTGGCTCACGCCTGTAATCCCAGCACTTTGGGAGGCCGAGGTGGGCAGACCACCTGAGGTCAGGAGCTCGAGACCAGCCTGGCCAACATGGTGAAACCCCATCTCTACTAAAAATACAAAATTAGCCGAGCATGGTGGTGCGTGCCTGTAATCCCAGCTACTCGGGAGGCTGAGAATCACTTGAACCCGGGAGGTGGAGGTTGCAGTGAGCCAAAGTCGTGCCATTGCACTCCAGCCTGGGCAACAAGAGCAAAACTCCATCTCAAAAAATGAAAAATAATTTTTAAAAGGAAGGCTAAGTTGGGAGGATTGCTTGAGCCTGGGAGACAGAAATTGCACTGAGCCAAGATCATGCCACTGCACTCCAGTCTGAGCAACTGAGTGAAAACCTGTCTCTCTCTCTCACACACACACACACACACACAAAATAACATAGAATAATATGTGTAAAGTATCTATAAACAGTTCAATATTACCTGAATATAAGGTGTAAGGCAGAAAGAAGCCAACAATAAGATGGAGTAGGAGGCAGTGGTCAGGTTTCTCATGAGAAGAATCATATTTCATCTTATGGATCAATGCTTCTCAATCGTTTTTGGTATCTGTTCAACAGTTCCAAAGGCAAGACTATTCCACATTACAGTGCATCTGCTCCATAACACAATGCGCAGCTCTCTGGGTTATGTTCTAACAAAGGTAACCACACTGACTAAGAGCAATCAAAAGCCACAAGTCTAGTGTACACTAGCACACCAACGCATACTGAGGGACTGTCTACTTGGAGAAAAGGAAGCTACAAAAGGACATGACAGCGAGATTTGTATTTTCAGCTAGTCACTCATTGGACTATGTGGCAAGACTGGAATACAACAATCTGTTTTCAATGTTCCTGAAAGGAAACATATAAAACCCTTTTCCCCAAATGTAGGCCTAACTTCATCATAATTCATTCCATTCGCCAGTGTCTGTGGTAGCCATACAAAACCAAGTAATGACAGGGGGAGAGGGGGCAGTAAGCTGATAATACATGAATGAGATCTGAAGCAGTGCCAAAATTAACCATTTTTTTCTACTCCAAAACCACTAAAAACCTCATAAATGTGATGTTAGCACTACTGTACTTCATCAATTCTATGATGTACATTTTGCCCACAGGATGCATGCTATCAATGGTATAATAGTTTTAACTGAAAATTTTTTTCACGTCTCAACGTTCATAAAATAATCATTTTCTTACAATCGATGGCATATTAGAACCTATGGTATATTCAATTTGATTTAAATTAGTACCATTTGAAATTTTTTCAAGACAGAAGGTACCAGGAGATGTCCAACCAAGGCTTATCTGCATAGTACGCACACATACGAAATGCTAGAAATACAAAAGTGACCAGAACACTTTCTTAAGCCTCAGCAGTTCTATTTTGGACAGGCAGATGAAAAGAATAATCCTGACAAAATATGATGAAAATAGGCTCAGGTTATATTGTAAATTTGTGGAGTTGGGAGGGAAGGGGGCATAATGAAGGTCCATTTTAGAAATCAAAGAATTGTTTGACAGAAATGACAAGACAGGAGGGGGAAGTGTTTAAAAAAGAAAAGAAAAGAAATGACATTTCCCAGAACTTGATAAAATAAAATGTTTATAATAAAAGAATATAAGCACAATCAGAAATTTGGAGGGAAATTTTCTCATCATTAAAAGCATTTAGTGTTAATAGATAAAAATCAAATTACAAACAAGCAAAAGAAAAGTCCACAATCCAACTTTCCAGAGACAACTACTGTTAACACTTTGATCTACAGAGCTTTCTGCACTCGTTTGTGCATGCACTTGAGTGTGGTTTTTAAACAGAGATCATTGTTTTTCTTTTTAAAAACATACAAGCCATTCTGTATCTTGCTTCCCTCCCTCATGATAGAGCTGGTGAGCAGACAAGTTGTTTAGATCACAGAAAAAGTATGGAATCACCAAATTAGATTGAGGAAGTGATCTCAAGAGAAGGAGATACAGGCTGGGCGCAGTGGCTCACGCCTGTAATCCCAGCACTTTGGGAGGTCAAGGCGGGTGGATCACCTGAGGTTAGGAGTTCAAGACCACCCTGCCCAACGTGGGGAAACCCCATCTCTACAAAAATACAAAAATTAGCCAGGCATGATGGCAAGTGCCTGTAATCCCAGCTACTTGGGAGGCTGAGGCAGGAGAATCGCTTGAACCGGGAAGCGGAGGTTGCAGTGAGATCACGCCATTGCACTCTAGCCTGGGCGACAGAATGAGACTCCGCCTCAAAAAAAAAAAAAAGAAAAAAGAAAAGAAAAAATTGGTCTCTACTTTTCTGACATAATTAGTTGAAAGCTGGGGGAAGAGACAGGGTAAAAGACAAAGAAAATTCAAGCGTTAGGCAACAGAAGTGGAAGTAGACTGTAATCCTCAATGTTGCTGCCCAAAGTTGGACATTACCAATTTATAATTGAGCTCATTAGCATACTTATTCTATTTTTGTTGAAGGGATTAAGCCATCAGAGGTAACAGCTAGTGAATTAATCCAGCAAGATTGGCGGGACAAGAGGGGTAGAAGGCAAGAAGTTGAGAGAACTGATTTCTCAAAAATATTAAAATAACTGACCTAAAGATCCCTAGATAATAGACAGGGAGTGAAATCTGAAGGAAGCTCATAAACTCAATAGGGTAGGGACAAGATATTGGGGGCTTTAAAGAGTGGATTTGGTGGAAACCAGGAAGAGAGGTAGAAGGGTCAATAAGGTGGAAGAACTGGAAATTATGGTCAGAGTATTATTTTAGAGTTGAAGTACATTTCCAGGAGAGTCTTCTTGGGTAGGAGACCTAGGTACGGCCAGGAAGAGTAGACTGCTGCAGCAATAAGAAGGCAGGACCTTTTTGAAGAAATTAATACAATTGTGAGACCACAATTAACAGCAAGAATTAGCTACAAATGTTTTTAACATAAGAACACTTGTTTCGGTAAATAATATCAAGAGCAAAGAAGAGAGTTTTTGAAGAAAGGTTGATGAAACAAGGGTATAGAAACAAGAAGTTAAGAGTATTAAACTTCCTGTACTCCCTACCATAAAAAATAAGGAGGCATGTGAAAACAAGTATTTAACTCCACAGGATGAGATCATGCTAGAATAGCCTATTTCTTCTTTCAAAAAACTACTACAGAGAAAAAAAAAAGAATATGTTAGCCAGTTATCTGTCAAAAAAATAGTGAAGTGGGCAAATCTGCAGCTTGCTGATGGAATTATATATTTAAAGAATCCATATCAACACGAAGATAAATCTCTATTAGGTCACATGGTATATATAGAAAAAGACTTAGTTAAGAGTTTTAGTCATGGCAAGCTCAAGGAACCAAAGAATGACATGACTTAAAAAAAACCAACCAACCAATCTCTCAGGCTAGGACATTAGAAGTAAGGTTTACAAAGGGAAGCCCTATAAATGAGAGCAATTTGGCCCTATCAAGCGCATTAATAAATATAAACAAGTTGGATAGTAAAGAAATCTATTCTGGATACCATGTCACACAAGAAATGGTTAAAGCTAAATAGAAGTATTTTTATCTACCTTAGAAGAAAAAAGATTTACAGGACCATAGTAGTTTATTTCAAACTACCAGAAAGTTTAGAAGATGAAATAATCTTATTTTGTGCAATTCTGAAAGTCAGAACTGTGACCAACAAATAGAAGTTACAGAATGACAGCTTTTAGCTCATTTTTAGTACATTTTAAATTAATTTTTTTTCTTTGAGACAGAGTATCGCTCTGTCGCCCAGGCTGGAGTGCAGTGGCGCGATCTCAGCTCACTGCAAGCTCCGCCTCCCAGGTTCACGCCATTCTCCTGCCTCAGCCTCCCGAGTAGCTGGGACTACAGGCGCCCACCACCACACCCGGCTAATTTTTTGCATTTTTAGTAGAAACGGGGCTTCACCGTGTTAGCCAGGATGGTCTCGATCTCGACCTCGTGATCCGCCTGCCTCGGCCTCCCAAAGTGCTGGGATTACAGGCGTGAGCCACTGCACCTGGCCAAATTAATTTTCTTTATTTGAAAAAGTACTATATGTAGCTGCGGGAAATTTTATAATACAAAGAGATATACAACTAAAAACAAATCACTCTCCCCAGAGCAACTATTGTTAAGTTTGCATATTCTTTTTTTTTTTTTTTAATTTACTTATTTTTTGAGACAGAGTCTCACTCTGTCACCCAGGCTGCAGTACAGAGGCGTGACCTCAGCTCACTGCAACCTCCACCTCCTGGGTTCAAGCAATTCTCCTGCCTCAGCCTCGCGAGTAGCTGGGACTACAGGCGCGAGCCACCGTGCCCAGCTAATTTTTGTATTTTTAGTAGAGACAGGGTTTCACCATGCTGGCCAGGCTGGTCTTGAACTCCTGACCTCGTGATCTGCCCACCTCAGCCTCCCAAAGTGCTGGGATTACAGACGTGAGCCACTGTGCCTGGCCTAGTTTGCATATTCTTATTCGAAAACTTTGTGTGCATATATGAACATACACATATCTTTTTTTTTTTTTTTTTTTGAGACAGGATCTCATTCTGTCTTCCAGGCTGGAGTCCAGTGGCGCAATCTTGGCTCACTGATGCCTCAACCTTCCAAACTCAAGTGATTTTTCTGCTTCAGCCTCCTGAGTAGCTGGGACTACAGGTGTGAGCCACTGCACCGGGCTAATATTTTTTGAGACAAAGTCTACTACAAAACTACAAAAACTAGCCAGGTGTGGTGGTACATGCCTATAGTCGCAGCTACTTGGGAGGCTGAGGCAGGAGGATCCCTTGAGCCCAGGAGGTGGAAGTTACAGTGAGCAGAGATTGTGCCACTGCACTCCAGCCTAGAAGATAGAGGGAGACTCTGTCTCAAACAAAAACAAAACTAGATGTGTCACTGTACAGGACACTTAAGATTCCTTGACATCAAAAATGTTTAAGAATCTGGATAAGAACTTAACTAAGATAAGACAAAGAATATTCCTGTCCTCAAGGTGGACAGCCAAAAGTGAGGTCCTAGGTCTCACTCCAGACCTTCTACTGAATTTCGTAACTACAAATCAGAAATAGCTTTTTACTTTACCTTGATTTTAATAAGCAAAGACTTCAAAAATTCACTCCTACCTAAAGATTTCTTACTAAAACTAAAATACAGTGTTTCTTACACTTGAGTGTAGTATAGGCCTCATTTAAAGAAAAAAACTGTCAGACATATAAGAATAGATCACAGTTCAAGATTTCTGACAGAAAACAAAAATTAGCCTATTAAAATTTATTTCATTTGAAAACTGTCATTGCAGAGAATTTTAAACTTAAAACTTGTCAAAATAATTTTTAAGGTCTATAGGTTAGAAAATAATATTGTATCAGTGTTAATTTCCTGAATTTGATCATTGTAATGTTGTTTTTAGGAAATACATATTTGAGGATATAGGAGTAAAGAGGCATCATGTCTGCAAATTTCCAGCATTCCAGGAAAAAAGTAATGATGTATACATATATGTATATAAACAAAGAATGACAAAACAAATGTGGTAAAATGTTCTTATCTCGGGAATCTGGGTGAAGGGTATATAGGAAATCTCTGTGTTTTAAAAAAATATATTTTAATACATATTTTTTGTAGAGACAGGGGTCTATGTGGTCCAGGTTGGTCTCGAACTCCTGAGCTCAAACGATCCTCCCGCCTTAGCCTCCCAAAGTGCTGGGATTACAGGCATGAGCAACTGTACCCAGTGGAAATCTCTATTTTTTAAACCATTCTGTAATTATTTTTTAAACTTAAAGATAATCAAATATGAAAAGTTGTTAAAAATTCTCACAGAATCCCCCCCAACCCTTAAGAATATGTGGGCCAGGCGTGGTGGTTCACTTTGGGAGGTTGTGGCAGGCAGATCACATGAGTCCAGGAGTTGGAGACCAGCCTGGCCAACATGGTGAAACCCCATCTCTACTAAAAATACAAAAATTAGCCAGGCGTGGTGGCACATGCCTGTAATCCCAGCTACTCAGGAGGCTGAGGCATGAGATTCGCTTGAACCCAGGAGGCAGAGGTTGCAGTGAGCCAACATCACGCCACTGTACTCCAGTCTGGGCCACAGAGTGAGACCCTGTCTCAAAAAAAAGAGTATGTGGACCCTTGGAAATCCTAGAGCCTCAGCTGGAAAAACATTACCTCAAATCTTCCTAAATTTATATTCTGGTAAGCACTGATAAAAATAAGCTACATAAAAACTAGACTCTGGAGTATGAGATTACAGGGGTAACGATACTGTGAAGAGAAAACTCAAAGACAGGAAAACTGATAACAAAAGAAAGGAAGCCACCAATTACAAATCAAAGAGTATTTCATAATATTGCTTTTAACATATCCTAGCCCAGAGGTAGGATAGCAGTACCCTTAACTTCCTAGAAGAAAGGTGCTTGTTGTCCCCTGCCCAAAGCAAGACAGAAACAGAAATATTGGCAGGGAACTCTTCTCAATTACTAAGTGATTACCTTCACCATTAGGAAACCAGGAATTTCATTGCTCCTGCTGCCCCATCCTACACTATACCTCATGTTTTGTTTTAATTTTAGGATTCTAAATCCTTGATCCGCTTCCCAGCAAGTACAGGTGGAAGCCTCTGTTGTGGGGGGGAAAAGTTTGGAACGAATGAGTTAAAGTCATGCATGTTTTGACATTTATACATTTAAGCACCTATGGCGTTATATATTCAAGAGTTAAACTTCCTCCAATCTTCACTGATCTAGAAATATGCATCAGGCAGAAATCTTCAAAATTAAAACTTTTATCACAAAAGGTCACACCTACCTAGCTCTCTGCTTGGACTATGGTCATACACATTTGCAAACCTCTTCTAAACACACTGAGCCAATCCTTCTGTAGGCTAGAGTTTTGGTAGGGAATGGATGTCCTAGCTAACTACCAAGAGTGAGCTGGGCTTATGGCAAATGTGAAAACTACATCAGAACGTATCTCAGTAGCACACAACCATGCTGATGGACTGCTCAATGACTTTTTTTTTTTTTGAGACAGAGTCTCACTCTGGTGCCCAGACTGGAGTGCAATGGCACGATCTTGGCTCACTGCAATCTCCGCCTCCCAAGTGATTCTCCTCCCTCAGCCACTGGAGTAGCTGGGATTATAGGCATGTGCCGCCACACATGGCTGATTTTTGTATTTTTAGTAGAGACAGGGTTTCACCATGTCGGCCAGGCTGGTCTTGAATTCCTGACCTCTAGTGATCAACCCACCTCGGTCTCCCAAAGTGCTGGGATTATAGGTGTAAACCACCACACCCGGCCTGAATGACATTTTAGAAAGGTAACACTTAACTATAAATATCACCTCTCATATCAATCAGAGGCTATTTGTTCAATAATTATTTAAGGATCCACCTTGTAAAAGCAGTGCTAGGTCTGTAAAGGCAAAATGTCAGTTCACAGTCTCTACCCCACCAGGAATTTCATACTTACTTGAAGTAACATGGCACAGAGGTACATCAAATAACTATAATACAAGGTAACAAATAATAATTGCCATGAGTAGAAAAGCCAGTAAGGTGCTTTCTTTTAAGCTTCACTTTTGGGCTCACCTGGTCTCAATTTTTCTGATTCTCTATGAAAACACACCTTTAGTATTTATTACTTTGCTTGTTAGGGTGGCTTTTTAAATTTGAGACAGGACCTGGCTGTCACCCAGGCTGGAGGCAGTGGCACAATCTTGGCTCACTGCAACCTCTGCCTCCCGGGCTCAAGCTGTCCTCCCACTTCAGCCTCCTGAGTAGCTGGGACTAGAGGCACACGCCACTTACGTCCAGCTAATTTTTATATTTTTTGTAGAGACAGGGTTTCACCATGTTGCCCAGGCTGGTCTCAGAACTCCTAAGCTCAAACAATCTGTCCGCCTTGGCCTCCCAAGTGTTGGGATTACAGGCATGAGCCAGTACAGGCACGCCTGGCCTAGGGGTGGCAATTTAATACAGAAAAAAAATCAAACTTGATACCTAGGTCAGAATCCTATCCCTGCCATTTATTAACTCTATGGCTTGTGCCACTCTGTTCCCTTACTCTCCTAGATGCCTATTTCACACATTCCCCTACCCCAAATCTCTATCACCATGATCTCCATGACCACTCTCAATTGACGATCCCACCACTTTGCTCAGTGTCCTATCCTCTTGCCTCAAGGACTTCCATTTTCTATTTATTTCCTCTCCTCTATCATCAGTCTCTCTCTCTTTCCTCTCTATTCATTCTCATTAGCCAAACAGCTTTTAGTAAGTTACTAGACCAGCATCTTAAAGCTAGTGATCAATTTCTTTCCTAGGCTTTCACAGACCACATTCTTCAGTTTTTCCTCCTCCCCTCACTGCTACTCCTCCTTAATCTCATTTGTTGGCTCCTCCCACCCATCCAACTAATAGGTACTACTTGGATACCTCCTACATCTCAAATATAGCATGGTCAAAATTGAACTGATGACGATTATCCCATATACCTAATTCAGTCCTCCCCCAAGTCGTTCCTATGACAGTAATACTACCATCTACCCAATTGCTCAGATCAAACCTCATTTGTCCTTAATTTTTCTCTCTCCACTCACAGCCCACTCCACATACCTGCTTATCCTCTTTCTGACCTTACCTCTTTCCATAGTCCCTCCTCCTCATTCTCTAGGTTTTAGCCACATTAGCCTTCTCTCTGTCCCTCATACATTCCAAGATAATTTCTGGCTCACAGCCCTTTCACCTGCTTGTTCCTTCTTGGAATACCATTCCCTCCAGATCTTCACCAGACTGCTGCTTCTCGATAATAAAATGACATCTCACACAGCCATAAAAATGAATGAAATCATGTTGTTTGCAGCAACATGTATGGAGCTGGAGGCCATTATCCTTAGTGAACTAACTCAGAAACAAAAGACCAAATACTAAATGTTCTCACTTGTAAGTGGGAGCTAAACAATGGGTACACATGGACATAAAGAAGGAAATAATTAACACTTGGGGCTCCAAAAGATAGGGCAGTGGGTTGAAAAATTACCTAATGGGGGCTGGGTGCCGTGGCTCACGCTTGTAATCCCAGCACTTTGGGAGGCCAAGATAGGTGGATCACCTGAGGTCAGGAGTTCCAGACCAGCCTGGCCAACATGTCAAAACCCCGTCTCTACCAAAAATACAAAAATTAGCTGGGCATGATAGCGGGTGCCTGTAATCCCACCTACTTGGGAGGCTGAGGCAGAAGAATCACTTGAACCCGGGAGGCAGAGGTTGCAGTGTGCCGAGATGACGCCACTGCACTCCAGCCTGGGCAACAGAGCAAGAATCCATCTAAAAAAAAGGATTACCTAGTGAGTACAATGTTCACTACTATTTGGGTAATGGGCACACTAGAAGCCCAATCCCCACCAACATGCAACATACACGTGTAACAAACATGCACATGTACCCTTTGAATCTAAAATAATTTTTTTAAAAAGATGACACCTCAAATGTTATTTCCTTTGAGATTCTCCCATCATTCTATATTATAGTACCTTATTTTATTCCTAGCATTTATTATTATTTTTATTTTATTTTATTTTTATTTTTGAGATGGGGTCTTACTCTGTCGCCAGGCTGGATTGCAGTAGCGTGATCTCGACTCACTGCAAACTCCACTTCCTGGGTTCAAGCGATTCTCCTGCCTCAGCTTCCCGAGTAGCTGAGACTACAGGCAAGCACCACCACACCCAGCTAATTTTTGTATTTTTAGTAGAGATGGGGTTTCACCATGTTGGCCAGGATGGTCTCGATCTCTTGACCTTGTGATCCACCCACCTCAGCCACCCAAAGTGCTGGGATTGTAGGTGTGAGCCACCGCGCCCAGCCTTCCTAGTATTTATTACTATAAGAGTTGGTTGTTTATTTTTTATTTATAAATATTTTATGTAATGCCCATTTCCTCCCACTAGCATACAAGCTTCTTTAGGACAGAGATTTGGTTTTATCTTGTTTACAGCTGCATTTAACTGCCAAAAACACCACTTAGAAGATATGGAGCACTCAATAAATATCTGACATTATTATAAATTTTTCTTTTTTTCTGAGACAGAATCTTGCTGTCGCCCAGGCTGGAGTGCAATAGTGCGATCTTGGCTCACTGCAACCTCTGCCTCCCAGGTTCAAGCAATTCTCCTGCCTCATCCTCCCAAGTAACTGAGATTACAGGCACCCGCCACCACACCCAGCTAATTTTATTTTTTTTTTAGTAGAGATGGGGTTTTGCCAAGTTGACCAGGCTGGTCTCGAACTCCTGACCTCAGGTGATCCACCCGCCTCAGTGTCCCAAAGTACTGGGATTACAGTATTATCACTTTCTTTTTTTTTTGAGACGGAGTCTCGCTCTGTCGCCCAGGCTGGAGTGCAGTGGCGCGATCTCGGCTCACTGCAAGCTCCGCCTCCCGGGTTCACGCCATTCTCCTGCCTCAGCCTCCCGAGTAGCTGGGACTACAGGCGCCCGCCGCCACGCCTGGCTAATTTTTTTGTATTTTCAGTAGAGACGGGGTTTCACCGTGTCAGCCAGGATGGTCTCGATCTCCTGACCTCGTGATCCGCCCGCCTCAGCCTCCCAAAGTGCTGGGATTACAGGCGTGAGCCACCGCGCCCGGCCCACTTTCTTTTTTTTTGAAACCAAGTCTCACTCTGTCGCCCAGGCTGGAGTACAGTGGCGCGATCTCAGCTCACTGCAACCTCCACCTCCTGGGTTCAAGCGAATCTCCTGCCTCAGCCTCCCATGTATAGCTGGGATTACAGGTGTTATTATTATTATTATATTTTGAGATGAAATTTCACTCTTGTTGCCCAGGCTGAAGTGCAATGGCATGATCTCGGCTCACCACAACCTCCACCTCCCAGGTTCAAGTGATTCTCCTGCCTCAGCCTCCCAACTAGCTGGGATTACAGGCATGTACCATCAAGCCTGGCTAATTTTGTATTTTTAGTAGAGATGAGGTTTCTCCATGTTGGTCAGGCTGGTCTTGAACTCCCAAACTCTGGTGATTCACCCACCTTGGCCTCCCAAAGTGCTAGGATTACAGGCGTGAGCCACCGCGCCCAGTCAAGCCTGGCTAATTTTTGTATTTTTAGTAGAGACGGGGTTTCACCATGTTGGCCAGGCTGGTCTCAAATTCCTGGTCTCAAGTGATCTGCCCACCTCAGCCTCCCAAAGTGCTGGGATTATCATTTTCCTACCTAGTTAAGCTGCTTTTACACTACTCCCCAGAAGGAATCTCAATAGCTATGGTGGTCTCTTTTAAGTTCAAATCTAGATCAGTCTTGTTCAACGTCTTTCTTTCTTTTCTTTTTTTTGACAGGGTCTTGCTCTGTTACCCACTGTCACCCAGAGTCTAGGCTGGAGTGCTATGGCACGATCATAGCTCATTGCAGCCTCGAACTCCTGGGTTCAAGCAATCCTCCCTCCCAAGTCTCCTCAGCTGGCTAATTTTCTTTAACTTTTTATAGAGACGGGCTCACTTATCTTGCCCAAGCTCTCAAATTATTTTTTGTATTGCTCGTTTCATCACCTTCCTCCCTCTCAGCCTCCACACTACACACATACCACATCACCCCCATATCTACCTTAATCCACTCAGGGACCACTAAAGCCTTTCCTTCCTTTGACAATTATCTGAATGTCTAGTAGGTACTCAGCACTATTATGCCTTTTCCTATCCTTTTCTTACCTTTCCAGATACTACTACTAAATTCAACTCCTACAGCATATACTTTACAATCTGACAATCACATACAGCCTTGACTTGCATTTATTGTTCTTGTCTCCCCATATAGAGTTTAAATTTCAAAGAGACAAAGGCAACATCTTGTCCTTATTATATAATCTCCCCTGGGCCTAACATTCCCGTTCCTATCATACATTCTCGTTACTTTTTGAATCAAAGAAACTCCTTAACAACAGTACTAGTTTTTAGCTTCCTCACTTCAAGCAATTCTTAAAGGAAAAGAGGGAAACATCTCAAAACTGACATGTAGAAAAAGCAAGATATATAGGCCATAAAATTTATGAAATTTGCCGCATTCTCATCTAAGAACAAGGACACGTGAAGACAAGTGAATTAAAAAAAAACACTGATGAAAAATATACGTTATTTATGTGGTCAATAAAGCTATGAGTGATACACTGCTTTATCAAAGACATTGAAATTTCAGGTAAAGCACTTTGGAGTAAGTATGCTAACCTGAACTAGCATGAGTAGACTTGATATACAAGCACTCCTTCTCACTTGTTTAAGTCCACATCTTCAACTGGTATAGTATCTCAAACATACAAAGAATCCTATTGATCAATATATACCGACTAAATCTAGAAAAAAATAACTTGATCATACTCACCAACTATTCTTACACCCCAAAAATAGCTGAAACTTTATTTTAATGTGGAATTACTACACAAGTGAGTAAAGCTAACTTATTTTCTTTAAAAAAGTCACTTCTAACAAGAAGTGACTTTGTTAAAAAGCTAATCTCAAATGTGTCACTACGGAATTCTAATCAGTGAGGAAAGGTTAAGACTATAATCCCAAATGTTAACAACTGTATTTATGCCTGAAATGTTTCTCTACTTGTCTGCCAAATAGATACACAAGAATACCTACCTAAAGTGAATGATATTCACCTGTTAAAGCCATCTGCTTTTTCCAAAACCCATAAGTTGGAACGTTGGGTGACCTAACCTGAACATTTTAGAGCCCAGTGTTGAAGACTATTGTATTCAATTGAATTCCAGTAATTTTACTCATTACTCTGAGTTAATCTTTTCAATTATCCATTTGTTTTCCTCATTAGCAAAAAGTGAGAGAGGAAAACCTCCAATACCAAATAAGCCTCAAAAGATAAATATGCATAAATGCTGAAATTCATCTTTAGTACAAGCCAGTGAATCACACAGAAAGAGTTGACTGGCCAGGTGCAGTGGCTCACGCCTGTAATCTCAGCACTTTGGGAGGCCAAGGCGGGTGGATCACTTGAGGTCAGGAGTTCAAGATCAGCCTGGCCAACATGGTGAAATCCTGTCTCTACTAAAAATACAAAAATTAGCCAGGCATGGTGGCAGTCATCTGTAATCCCAGCTACTCGGGAGGCTAAGGCACAAGAATTACTTGAATCCCAGTGGGGTGGAGGTTGCAGTGAGCTGAGATTGCGCCATTGCACTCCAGCCTGGGTGACACAGCGAGACTCTGTCTCAAATAAAAAATTAAAATTAAAATTAAAAATTCTAAGTATCGAATACGAAGAAAGACATGAGATAGGTTTCTGAGGGAGATGGCTTGTTATAATTAGACTATTATAATTAGACTGTAGACTCTAAGCTCGCTTGGTTAATATTGTTTTTTTGTGAGACAGGATCTCACTGCCCTCACCCAGGCTGGAGTGCAGTGTCATGATCTTGGTTCACTGCAACCTCACACCACCCACCCCCGCCCCATTCTAGTGATCCTCCCACCTCAGCCTCCCAAGTAGCTAGGATTATAGGCACACACCACCATGCCTGGCTAATTTTTGAATTTTTAGTAGGGATGGGGTTTCACCATGTTGCCCAGGCTGGTCTCAAACTCCTGGGCTCAAGCGATCTGCCTGCCTCAGCCTCCCAAAGTGCTGGGATTACAAGCATGAGCCACTGCACCCAGTTGGTTAATGTTTAAACTGTACCTATCTTGTATTGTACCAGACTAAGTACTTATGTCAGCCTTCCTGTCCTACTCTTGCTTAACCACATTAAATGAGAATACAAAAACAGCTCTTTCAAGTTACAGCCTTTCATGCAAATTAGCTCTGAAAAACCCACCTTCTAAATAAAAACACAGAAATAAAACCTGTGATGTGATTAAATGGAAAGACATGAGAAAGACAAGGTCTCTCTTTTTATACATATTTCAGATCTCTTTCCATCATAAATAACTGCTTACTTTCATCTTAATACTAAAAATGCTTCTGAAAATAATTTTATTATTTCATGTTTCACAAGTAAGTTTTCTTTTGTTATAAAGAAAAAATAAAAAAATGTGTGGGCTGCTTTCTATTTTAGAAACATACCAAGTACAACAATTCAAAAAGTTTCTAGCATAAGTTACCACCCGACCAAAATCAAAACACATTAAAAAACAATTCAGTACTCTTACGGAACAAAAGCTTAAATGCAATAAAAATAGCCATTGTTTATTTTCTGGTTTTGGTAAAGAGTTTAAGCATTTTTTTTTCATTGTAATTAATGTCTGAGGTATAGAAGGAAAAGGTTTCAAGTCAACTAACACAACTACAAGTAGGGTAAAAGCTATCCATACCTTAAAAAAAACACTTGAAACACATATTCTTACAAGGCAAAGCCAAATGATAATATAGGATGATTGTGAATTACAATGCACTGAATGCACCACTATCCATCATTTCATACAGAAAAAGGTTAAAATAAACTGCAAAAGGCTATCTGTGTGCTAGTAAAAGGTTGTAACAGTGACTGAATAACCCTGGTACATCCGTTCAATGTGGTAGTATGCAGCTTCAAAAAGTTCTAATTACGAACTTTGATCTAAAAGATCATAATAATGGGCTGGACGTGGTAGCTCCCCCATCTGTAATCCCAGCACTTTGGGAGGCTGAGGCAGTAGGGTTGTTTGAGGCTAGGAGTTCGAGACCATCCTGAGCAACATAGTGAGACCTCGCCTCTACAAAAAATAAGCAAAATTAGCCAGGTGTGATGGTGTGCGCCTGTAGTCCCAGCTACTCAGGAGGCTGAGGTGAGAAGACTGCTTGAGCCCCAGAGGCCAAGGGTGCAGTGAGATGACATGGTGCCACTGCACTCCAGCCTGGGTGACAGAGCAAGAATCTAAGTTAATTAATTAATTTAATTAAAATAAAAGGTCATAATGAAGATCTCTGTATACTGCTCCGGAATGTACTGTTAAGGAAAAAAAGCAAGAAACAAAACAGTAAATTTAGTATGCTACTTCGTGGTGGGGGGAGGTGGGGAAGGGGAATACCATATATACATTGTCTTTTTTTTTTTTTTTGAGATGGAGTTTTGCCCTTGTCGGCCAGGCTGGAGTGCAATGGCGCAATCTCGCTCACTGCAACCTCCGCCTCCCAGGTTCAAGCAATTCTCCTGCCTCAGCCTTCTGAGTAGCTGGGATTACAGGAGCCTGCCACCACGCCCAACTGATTTTTTGTATTTTTAGCAGAGATGGGGTTTCACCATGTTGGCCAGGCTGGTCTTGAACTCCTGACCTCAGGTGATCTGCCCCACCTCAGCCTCCCAAAGTGCTGGGATTACAGGCGTGAGCCACTGCGCCTGGCTCATTGGCTTCTTATTTTCAAAATGGAAAAATGAAAGTTGGGGCTGGGCATGGTGGGTCACACCTGTAATCCCAGCACTTTGGGAGGCTGATGCTGGAGGATCACTTGAGCCCAAGGAGCTCAAGACTAGTCTGGGCAACATAGTGAGAGCCCATTTCTACAAAAAATTTAAAAATTAGCCAGGCGTTGGTGATGCATGCCTGTAGTCCCAGGTACTCAGCAGGATGAGGCAGGACCACTGCTTGAGCCCAGGACGTCAAGGATGCAGTGAGCTACGATCTCACCACTGCATTCCACCGTGAGCAACAGAGCAAGACCCCGTCTCAAAAAACAAAACAAAAAAACTTTATTGGGGAAAAAACCTTAACAAAAGTAGACATAAAATTCTGCTGTGTTCAAGGAGAGAAACACTAATATTCCAAATATTTAAATCCACTTTCCACCTATCTGTAATCTTTTAGGATAAGGCACTACAGTGCTAAATTTTCATTTCCTGCAAAAAATATCTTTTGTGCTCTTAAGGTAAACAGAAAAATAAGAGTATTTTTGAACATCATTTTGCAGATTAGAATTGCTATCTAGTCTACTGATCTTTTTAATTTCTGTAAGTTGCTCATTATTAAATACTAACAGTATATAACTGCATATTCATATAATAAAGCTAGTTGATCTATAAAACAAACTTTTATCAGAACTTTATCCCATTGGTTTTATATCTCAAATGTCAAGTTACATTATACCAGAACTTTTTTTTTTTATTTTGAGACGGAGTCTCGCTGTCGCCCAGGCTGGAGTGCAGTGGCGCGATCTCGGCTCACTGCAACCTCCACCTCCCGGGTTCATGCCATTCTCCTGCCTCAGCCTCCCGAGTAGCTGGGACTACAGACACCCACCACCACACCCGGCTAATTTTTTGTACTTTTAGTAGAGACGGGGTTTCACCGTGTTAGCCAGGATGGTCCCGATCTCCTGACCTCGTGATCTGCCCGCCTCGGCCTCCCAAAGTGCCGGGATTACAGGCATGAGCCACTGCGCCCGGCCACATTACACCAGAACTTAAGAAAATGCAGTTGTCCCACAGCTCTAGCTGTCAAGTTTCTAGCCACTTAATCAGAGACAAAACTTAAGTGCTATAAACAGCTCACTTGAGGAGGCCAAATCTTATGCTCTATGACAAAGAACTACTCCAAGCTGACAAAGTAAATGTATACCTCACAGAAACAACACAGGGCAAAATATCAGAAGCCAGGTGCAGTGACTCACACCTGTAATCCCAACATTTTGGGAGGCCAAGGCAGGAGGATCACTTGAGCCCAGGAGTTCAAGACCAGCCTGGGCAGCACTGTGAGACCCTGTCTCTAAAAAAAATTATAAAAATAAATAAGTCCAGCCGGGTGCAGTGGCTCATGCCTGTAATCCCAGCACTTTGGGAGACCGAGGCAGGCGAATCACGAGGTCAAGAGAGCGAGACCATCCTGGCCAACATGGTGAAACCCCGTCTCTGCTAAAAATACAAAAATTAGCTAGGCGTGGTGGTGCATGCCTATAGTCCCAGTCTCAGCCACTTGGGAAACTGAGGCAGGAGAATCGCTTGAACCAGGGAGTCAGAGGTTGCACTGAGCCGAGTTCGCACCACTGCACTCCAGCCTGGTGACAGAGCGAGACTCCGTCTCAAAATATAAAAATAAAAAATAAGTAAGTCCAGAAAAAGAAATAAGGCCAGGCACGGTGGCCCACACCTGTAATCCCAGCACTTTGGGAGGTCGAGGCGGGTGGATCACTTGAGGCCAGTAGTTCATGCCAACGTGGTTAAAACCCCATGTCTACAAAAAATACAAAAATTAGATGGGCACACACCCGTAATCCCAGCTACTCGGGAGGCTGAGGTACGAGAATCGCTTGAACCCGGGAAGCTGAGGCTGCAGTGAGCTGAGATCACACCACTGCACTCCAGCCTGGGCGACAAGTGAGACTCTGTCTCAAAAACAATCAATCAATCAAACAAACAAACAATAAATAAATATTTTAAAAATAACAGAATATGGCTTGGAATTAAATAGTAGACAATATTATATCCAAAAGTTAAAGTACGCAGCTGGTTTTCATGCCTACATCTACAGAGGTGAGAACACTGAAAAATCAAAACTGACAATGTGTAAACATAACTAGAATGATGAAAAAAACTGCAGGTTGAGTAACGCTTACTGAAAACACTTGGGACAGTAAGTATGTCCAACTTTTTCAGATTCTGGAATATCTGCATATACACGAGATATCTTGGGGCCAGATATCTTGGACCCAAGTCTACACACCAAATTTGTTTATGTTTCATATACCCCTTATACACATGGCCTGAAGGTAATTTTATACAATATTTTTTAATAATTTTGGGACATGGAATAAACTGTGTTGTATGCCTGTGTTTTGTTTTTGTTTTTAAGAGACGGGGTCTTGCTTTGTTGCCCAGGCTGGAGCAAGTACAGTAGTACAATCCCAGCTTGCTGCAGCCTTGAACTCCTGGACTCAAATGATCCTCCTACCTCAGGCTCCTGAAGGGACTACAGGTGCATGCCACCATGCCCAGCTTGGCTGTGTTTTGACTGCAGCCCCTCACATCAGGTCATGTGTAAAATTTCCCACTGTGGCATCATGTCAGCATTAAAAAAGTTTTAACTTTTGGAGCATTTCAGATTTCACATTTTTGGATTCAGCTGAGGCCTGTATACAGTTTAAGAACTATATAACCTAAAAGGAACTATGCAGCTGAACAGGTGTGGTGGCTCATGCCTGTAGTCTCAGCACTTTGGGAGGCCCCCAACAGGAGGAGTGCTTAAGGCCAGGAATTTGAGACTGGCCTGGACAACATAGCGAGGCTCTGTCTCTACAAAAAATAAAAAATTAGCTGGGTATAGTGGCTTACATCTATAGTCCCAGATACTCAAGAGGCTGAGGCAGGAGGATCAGTTGAGCCCAGGAGTCTAAGGCTACAGTGAGCTATGATGGTGCCACTGCACTTCAGCCTGGGTGACAGAGCGAGACCCTGTCTCAAAAAAAAAAAAAAAAAAAAAAAAAAAGCTATACAGCCTAAATTGTCTGCTATGGTCTTTCTAGTGCCTCTGTCCAGAAAGCATATCCCACTTGCTCTTATCTCCCATCTTGTACTCTCAAAATGTCAGCTGGAGAGGTACCACCCACAGTACAATATATTAGGAGCAAAAGCTCTTATATTCAGTCAACCTGAATTTGAATACTGACTCCAAAGTTTTTTAACCTAAGTTACTAAAAGAAATGGAGGCCAAAGAAGCTAGCTATAAAACTGAAATAGTACTATATTTACTTTAAAAAGAGAACGAGTGTCTATTTAAAATCCTTCATATAGCCGGGTGTGGTGGCTCACGCCTGTAATTCCCACACTTTGGGAGGCCGAGGCAGGCGGATCACCTGAGGTCAGGAGTTCAAGACCAGCCTGGCCAACATAGCGAAACCCCGTCTCTACTAAAAATACAAAAATTAACCAGTCATAGTGGTAGTCGCCTCTAATACCAGCTACTCGGGAGGCTGAGGCAGGAGAATCGCTTGAATCCAGAGGCAGAGGTTGCAGTAAGCCGAGGTCATGCCACTACTCTCCAACCTGGGCGACACAGTGAGACTCCGTCTAAAAAAAAAAAAAAAAATTCCTTCATATAGGCCAGGCATGATGGCACATGCCTGTAATCCCAGCATTCTAAGAGGCCAAGGCGAGATGACTGCTTGAAGCCAGGAGTTCAAAACCAGCCCGGGCAACATGGAGAGATCTTGCCTCTACAAAAAAATTTTAGAATTATCCAGGTATACTGGCGTTTGCCTGTGGTCCCAGCTGCTTGGGAGGCTGAGACAGGAGAATCACTTGAGAGTCCAGGAAGTCAAAACTGCAGTGAGCCAGGTTTGCATTACTAGTCCACTCTAGGTGACAGAGTGAGACCCTGTCTTCAAAAAAAAAAAAAAATTCCTTCATATAGTGCCTGGCAGAGAGTTTATACTCAATAAATGAGAGCTGTAACATATTTGTTTTTGTTTGTTTGAGACAGGGTCTCACTCTGTTGCCCAGGCTGAAGTGCAGTGGTGCAATCTCAGCTCACTGCAACCTCTGCCTCCCAGGTTCAAGCAATTCTCCTGCCTCAGCCTCCCAAGTAGCTGGGATTACAGGAACTCGCCACCACACCCGCTAATTTTTTTTGTATTTTTAGTAGAGACAGGGTTTCACCATGTTGGCCAGGCTGGTCTCGAATTCCTGACCTCAGGTGATCTGCCCTCCTCAGCCTCCCAAAGTGCTGGGATTACAGGCGTGAGCCACCAAGCCTAGCCACTGCATGTCATTTTTTTTTTTTTTTTTGAGACATAGTCTCACCCTGTCGCCCAGGATGGAGTGCAGTGACGTGATCTTGGCTCACTACAACCTCTGCCTCCTCGGTTCGAACGATTCTCCTGCCTCAGCCGCCCGACTAGCTGGGACTACAGGCATGCACCACCACGCCCAGCTAATTGTTGTATTTTTAGTAGAGACAGGGTTTCACCAGGCTGGTCTGGAACTCCTGATGTCAGGTGATCCACCTGCCTCAGCCTCCCAAAGTGCTGGGATTACAGGTGTGAGCCACTGTGCCCAGCCAGCATGTCATTTTTTAAGATAGTTTCTAGGCCGGGCGCGGTGGCTCACTCCTGTAATCCCAGCACTTTGGGAGGCCAAGGCGGGCAGATTACGGTCAGGAGATCGAGACCATCCTGGCTAACACAGTGAAACCCTGTCTCTACTAAAAATACAAAAAAAATTAGCCGGGCAAGGTGGTGGGCGCCTGTAGTCCCAGCTACTTGGGAGGCTGAAGCAGGAGAATGGCATGAACCCGGGAGGCGGAGCTTGCAGTGAGCAAACACCACTGCACGCCAGCCTGGGCGACAGAGCAAGACTCTGTCTCAAAAAAAAAAAAAAAAAAAAAAGATATTTTCTTTCAGCTCCTATACTTTCTGCACTCTTGTTCATAAAGGTATGCTTAGAACCCTCTTACAAAATTAAAGTATTATACTCATTGGTGGGCTAAAAATATATTTTAGTAAACCTAGGCTTCAACTATAACATAACCAACTGAAACTTGTTTTTTTGGTTGTGTTTTGTTGTTGTTGTTGTTGTTGTTGTTGTTGTTGTTTTTGATAAAGCGTCTCGTTCTGTCACCCAGGCTGGATTGCAGTGGCGCGATCTCAGCTCACTGCAACCTCTGCCTCCTGGGTTCAAACAATTCTCCTGCCTCAGCCTCCCAAGTAGTTGGGATTACAGGCACCCACTGCCACGCCGGGCTAATTTTTGTATTTTTAGTAGAGACAGGGTTTTGCCATGTTGCCCAGGCTGGTCCCAAACTCCTGACCTCAGGGGATCCGCCCACCTCAGCCTCCCAAAGTGCTCGGATTACAGACATGAGCCACTGTGCCTGGCCCTGAAACTTTATTGAAACAGAACAATGTTACTCCCCTCAAACTTTCTTTTAATGAAGACAAAAAATACAAAAACAGGGAAATTTCAAAGTACAATCTGTGTTCAAGTATTCTCCAATTTTTTATACCTTCTTTCTACCTCTATACTATTCTAAAATGAGCACTGGTTTTTAAATGAACTTCAAATAAATGCACATTTCTGAATCAGACAATCATTAATTAGGGTCTTAAATTAATGATGTTTGACTTAGAACTGAGGTTAGAATAATAAAAACCCCATTTTCCAGTAGGAAAAACTTTATAGACATCCAATCGACTTACATACAAGTTTCTTTTTTAAAAGTGGCCATAGGCCAGGCACGGTGGCTCACGCCTGTAATCCCAGCACTTTGGGAGGCTGAGGCGGGAGGATCACTACATGGAATAATGGTGAATGAAGGCTTGAGTTTCATACGGGATTAAGCTCATTTCCAGTAAAGATTTCAGACTACTTAAGGCACCTGGACAGAAAAACGGGCAGATCTGAATGATCCCCATATCCAGTTTACCTTTTGCTGAATGATATTCATACCCATAATCCTCCAGCATATACATTTGCAAAGTCAGAGGAAAGAACCAATTCAAATACAGAATCACCTGCACCCTCCAAATTGAACAATTATAAGTACATCAAGGTCAATTCTGAAGACCTTTAGGAAAACAAGTAACTCAATACAGAAATCCAGTTGTTTATGAATGGCAGCTATTCTAAATGTTATTCCTTAACATCATTAAAAAGTCAGTTTTGGACAAACTGGTAAATGAATATTACCCAAGTTCTGATATGCCACTAAACTAGCTAGTGAGCACAACCTGTATGTCTTTGGACTTCCTTTTCTTCCCTTTATAAAATTAGAGGCACTAGCTCCCCTTGCCCTTTTAAAATCACACTCATGGCAAGTCACAATGAGCAAGCTAAAGGGGAAAAAAAAAAAGTTGGGAGCCACAGAAATGAGGAATTATTAGATATAGTAGAAGGACTCCCTACACTAGACACCTCTTATAGCACTCAGCAATTTACACTTGGTTAAAAACTGAAGGGGAAATGGGCATAGGGTTCATCCTCTCTCTGTATCCTCCCCCATAATGTAGCCCTACAACATCCTCTACCATCTGCCTACTCCATTTTTGCCTAAGTCCTACTCTTCAAGGCTAAGTTCAGGTATTCTTCTGGGCTGCCCTCCCTGATTGCCCACCTGATCCCCATCCCAGTAGAAGTCAGATATCCCTGCCATAGCACATTGTGCTTACTTCTGTATCCTTAGCACAGGTCTGGCATTCAACAAATGTTAGCTGAATAAATTGTCAAGAGTTCAAGAGTTCAATCTCAGCTAGTTGTTCTAAACATTAGGTTAAAAGGCTCGATATAATGAAAAGAGTTTAAATATAACGTTTTTAATTGCCTCATACAGTTAGAAACTGACAGACTTTAGAAAACTGAATTTTTTTGTATGCTAGGTATAAAAAGTATCAGCTACCCTAGAGAAGAACAAAAGCCTCTATTTTTGGAGTACTAAATTTTCTATCATTTTTCAGTGTCTTTTGGCATATCCAAAAATACTTTTTTTTTTTTTTTTTTTTGAGACAGAGTCTCGCTCTGTTGCCAGGCTGGAGTGCAGTGGCGCAATCTCGGCTCACTACAACCTCTGCCTCCTGGGTTCAAGCAATTCCCCTGCCTCAGCCTCCTGAGTAGCTGGGACTCCAGGCACCTGCCACCACGCCCGGCTAATTTTAATTTATCTTTTGTATTTTAGTAGAGATGGGGTTTCACCACGTTGGCCAGGATGGTCTCGATCTCCTGACCTTGTGATTCGCCCGCCTCGGCCTCCCAAAGTGCTGGGATTACAAGAATGAGCCACCGTGCGCGGCCTCAAAAATATCGTTTGATTTACCACTGCATCTGAGGTTCCTCACTTCCTTTTTGCCCGTAATATTTTGCCCATAATATTTATAAAGAGATAAATGAGATTACTGATCTGAGAAATTTGGATAGAAAGTCAACAGAACAAGGGTAAAGTGCAGCTTACCCTTAGTTTAAGGATTACCCATCCTGGAAAATACACAAGTACAAAACAACTGAAAAGGCTGGGAGAAAAAAGTGGTCTAGCATACCAACAGAAGAAGCATAAAAAGTGCTATGAGCACCAAGTCACTGCCATTAGCCCAACACATACCACTCAATTCCCTGACCTCTGTCCTAATCTTATAGTTATTTAAGAATGTCTGGTAATAGGCTGGGCACGGTGTCTCACGCCTGTAATCCCAGCACTTTGGGAAGCTGAGGTAGGGAGACTGCCTGAGTCCAGGAGTTCGAGACCCTGTCGCTACAAAAAATAAATAAATAAAATTAGGCGTAGTGGGAGGATTTCTTGAGCCTGGGAGGTTGAGGCTGCAGTGAGCCGTGATCGTGCCACTACATTTCAGCCTGAGTGACAGAGAAAGACCCTATCTTTAAAAAAAAAAAAAAAGAAAGAAAAAGAAAAAAGAAAAGCATGTATTATAATAGAGGTCAGCAATTATTAACAATGCTGCTGGTAATCAAATTAGAATAATGATCGTTACAAAGAATCAGGTCAATTCAAACATTTACTAAGCATGTACTACCATGTACCCAACTACTAGTTACTAGGATTCCTCCATTAAAAGAGAAGAACATATTCTATAATATATTCATCATGGGTCTTGAATTTTCTGATACATAGATCTACAAAATCCCTTAGGTCCTAGCAACAAAACCAAACAGGTCTAATGAGAATAGATGAATGCTAAGATAGCCAGGCTTCAATGAAATGTTAGCCTTTCTTGAAACTTCGTATTAATAATCAACCAAAACATCTTAAAAATTACAGAATTATAAAAATACATATATAAAAACATATCTTTTAAAAACTTATATGAAAAAATAGCATCGATGAAAATAAAAAAGCTTAAGCAATCGGTACATTTCAAAAAAGCACACAGCTAACAAAAAAATTGTGCAGCACACATACGCACAACTGGAAAAAAAGTCCTATCACAGATTCTAACTCCTGCTCCCAGTTTCATATCCTGACACCATCATGATCTTCTCTAAGAGCATGCCGCGTACAGTGGCTCATGTCTATAATCCCAGCATGTGGGGAGGCCAAGGCGGGTGGATCACCTGAGATCGGGAGTTCGAGACCAGCCTAGCCAACATAGTGAAACTCCATCTCTGCTAAAACACAAAAATTAGCCGGGCGTGGTGGTACGCGCCTGTAATCCCACCTACTTGGGAGGCTGAGGCAGGAGAATTACTTGAACCCGGGAAGCGGAGGTTGCAGAGAGCCAAGATCGCACCACTGCACTCCAGCCTGGGAGAGAGACCAAGACTCTTGTCTCAAAAAAAAAAAAAAAAAAAAGTTTGGAAAGAAAATAGGTAGTCAAAGAAGGAAGAGCACCAAATACTTCTTGCAAATCTCATCATCTCCCTAATTCATATGAGCAATACTATAATTGGGGGAACAGTCTTTTTATATTCAATCACTACGGTTTGAATGTGTTCAAGGTGTTCATATCAGCTAGTAACACTACTTCCTTACACAAACTGCTAATCTGCCAAAAAGTATACTATACTTTTCATAATTGTGACAACTGGTTTCCTGAATAATTGTACAACAAAAGTTGTTTTGTTTTTGTTCCTCAATAGACATGGTAAGCTTAAGCTTGAAAATATACCTATTATGGTTACCTTGAGGCAAACTTGAAGAGATTTTCACCAATTTCTAAAATGTTGTATTGTACCTCAAAGAAATTTGCCTTTACTACAGATAATTCTTAACTACATTTTCAGCACAGAACCAGTACCATAAAATGTGTAGCTTATGTTTTAGAGTTGATACTCCAATCAAGTATTGATAAATTAATGGAAGAGTCGTATTTTTAACCAGGCAATTTTTAACCAGATGTATTTTCAACCAGGTCTGTGTGTGCTCAAGGCCAGAATAAATGGATTTCTATAGAAAGAGTTTTTACAGTCATTTAATATAATTTGTGAAAAACAGTATTTGCTCCACTTTACATTCACACAAAACTCATAAAAAATTTAAACTTTAAACCTAGCATCTTCTGCTTCTTCAAATAGAGTATGTAATTAATAACTATTCATCATGAGGCCAAATATCAGACAAAAGCCTCAAAACACAAGTTAGACCACGGATTCACAAAGAGCTAACCATGAAGCAAATAGTGTTGATTACGATAATAGTCCTCCCCAAAGAGAGGGTCCAACCACACTTGGCAGGGAAGTGGGCCACAGGAAGAACTACAATTGGAAACCACCACTTGCTCTAGGTTCTTGCAAGCCCAGAGCAGTGCTCCCAGTAAGCAGACCTCCCAGAAGCCTGCCAGCACAATTGCAGTCTTATCAACACCCACATCATCCCAAGGATATTTTCACTTGCAAGATGTTAGCATTTGACAGAAAAAGCATTCTAAAATAAAAAGCAACTATGGGAATTCAGACCTATCTTAAACCTCCATTGAAATGACAATATGTTTGCTCAGCTGGAAAAAAGACTGAAGTAACCATTAGCTTGACCAAAAACACAAAAAACAGGCATGGTGGCTCACGCCTGTAATCCCAGCACTTTGGAAAGCTGAGGCAGGAGGATCACTTGAGACCAAGAGTTCAAGACCAGCCTGGGCAGTGAGGTGAGACCCAGTGAAGTGATTATCTAATTTTTAAAATTAAAAAATTAAAAAGCAAAGACTACCAAATTAAACAAAGTAAATTTACACAAATTCCAAAGCTAAGAGACTCAAATACAACATTTTATTACACAATTTTTATTAACCAAAAATTATACAAGGTAATTAACCAAAAATTATACAAGGTAATTGCCTTTCATTTGAATGAGAGACTTCCAAATACTGTATAAGTCCAACTATGGAAAAATGACAACAACAAACCTATCAAATTTTGTCTTAGCTCTGTTGGCCAGCCTCAAACCAACCATTTTCAAGAGACTCCCCACTTAAGGCCAGGCACAGGGGTGCCCAGCACTGTAATTCCAGTGCTTTGGGAGGCCGAGGTGGGAGGATTCCTTGAAGCCAGGAGTTTGAGACCAGCTTGGGCAACATAGTAAGACTCCTATCTCTACAAAAAAAATTTAAAAATTAGCTAGGTGTGGTGGCGCATGCCTGTTGTCCCAGCTACTTGGGAGGCTGAGGCAGGAGGATTGCTTGAGCCCAAGAGTTCGAGGCTACAGTGAACTGGGATCATACCACTGCACTCCAGCCTAGGTGACAAGGGAGGCCCTGATCCAAAAAAGAAAAAAAAAAAAAGAGATCCCACTTAAATGCCTTCAGTTTCCTTTTTAAAAGAAACAAGTAACTAATCAAAGTAAGGCAGGAATAAAAATTATCTGCTTAATCCATCAGTACCATATACAAATAGAAATAAGTACAGATTTTTTAAAAAACTCTAAACAAAATCCCCCAAACACCATCATAACCAGAAAAACTCACTCTGTGGAGAAATACATTTGGAAAGAGACACCTTCCACGTAGCACAATATGCCCTAAGGCTCTTTTAAACTGCCTAATATACTAACCAGACATCTTAAGAAAATCAAACAACTTAACATGGTACATCCATACTACAGAATATTGTTCAACTATTTAAAAAAATAAGCACGTCTTGGCCAGGCGCGATGGCTCACACCTGTTATCCCAGCACTTTGGGAGGCCAAGGAGGGCGGATCATGAGGTCAAAAAATGGAGACCATCCTGGCCAACATGGTGAAACCCCGTCTCTACTAAAAATATAAAAATTAGCTGGGCGTGGTGGTGCGCGCCTGTAGTCCCAGCTACTTGGGAGGCTGAGGCAGGAGAATCGCTTGAATCCAGGAGGCAAAGGTTGCAGTGAGCCGAGATTGTGCCACTGCACTCCAGCCTGGGCAAGAGAGCGAGACTCCATATCAAAAAGAAAGAAAGAAAGAAAGATAAGCATATCTTATATGTAAATGGAAACAAATACAGAATGTAGGAAAAAGGCAGAAAAATACATACAGTAATATGACTCCATTTGTGTAAAAAAATAAAAACCAAAAAAAGGAAAAGATCTCGAAAAATACATTAAGTTCTTGGATATGGTATTTGGAGAGGTGGAGCAGAGAAGAGATACTCAGGGAGGATTTTTACTTTTTCTTCTATAAACATTTGTATTGTCTGACCCTTTTGCAATAAGCATTTATTGTTGTGGTAATTAAAAAAACAAAACATTGGCCGGGCGCGGTGGCTCAGGCCTGTAATCCCAACACTTTGGGAGGCTGAGACGGACGGATCACAAGGTCAGGAGATCGAGACCATCCTGGCTAACATGGTGAAACCCATCTCTACTAAAAAAATACAAAAAATTAGCTGGGCGTGGTGGCGGGCGCCTGTAGTCCCAGCTACTCCGGAGGCTGAGGCAGGAGAATGGCGTGAGCCCAGGAGGCGGAGCTTGCAGTGAGCCGAGATCGCACCACCGCACTCCAGCCTGGGCGACAGAGCAAGACTCCATCTCAAAAAAAAAAAAATCTTAAACATACTATCAGACCCTGTTATTGTTTTTAAAATATCACATTCATGGTTAGTACATAGTAATAAAGTACTTCCAAAACAAATTTAAAGTTATCCTCAGAGATTGAAAAAGACTAAGAGACATGACAATTAAATGCAATGTGTAATACTAGATTGAAAAAAAAAGACATCTTTGGGACAACTGGCAAAATGTATAAATTACATATCAGGTAATAGTAGGGTTACAAATGTTAAAATGTCTGAATTTGATTACTGTATATTGATTATCTAAGACAATACTTGTTCTTAGGTAACACTATCAGATATTTAGGAAAGAAAGATCATGATGCCTGCAATTTACTCTCAAAAGGTTCTGCCAAAAGTAAATAAAACTTTTTTTAAAATATAGAAAGGTAATACAAACGTGGCAAAATTCCAATTACTGGTTAATCTAGGTTAAAAGTACATTATGGGAATTCACTGTGCTATTCTTGCAACTTTCCTGAAAGTTTAAAATTTTTTCAAAATAAAAAGTGTTTTCTGACAGGCGCAGTGGCTCACACCTGTAATCCCAGCACTTTGGGAGACTGAGGTGGGTGGATCACTTGAGGTCAGAAAACCAGCCTGGGCAGCATGGCAAACCCCATCTCTTCAAAAAATACAAAAATTAGCCGGGTGTGGTAGTGTGCACCTGTAGTCCTATCTACTCAGGACACTGAGGTGGGAGGATCGCTTGAGCCTCAGAGGCAGAGGTTGCAGTGAGCCAAGATTGTGCCACTGCACTCCAGCCTGGGTGACAGAGTGAGACCCTGTCTCACACACACATAAAAAAGTGTTTTTTTGTTTTTGTTGTTTTTTTTTTCTGTCAGAAAAACATTCTAACCTGATTTCAGTGACTTAGGTGTAAATGGCTTAGTTTCCAATATAAACTATCTCTCAGGGTTTTACAATAATAGTTCTTAGTGTATTACAAAATCAAGTACTCTACGGTACTCTTGGAAGAATTAACAGAAATGAAGCTAGTCAACTTTTTTAAGAAACTGAGCAAAGAACAATTAGCAAATTGAGCAGCCTCTTAACCAGGATAGGTTCAGAGAGGCTCCAGCAGAGCCACGTAATAGATTTATGGACAGAGAAGCTGGTCAACTTTTGATTCTCAAACCCAGGCTGGCCATCCTGCTTCCATCCAAAACCTGACAATGCTCATGGAACAATGAATATTAGGGTTGAGAAAATTTATTACAAATATCTATTACAGAATAAACTGTAATGTATTAAACAAAATTTTTAAGTGAATAAATTAAATCAACGAGTCACTACAGTGAAAAATGACTGAGAAGATCTGGAAACACCAAAGTCCTGCTAAGGAAACTAGGAAAGTATGACTGATAGATAATCTTGTATGTATAAAATACGGCTTGGCAACTAGAGACAATTCTTAGGAAAACACAGTTGTATCAACAGTTGCTTGATACTTTTCTAAAGACATAATGTGTCAATAAAAGGAGAATGGTATGCCTAAAATGTAGCAAAAGCAAATGGCAAAGAGGGACATGAATATTAAAGAGGTATACCCTAGCCTAAGCACTAGGATAGTTCAACAGGCTTTCCATACTTACCAGCAAACCCTCCAAGTACTATACTGGCCTCCTGTGCATCTCAGTAGCCCAAAGAAGGTAACCTGGCCTGTAGCACCATACCTCCATCACTACAAAGCTCTCTCTCTCATCAGAAAAATGGATTCAACTGTCTATAAAGCTACTAAAGGTCCAGATTATATATGAAATCTGGTAACCACATGATACTTTCTCTCAGTTGGCTTCCTAAGGTATCTCTATCTTCTCCATTCTAACATGAATTATAAGAATTTGACTTGCTGGGCACGGTGGCTCACATCTGTAATCCCAGCACTTTGGGAGGCCAAGGACAGGAGTTCGAGACCAGCCTGGGCAACACACCAAAACCCTGTCTCTATAAAAAATAAAAAATTAGCCAGGGCCAGGTGCAGTGGCTCACGACTATAATCCCAGCACTTTTGGGAAGCCGAAGCAGGAAGATCACTTGGGCTTAGGAGTTTGAGACCAGCCTGGGCAACATGGTGAAACCCCATCTCTACAAACAAAATTAGTTGGGCATGGTGGCATGTGCCCACAGTCCCCGCTACTCAGAAGGCTGAAGTGAGAGAATCACCTGAGCCTGGGAAGTTGAGGCTACAGTGAGCCATCATCGCGCCACTGCACTCCAGCCTGGGCAAGAGCGAAACCCTGTCTCAAAACAAAAAAATTAGCCAGGAGTGGTGGTGCACATTTGCAGTCCTAGATACATGGGACAATCACTTGAGCCCAGGAGTTCAGTTACAGTGAGCTATAATCTTGCCACTGTACTCTAACCTGGACAACAGAACAAGTCCCTAAAAATAAAAAATTAATATAGAATCTGACTATCCTGACTGCTTTGTATCTCATTTGAACATGCTGAAATATTCTTTCCCAGTTAAACTTTCTTTTGACCAAATTTGCCATACTTTCACATCATGGCGCCTCATAAGTACCGTTCTTTCTAGCTGACTTGTTCCATTCAATACTAACAATAAAAGAACTGACCAGGGGCGTGGTGGCTCATGCCTGTAATCCCAGCACTTTGGGAAGCCCAGGTGGGTGGATCACCTGAGGTCAGGAGTTCGAGACCAGCCTGACCAACATGGAGAAACCCCATCTCTACTAAAAATACAAAAGTAGACAGGCATGGTGGCGCATGCCTGTAATCCCAGCTACTCGGGAGGCTGAGGCAAGAGAACTGCTTAAACCCAGGGGGCAGAGGTTGTAGTGAGCCCAGATCACGCCACTGTACCCCAGCCTGGGCAACAAGAGCAAAACTCCATCTCAAAAAAAAAAAAGAAAAGAAAAAAAAAAGAAACTAACACTGTCCTAATTCTTAAATTCTCATAAAACCCTTTGCAGATGATACTACCATGATCCCCACTTTATAGGTAAGGAGTAATTAAGAAACTTGCCTAGGTTCACAAAGCAATTAAGTAAAAGAGATGAGATTCTAAACCAGGAGTTCTGTCTCCAGAGCCCAGGGATTTAACTTTTTTTGTGCCCTATACCATTTTGGCAATCTAATGAAGCTTGTGGATTCCTTCTCAGTCTAATATTTTTTAATGCATAAGATAAAATACATATGATTGCAAAGGAAGACAATTATATTGAGGGGAAAAAAACCAATGTGTCATATTGCTTAGTATGTGCTTCTCAATCTAGTGGATTTTGATATAATGATAAACATATTTCAAGATTCTATAAAAACCACAATACAGTTTGCCTTTGAACAACATGGGCTGGAACTGTCCAGGTCCACTTATACACAGATTTTTTTCAATAAAAGTTACACACCTTGTGCCTGCCTCCAGTTCTACCTCCTCCACCTCTGTCACTCAAGACAGCAAGACTAAAACCCCCTCCTCTTCTTCCTCCTCAGCCTACTCAGTGTGAAGACTACAAGGATGAAGACCTTTATGATGATCCACTTCCACTTAATGAATAATATATTTTCACTTCCTTATGATTTTCTTAATAACATTTTCTTTTCTCTAGCTTACTTTCTTGTAAGAATACAGTATATAATACACATAACATACAACAAAGTATGTGTTAGTAGACTATGTTCTCAGTAAAGTCAACAGTATCCTAGTAGCAGTTAAGTTTTGAGGGAGACAAAAGTTATATGCACATTTTTGACTGTGTTGCAGATTGGTACTTCTAACTCCCATGTTTGATCAAGAGTCACCTGCATATTTTATTATTAAAATATCTGATTTCTACACAAATCACAATTAATACTACTGTAGTTTGTTATTTATATTAGTAATTGAAAGAAATGCTAACTTCTAGTCAGAGGTTACCGAAGAGGTAATTTTCCCAAGTTCACAGATGTCATCCATGTTAAAACCTCAAACTGCACACTAAAACAGTTCTCTTAACACAGGCATTTAAAAAACCAATCAAGCCAAGTGTGGTGGTACACATCTATAGTTCCAGCTACTCAGGAGGCTGAGGTGGGAGAATGGCTTGAGCCCAGGCTGAAGACCAGCCTGGGGAAAATGTAAGATTCCATCTTAAAAAAAAAATAAAAAGACCAATCCTTGGCCCTTCTCTCTTTCTACCAAGGATTCTCTGGTAATCTCATCCAGCTTCATGGCTTGAATAATACCTAAACTGGTGAAAACAAAATTTATCTCCATTCCAGACCTTTCCCCTGAACTTCAGACTTGGTTATCAAATCAACTCAATATCTAACAGGCAATCTCAAACTTACTATGCCTAAAATTGAACTCCTCCTAATCTAGTCCTCAAATTTGCTCCTTTTAGTCATCACTGTCTTTGTTGATGGCAACTTTCTAACGCTGAGACCAGAAACCCTGGAATCATCCTTGGTTCCTCTCTCACATGTCATATTAGTTCCATCTTCAAAACATATCCAGTATCCATCCATTTCTCACTACTCTTATATTACCATCTTGGTACTGGCAGCATCTCTTTTCTGGATTACTAGCTTCCTTACTAGTCTCCAGGCTTCCACTGTTGTTCCCTTTGCAATTCAAATGATCCTTTGAAACTGAAAGCAGACTATGTCACTCTTCTGTTCAAAACTCTTGGCAAAGTTCTTAGAATGGCTTTACAAGACTGTAAAAAAGCTAAACCTCAGCCGAGAGCAGTGGCTCACACCTGTAATCCCAGCACTTTGGGAGGCCAAGGCAGGTGGATCATGAGGTCAGGAGTTCAAGACCAGCGTGGCCAAGAAGGTGAAACCCCATCTCTACCAAAAACACAAAAATTAGCCAGGCACAGTGGCAGGCGCCTGTAATCCCAGCTATTCAGGAGGCTGAAGCAGGAGAATCGCTTAAAGCCAGGGGGCAGAGGTTGCAGTGAGCCGAGATCACACCACTGCACTCCAGCCTGGGGGACAGAGTGAGACTCCATTCCAAAAAAAAAAAAAAGCTAAACCCCATCTCACCCTAACCCAGTTTATTATTACACCTTCTTGCTCATTCCATTCTAGCCATAATGGGCAAAACTCACAGGTCTGCCTCAACACCTTGAAACTATTCCCTCTTATTGAAATGCCTTCACCCCAGTTATTAACATGGCTACTTCTCCTTTAAATCTTTCCTAAATATCACTCTCTCAAGGATACTCACCCAGTATACCTCACTTTAAATTGCAACCTCTTCCTCAACAATTCTGAATCCCCCTTACTCTATTCCACTTTCCAAAGCACTTACCTTTGAACACTCTACATTATTTATTTAATTTTATTATTTTTTTTTCGAGATGGAATCTCCTTCTGTCCCCCAGGCTGGAGTGCAGTGGCACAATCTCAGCTCACGGCAACCTCCGCCTCCAGGTTCAAGCAATTCTCCTGCCTCAGCCTCCCGAGTAGCTGGGATTACAGGCGCCTGCCACCACACCAGACTAATTTTTTTTTTTTTTGTATTTTTAGTAGAGACGAGGTTTCACCATCTTGGCCAGGCTGGTCTCCAACCACTGACCTCAGGTGATCCACCCACCTCGGCCTCCAAAAGTGCTGGGATTACCGATGAAAGCCACCCCACTTGGCCAGAACATTCTATATCATTTATTATCACCCCTATTAGGATGTAAACTCCACAAGGGCAAAATTTTGTTTTGTACACCAATTACCCTTAGTGTGCCTATGTTTGGCATACAACAGACATGCATATGTTCAAAGACCTGCACCTCTATCACTGTAAAGTACTTGCCTATCTCCTTCATTAAAAGAGTTCCTTAAAGACTAACTGGATCTACTTTGCCGTGTCCTCAACACCTGTCCCTGGGCCTGCCCCATAATGGACACCCACTGCACAGATACTCAAGTGATTACAGCCATTTTCACCTGAAACACAATGTCCTCTATGCTGCTGAATAAAAAAGACATCTTGCAGCTGTGTCTGATTAAAAGCATGGGTACAAGACAAACCCAGAACATCAGACGCTAAGTGTTACTTCAGTCAAACTGAATTTACATTTTTGCCTCAATTTCTTCATATGTCTAAGTACCATTTCAAACCATCCAAAGTCTAAAAAGGGCACTTGGTCATTTCTCCCCTGAGCCATGTTGCCCACCTAGTCTTTTCATCCTCAACTTAAATCCTACCTTTTAACTTTTCCCTGATGACCCCAACTAGAAGCACTTACACGTGCCACATTCTGCGCCAAGTGCTCTTCATGCATTATCTCATTCAATCCTCCCAAAAAGCCCCAGTAAGTTGTTAACCATTATAATACCTATATAAAAGATGAGAAAACCCAAGTTCAGAGAGATGAAGTCATCGTCCAAGGTTAAAATAGTGTTCAGATTCAGGTCTGACTCTGAAATCCAGGTTTTTTAAACCCTATACTGCCTTTCTCTCTCCTCTCTCTAGCATTATAAACACTAACTAGCTTACTATCTCAAGAGTTTGCTGTCACTTCACTTCTCTAGCCTTCATTTTCTTCATATGCCAAACAGGTGATATTGCTCAGGATACCTACCATGATCCCCTCCAGTCTTTATAGTATTATGAAAAAAAGGAAAAACAAAACAACAACAACAAAAAACATGTTACAATTCTTTACTCCATACAGGTTAATACACAAGAAGAGGCCTGGCACAATGGCTCATGCCTGCAATCCCAGCACTTTGGGAGGCCAAGGCAGGAGGCTCACTTGAGGCCAGGGATTCAAAACCAGTAACGTAATTTATTTTTTTTTAATTAGCTGGGTGTGGTGACACATGCCTATAGTCCCAACCCAGGAGGCTGAGGCAGGAGGACTGCTTAAGCCCAGAGGTTCAAGGATGCAATGAGCCATGATGACACCACTGCACTCCAGCCTGGGTGACAGAGTGGGACCCTGCCTCTAAAAAAAAAAAAAAGGAAAAAATACACGAGAATTTAAAAATATATAATCACTGTTAGAAATCCAAAGCAGTGGATTTCTACTACATTAAAGCAATAAAAATAAAAACTCCAAAACATGTAAAACCATAAAACATTCTTGATTCCTTCCCCACTCAGGTCTACCAAAGATGCACTTCTGAGTCCATTTTCCCACATATTATGAAAAATTGTTTTTCCCCAAGAAGTGTAAGGATGTGATCCTTAAAGCTTCCGGACTTCACCAAACAACCTGGTAAAAGGAAGTGAAAGCAGGCACTTAGCCTATTCAGGGGTTAGCATGTTACTTTGTACAGAGCAAGTGCTATATAAGCATTTATTGAATCGTGATATAAAATTTTTTTTGAGGTTTTTCAAACTAAAAACCTATAACATGAGCTTTGTAATTGGACTGATGGTGCAGTAAATCAAAACAATCTTACCTAACTGACCCTGCCAGTAGCAAAACAAAAAGACCAATCTAATTAAGGTAATGTTAACCAATGGCCAAGAACCCATGAAAGGAAAAAGCCATGTTAACTTACTATTGCAAGTAAGAGTTGGGTTTTTAGAAAAGCAAAATAATGATTTATCTTGTTGTGCAGAAATGACCAACACCTCAACAGAATCCGTTTGTGTTGCAATCAAAACTATCAATTAAGATCCAGACATTTCTGGACCAATGTGAGAAGATGTGGCAAGGGATTCAAAAACGAGCCAGAGCAAACCTAAGGTAAAATGTGTCAAAACAGCAAAGCTCTTGGAATCATCCTGGTCATAAAAGTTTGACAGTTTCATGTGAAACCCCTATCAACCGATAAGTTTTAAATCAATAGTATATTCCTAGGTCTAACACCAGCAAACGGTGTTTAAGAACGGCTTTTCAAAACAATGGTCTCGTGAGGGTTCAGGGAAAGAAGTGACTCCAGGCTTTCTGAGATAGCAGATACAGCAGCAGATTCAGACCTCAAGAGAAATGTAAAGGTGTCCTAGACTGAAAAATTACTATTGGGCAAAACTGTGTGTCGGTTTTCCACAACATTGTCTTCTTTAGAGAATCCTCAAACGATTCTTGGTTTTTAACCAAGTCTTCACAAGAAATAGAAAGTCATCCGTTTAGGGTAAGAGATTCCTGTTACCAAGAAAATTGTGTCCGAAAGTGTGAAAATCTCACAACCTGCAAGAAAATGTATGTCCCTCAGGAGGCTTTCATTTTCAAGCGGAAAAACAAACCCGGTGTCACCTCAACAACGGGACCACACAAACCTCGCCATTACAAAACCCAAGTGCCAAAGGTGCACAATGTGAATCCGGAAGCACTGCAAGGCCAGGATCGAGTTCCCAGGAGGAAAAAATCAAACTCAGGAGTGCAGCGCGGGCCCCTCCACGGCCCGGGGGCCAGGCAACCCGCGCTAGGCCCTTCCGGTCCGAGGCGCCGCCGTCGCGGGGAGGTCGGGCGACGGGTCGAGCTTCCACCCGAGCCCGGGGATTCGCGGCCTACCCTCACCGGCGCCCTCTTGCCGGGCCCGGCACCGGCAGCTCCTCCGACTCTGCCCTTTGGCTAGCAGCGGGGCCCGGACGAGCCACGAGGAGCCCGAGAGGACCGCCGAGCCCCGGGATGGCCGGGTCGGTGCGGACACGGCGGTAACCGTAGGGACCGTGGCCGCCCCTCCCCCACCGGCCCGGCCCAACCGCCGCCGCGACACGAGCAGCGGCGCCAACGCCGGGCCCAACCGCGGGCCTGCTGCGGCCCCGGCCAAGCGGCTCGAAGTGGCGGCGCGGGCCTGCTCCCGACACCGACCGCGCGAGGCCACCGTGGGCCTGTTACTCCTCGCGCCGGCCCGCGCCGCCACCCGTCAGGACGCGCCGCCCTCGGCTGGGGATAAGGCGGCCGACAGCAGCGGGGGGCCGCGGAGCTGATACTTACTCAGGGGTCGGGTGCTCCGGGTCGTAGAAATCCCCCATCTTCGGAGGCGGCTGCGGCTGCAGCTGCTTCATCGGGAGCGGCTGGAGACGGCGACGCGAGCCCCCTCCCCGCAGCAGGGCGACGCGGGGGAGGGGAGGGGAGGAGGCCGCAGGTCCGACCGCGGCGGCGGCGGCGGCGGCGGCGGCGGCGGCAGGGGCGGCCCGCGTCGCTACCTCGCTCGTCGCTCCCTCCCTCCCTCGGACGCCCGCCAGCCGCTCTCTCCCTCTCACCCTCACACCGGGAGCGACGCACACCCCACCCGCCCCTCAGCTTCGCAGGCCCGGCCCCTTAAAGAGACACACACGGGCCACCGATCTGCCGCCAGTCGGCGTGCCTTGCAGCTGTTGGCTTGACCCCAGGCCGGGACGGGCAGAGCGGAACACTGCCCGGCGGGTCCAGGCCGACCGTGCCTGTGGCTCTCCGGAACAATAAACCCCCGGCCCCAGTGATGTGGGCCAGACCGGACCTGGAGAGGCGGCACCGCGACCCCTCCCGCAACCCGCCTGGCGGCCGGGGGCAGCGTGACCCGGCCCGCTACCGTGTCACAGCTGGCGACTGACAAACAGCAGGCGACGTCGGGAGAACTCCCCGAGACACCCGAGACATCAGCCTTCTCGCTCCGCGGCCCTGCAGGACCTGCCCGCCGGGAGCCCCGGAGTCCGCGGCAGCGCCGAGGGCCCCTCCCCCAGGCCTCTGGGCTCTGAGGTAACGCGGCCGCGGCTGCTCCCGGGCCCCTCGTCCCACTCGCCCCTCTCTTTTTTATTTTTCCTCGCCCTCTCTCTCCCTTGCCCGTTCATCTCGACCCTTTAGCAAGCATGGAAGCCCAGCGAGGCGGGGGATTGCTCGGAGGCCGAGCTCCCGGCAGCCTCCTCCGCCTTCCTTCCCGCTGTGCCCTCGGGGCTCCTACCTCCACCTCGGCGCGGCGCTCTGCCCCCACCCGAAGTCTCCAAGGCGGCAGCTCCCCTCTCCTGTGTGGTTCTTGGGGCCTTAGAGGCAATGTCATGAAAAAAAGGGTATTAATCACTTTCCTACAGAAATGATAAGATGAGACTAAGTAGAATAACTTGAAAGAGCTACGAGTTGTTATTTTTGGAAGGAGAGATAGGAACGCGTAAATCCAATAGCTAAACTTTCTAGACGCTGAAGAGTTTTTGGCGATAGATCATTTTGACATTGGGGGTTCATAGGGTTAGCGTTTTTTGTGTTGTTGTTGCTGTTGTTTTTCCACTAGAATTTTGAATCGGATTTTACCAGCAATTGGTAACGGAAAGGAAAGGATGTGTCTTCCAATTGAGAAACAGTGGTTAAAAACTGAAAGTGGGCCGGGCGCGGTGGTTCACGCCTGTAATCCCAGCACTTTAGGAGGCCGAGGCGGGCGGAGTAACTGAGGTCAAGAGTTCCAGACCACACTGGCCAACATGGCGAAACCCCATCTCTACTAAAAATACAAAATTTAGCCGGGCGTGGTGGCGCACGGCTGTAATTCCAGGTACGCGGGAGGCTGAAGCAGGAGAATCGCTTGAACCCAGGAGGCGGAGGTTGCAGTAAGCCCAGATTGTGCCACTGCACTCCAGCCTGGCGACAGAGCAAGACTCCATCTCAAAAAAATAAATAAATGAATGAAAATAAAAAATAAATTAGCTGGGCGTGGTGGTGCGCCTGTAATCCCAGCTACTCGGGAGGCTGAGGCAGGAGAATCGCTTGAACCCAGGAGGCGGAGGTTGTAGTGAGCCCAGATCGCACCATTGCACTCCAGCCTGGGCGATATAGCGAGACTCCGTCTCAAAAAAATAAAACAACAACAACAAAAAAAAACTGAAATATGATACGAAAGAATAAACATCCTTCAGTGGTTAACTTTTTAAAATAGCCTTTATATGTATGTAGGCTACAGTGTCTATTAGTGTTTTATAATCATTGTTTTTCACTTAGGGATTATTTTGGCTTTTGTTTTTTTTTTTCCTGGTACCTTTAGGGTTAGCATGGAGGTCCAGGGTCCATCTGACTCCCTAGGTTCGAATCTCCCAAGGCCATTTTTTTACACACCGTGATTATTACTAATTTCCCTGTGGTTTTTCTCATTATAAAATGAGAATATTGCTGCCGACAGGTCTTCTCATTATTGTGAGGATTAAATGAGCTATTTGTTAAAGGCTTAAACTTTCAGTAAACGTCAGCATTCTTCAGCCATGATAGTGCAGAGTTTAAGAGGTAGCTCTACCTGGCATTGTGTACCAGGCACTTTCTAGCCCTGTGACATTGGGATGCTTGCTTCTTATGCTTCCCGTGCCTCACCTGTAAATGGGGTATTAGCCACTGTGCAGAGAATGTTGTGAACATGCTTGCACAGTGCCTTTCATTGAGTAAGTGCCCAGTAAGTGTTATCTTTTGGGCTTTGAAAGAATAGATTGAGGCCCTGTGCCTTAGATGCCACATAGGCAATTGGGAGTCACTTGACCTTGGACAGGCAGGAAAGGACAATTTTAGGTGGAGGTGGTTGAAACAATGTGAGGTGGTAAGGACCTAAGCTGAGGTGAATGAGAAAAAAGCAGTCAGGTGCAGGTTTCCTATTTCCTTAATAAGAAAGTAAGCAATTCTCTTGCAGGAGGTACAGCTGGGCACTGGAATGCCTGGTCTCATGATAGCATTGGTTTGGTCAGAACCCAGTGCAATAAGCTTGTCAAGCCATGGGAATCAGTGAGAATTCTAAGCCCCAAACAGAAACAAATGAACTGGGTTTTTACAGGCAGTGCCTTCATCTATAACTGCACTCAGAGTTCTTTGGACTCATATTTTTAAGTCAAAGAGAATGCATGCTTGGAGCACGTACTTGGGCCTGGCCTCCTGATCAAAGCTGTGGAATAATTTGGTTTTTCATGTTATTAAATACTGACCATCCCCTACTTTCTGCACATGTTTAAAGGAAAAATGTCTAAAAAGCCCTAGCATGAAATATTTGAGGCATTCACTCCCAGAGTGCTAAAATCGTAAAAGCCTTTATAATTTCAGCTGGGTGTGATGGGATCATGCCTGTAATCCCATCACTTTGGGAGGCTGAGGCAGGTGGGTCACCTGAGGCTGGGAGTTCAAGACCAGCCTAACCAACATGGAGAAACCCGGTCTCTACTAAAAATACAAAAATTAGCCCGGCGTGGTGGCACATGTCTAATACCAGCTACTAGGGAGGCTGAGGCAGGAGAATCACTTGAACCTGGGAGGCGGAGGTTGCAGTGAGCCGAGATCATGCCATTCCACACCAGCCTGGGCAACAAGAGCGAAACTCATCTCAAAAAAATATATATATATTTATACTTTCTCCTACTGTTACTGTCTCCTGTGGGTCAAGACCAACCCTATCCCAGGAGATTCCAGGGTTGCCAGTAGTGACCCTGAAACAAAATCATCTCTTGCCTTAGGGAAGACAAAGGCCAAAAGCCTACTCTCCACAGGTAGGCTTCGGGTACCTGGTAAGGGTAGTAGAAAGAAGAAATGTAGACCGGGTGCGGTGGCTGACGCCTGTAATCCCAGTACTTTGAGAGGCCAAGGCAGGCGAATCACCTGAAGTCAGGAGTTCGAGACCAGTCTGACCAACATGGAGAAACCTGGTCTCTACTAAAAATACAAAATTAGCCGGATGTGGTGGCACATGCCTGTAATCCCAGCTACTCTGGAGGATGAGGCAGAAGAATCGCTTGAACTCTGGGAGGCGGAGGTTGCGATGATGAGCTAAGATCGCGCCACTGCACCCCAGCCTAGGCAACAACAGCAAAACTCCATCTCAAAAAAAAAAAGAAATGTAGGTCGGGCACAGTGGCTCATGCCTATAATCCCAGCACTTTGGGAGGCCGAGGAAGGCAGATCACTTGAGGTCAGGAGTTCAAGACCAGCCTGGCCAATACGGTGAAACCCCATCTCTACTAAAAATACAAAAATTAGCTAGGCATGGTGGCGCACGCCTATAATCCCAGCTACTCGGGAGGCTGAGGCAGGAGAATTGCTTGAGCCCGGGGTGGGGGGTGGAAGTTGCAGTGAACAGAGATCGCATCACTGCACTCCAGCCTGGGCAACAAGAGTGAGACTCAGTCTCAAACAAAAAAAATGAATAAAATAAATAAATATGTATTTTCTCCTCTGTAGCACAGAAACATTTACTATCAACATCTTAGCATTTTGGGGAGCGGGAAATGAGATAATGTCTGACAAAGTACCTAATGCCTGTAAACTAATAGCCATACAACAAAAAATTGGCTACCTTATAAATTTAGGTAGATATATGAGGCTCAATACAATTGAAGATTTAGATTTAGTCAGTATACAGAATAAAGGCAGCATAATTTAGAATAAATTACTCATTCACATAAGTTTTGTTATATTGTTATAACTGTTTTATTAACTACTGTTAATCTCTTAGTGTGCCTAATTTATAAATTAAACATCATAAGTATGTATGTATAGGAAAAAACAAAGTATATTTAGGGTTCCAGGCATCCACCAGGGGTCTTGGGACCTATCCCTTGTAGATAAGGTGGGGACTACTGTAATTACAACTTTTTTTTTTTTTTTTTTTTTTTTTTTTTGAGATGGAGTCTCGCTCTGTCGCCCAGGCTGGAGTGCAGTGGTGCGATCTCAGCTCACTGCAAGCTCCGCCTCCCGGGTTCATGCCATTCTCCTGCCTCAGCCTCCCAAGTAGCTGGGACCACAGGCACCCGCCACCATGCCCGGCTAATTTTTTGGATATTTAGTAGAGATGGGGTTTCACCGTGTTAGCCAGGATGGTCTCGATCTCCTGACCTTGTGACCCACCCACCTTGGCGTCCCAAAGTACTGGGATTACAGGCATGAGCTACCGCACCCAGCCTAATTACAACTTATTTTTATTCCTATTCATTCTGCACATCCCAACACAAGGCAAGAAGAATCTAGAAAACAATGCACAACCTACATTGAGCTCCACCTCCTATAATTCCTATTAGATGTTATTTGTATCAAGTCAGCACCCTCCTACATAGTATTATTATACTCTGTAGTTGTTTTTCCTATACAGATAATCTTTCTGTTACATATTGCTTTGTTAACAGATTTTAATTACATAATATATCTATCTTACCAACTTTATAAGTTTGTTGTAGGCAGAAGCAATCTGTCTTTCCTATTTTATAGTGTTTGAGGCTGTAGGTAGCAAGTGTTGAATGAATAACTACTTTGTTACTTCTGAAAAGCTTACTTTTTGATTAATACTTTTCCTTTTTACCAATTCCTTTTTCTTTTTTTTTCAGGCTCATCCATGGAATACCAATTCTTTTTCTTAGTGTTCACATTGGATTTTTCTGTTAAAAATAGATTGTTGGAGTTGGCTAACAAGTTGATTACTTCCAGTCAGGCACTCTCTTCTGTAAAGTCTCTTTTGTAAACTCCTACAAGCAGCTATTTCACTGGATTTGAAAAGACTGACTAAAAAGAACCATGCACTGTAACTCTCAAGTATACAGGAATATTGTTATTAGGTAATTTTTTTTTTCAATATGTGTTAACCTTGTCTTCCCTACAATTTTCTTTTTCTTTTTTTTTTTTTTTTGAGATGGAATCTCACTCTGTCGCCCAGGCTGGAGTGCGGTGGCACAATCTCAGCTCACTGCAACCTCTACTGCCTGGGTTCAAGCGATTCTCCTGCCTCAGCCTCCTGAGTAGCTGGGATTACAGACGCGCGCCACCATACCCAGCTAATTTTTTGTATCTTTAGTAGAGACGGGGTTTCACCATCTTGGCCAGGCTGGTCTTGAACTCCTGACCTTGTGATCCACCCGCCTCAGCCTCCCAAAGTGCTGGGATTACAGGCATGAGCCACGGCGCCCAGCCTCCCTACAGTTTTCAAACATTCAGAGAGGTGATTATGGTGTATCTTTTATTCTGTTTTGCTTTGGATCTTGGCGTTCTTCTAGAGAACTCATCTGCTCAGGAGCTTCTCAGTGCATCTTCCCTCCCAAACTTGTCTTACCCAGCAGAGAATGAATGTACTCAAGATTACCAGTTTTGCAGATGAATAAACCAATGATTCCAGAGGTTATGGTGCATATCTAGAGTCACATGACTAAGAAATGATAAAACCAGGATTTCAGCCAGGTTATCTGTTTCAAGACATTTTCAGACAAAAAAATCTGGAGTTTGCCACCAACAAGAAATGATCCTAGCCTCAGCATCTCAGCCCACACTGGGAGTGTCAGGTGCTGAAAAAAAATTTTTTTAATTTTACATAGTAAATAATTTTATAAAAAAGAAAGAAATGATCCCTTATACAAGAAGGAATGATAAAAATATTAGTAAATAAGTGGTTAAAACTAAAAACTTTTTACCATACAAAGTAATAGTAAGTAATTTGTGTGGTTAATAAGGTAAAGCAAGATGGAACTGATACTCTGGACAACAAAGTCATATATTTAGAAGCAGGATGAGTGGAGTGATGGTTGGAGTTGAAGTTTTCCAAGGTCCTGGTATTGTTTGGGAAGTGGGTAAAAATATTGATTAACTTTAACCTTTACTCTTTTAAGTGTATAAGATAAAATATGTAGGGTAACTGCTTTTCCAAATTAACAGAAGAAAATAGAATAAAGAAAAATACAAAAAAAAAGGCCGAGCATGGTGGCTCACGCCTGTAATCCCAGCACTTTGAGATGCTGAGGCGGAAGGATTGCTTGAGACCAGGAGTTTAAGACCAGCCTGTGCAACATAGCCAGACTCCCTCCCAGCTCTACAAAAAACAAAAGAGATTAGCCAGCTGTGGTGGTGCACACCTATAGTCCCAGCTACTTGGGAGGCTGAGGCAGGGGGAATACATTTCAGTTTTAAAGAGTGCAAAATGGACAAGAAAATAAAACTTAGGCCAGGTATGGTGGCTCACGCCTGTAATCCCAGCACTTTGGGAGGCTCAGGCAGGTGAATTGCTTTAACTAAGGGGCTCAAGACCACCCTGGACAACATGATGAAACCCCATCTCTACCTAAAATACAAAAAAATTGGCTGGGTGCGGTGGCTCACACCTGTAATCCTAGCACTTTGGGAGGCTGAGATGGGCAGATCACCTGAGGTCAAGAGTTCAAGACCAGCCTGCCCAACATGGCAAAACCCCATCTCTACTAAAAATACAAAAATTACCCGGGCATGCTGGCATGTGCCTGTAATCCCAGCTACTTAGGAGGTTGAGGCAGGAGAATCACTTGAACTCAGGAGACGGAGGTTGCAGTGAGCCGAGATCACGCCACTGCACTCCAGCCAGAGCAAGACTCCATCTCAAAAAAATTAGCCAGACATCATGGCACATGCCTGTGGTCCCAGCTAGTCAGGAGGCTGAAGTGGGAGGATCTCTTGAGCCCAGGAGTTCAAAGTTACGGTGAGCAATGATCTTGCCACTGTACACCAGCCTAGATCACAAAGCAAGACTGTCTCTTTTAAAAAAAAAAGGCCAGGCATGGTGTCTCACACCTATAATCCTAGCACTTTGGGAGGCTGAGGTGGGCGGATTACTTGAAGTCAGGAGTTCGAGATCAGCCTGGCCAGCATGGTGAAACCCCTTCTCTACTAAAAATACAAAAATTAGCTAGGCATGGTTGCATGCACCTGTAGTCCCAGCTATTTGGGAGGCTGAAGCATGAGAATCGCTTGAACCTGGGAGGCAGAGTTTGCAGTGAGCTGAGATTATGCCACTGCGCTCCAGCCTGGGCAACAGAGCAAGATCCTGTCTCAACAAAAAACCATTTCACCTCTTTATGTGGCTTCTAGAAAATTTAAAATCACATTTGTGACTTCCATTTTATTTCTCTTGGACAGCACTGATCTAGGATATATATAGAACTAATGTAAGTGAATAAGAGAAAGACAACCCAGCTTTTTAAATTGGTAAATACCTCAGAAGAGGAAAAATTAATGTCCAGGAAACATTTGAAAAGCTGTTTCAGGGAAATCAGGGTGCTGGTCAGAGTGTTAATTGATACAATCATTTTGGAAAACAAGTTGGTTGGCATTACCTAGTAGAGTTGCATATGGGCATATCTTAAAACCCAACAATTGTTCTTAGATATACAAATTAAAACTCTTGCAAATATACACCAAAAGACATGTCTAGGAATGTCTGTAGCAGTATTGGCAAATGGGCAAATGTCTATCAACTATAGTATATATAATGAACTACTATTAAACAGCTTAAAAGGCAGGGTTTTGCATTTGTTGCTGAGGCAGGAGTATCACCTCAAACACTTGGGCTCAAGCGATCTTCCCACCTCAGTCACCCAAGTAGCTGGGACCACAGGTGTACTCCACCATGCCTGGATTTTTTTTTCCCCTGTCTTATGGTGCTGATGTATAATTGTTTTTTAGTTTTTTTAGAAACAGGGTCTCGCTATGTTGCCCAGGTTGGTCTTGAACTCCTGGCCTCAAGTGATCTTCCCACACTGGTGTCCCAAAGCATTGGGATTACAAGCATGTGCCACCAAGCCTGGCCATAACTGAAATTTTCAGCTATGCCTACCAAAATGGTAAAGTCTTGGGGACATAATAATGAACAGGAAATAAAAGGCATAGAATGTTTTTCCATTTATGTAAAGTTTTAAGAGTCAAAATTAAACAACAGATGGTGTTGAGAAATATGGTAAAACTATAACCAAGAGAAAGGTAAAGAAAAATTTTAGGATAGTTTTGGTTTGGTTTGGTTTTCCTTTCTGAACAGGAAAAGGGATTATATAGGGGACACCCAGGAGGCCTCAGAGCACAGGTAAATTTGTATTTCTTAAACTAGTTAGTAAGTGGACAGATATTTGTTTTGTTATTTTGTCTACACTAGATGTAATGAATGTTATTTATATCTATTTATTATTCCGTAACAACTATGTGTGTGCGTCCTTTGACCCAGCAAATTCTATTTCTAAAATTTTGGTTCACGGAAATAAAAGCACTCGTACATAGACTAAATGTACAAATTAATGGTATAATTTGTGGTGGGAGAAATGAAGTGAATGCTCATAAATAAGGGAATGGGTGAATATATTTTGGAACATCCATACAGAGGAGTATTATACTGTCATTAAAAAGAATTGAGTTTGCCAGACATGGTGGCTGACAACTGTAATCCCAGAACTTTGGGAGGCTGATGTAGGAGGATCACTTGAGCTCAGGAGTTGGACACCAGCCTGGGCAACATAACAGGACTTCATCTCTACTAAAAATAAAAAATTAGCTGGGTATAGGGTCATACACCTATAGTCCCAGCTACTCAAGAGGTTGAGGTGGGCGGATTGCTTGAGCCCAGGAGATGGAGGCTGCAGTGAGGCAAGATCGCGCCACTGCACTCCAGTCTGGACAACAGAGCAAGACCATGTCTCAAAAAATAAATAAATACATAATAAGTATATGCATATGTATTTAGATATCTATTAAGAAATTAGGCCGGGCGCAGTGGCTCACGCCCATAATCCCACCACTTTGGGAGGCCAAGGCAGGCGAATCATCTGAGGTCAGGAGTTTGAGACCAGCCTGGCCAACATGCCAAAACCCTGTCTCTACTAAAAATACAAAAATTAACCGGGCATGGCACGCGCTGGTAATCCCAGCTAGTCGGGAGGCTGAGGAAGAAGAATCACTTGAACCCAGGAGGCAGAGGTTGAGTGAGCCAAGATCACACCACTGCACTCCAGCCTGGGCAACAGAGTAAGATTCCGTCTTAAAAAAAACAAAACAAAACAAAACAAAACCCTCACACTATATTCCAAATCCTGAAATAAGAAACAAATTTGCAAATTAAGAAATTATGGATTAACTTATTGATTATTGCTCAGAAAACGTACCTTATTTTTACTCTGAAATTCACTTTATTTATAATACTTTAAAACAATTTAGCTAAAGTAGTGTTTATAGGATGTTACTTCTCTGGTTAGACATGTTTCACACAACAGTTTTCAATGCTGAAAATTCATTTGATAATTTTAATCACAATTTATGATTGATTGATGGATTAATCAGTAATTTAGATGCCATAAGAACCATTGAAAGGAATAATCTGACTATTGCTCATTGTACAATCTTGATCATTAGTTATAAGCCAAGAATCTGATATCCCACTCTTGAATTACATTTTTCAATGTGTGTATTTGGTCAACAACAGGTCACAGTGAGCCGAGATCATGCCACTCCACTCCAGCCTGGGTGACAGAGCAAGACTCCATTTCAAAAAAAAAAAAAACTGAAAATACCAAATATTGACAAGGATTTGGAGCAAGTGGAACCCTCATACATTGCTGATGGAAATGCAAAATTATACAGCCAATTTGGAAAAATAACTGGGTGTGGTGGTGTGCACCTATTTTTCCAACAACTTGGGAGACTAAGGTAGGAAGATCCCTTGAGCCCAGGAGTTTGAGGTTACAGTGAGCTGATGGCGCCACGGCTCTCCAGCCTGGGTGACAAAATAAAACTGTTTCAAAAAAAAGAAAAAAAAATGATGCTATAAGAAAAAAACTATATACCAATGTCCTTCATTAACATAGATACAAAATGTTTAATCACAATTTTAGCAAATTGAATCCAACTGTCTCCCCCACCCCCACATCTATCTATATATCTATATTTGTTTGTTTGTTTTGAGACGGAGTTTTGCTCCTGTTGCCCAGGCTGGACTGCAATGGCATGATCTCGGCTCACTGCAACCTCCACCTCCTGGGTTCAAGTGATTCTCCTGCCTCAGCCTCCCGAGTAGCAGGGATTACAGGCATGCCCCACCACGCCTGGCTAATTTTGTATTTTTAGTAGAAACGGGGTTTCACCATGTTGGACAGGCTGGTCTCAAACTTCTGACTTCAAGTGATCCGCCCGCCTCATCCTCCCAAAGTGTTGGGATTACAGGCGTGAGCCACTGCATCCGGCCTTGTTTTTTTGTTGTTGTTTTTTTTTGAGACAGGGTCTTGGTCTGTCACCCAGGCCAGAGCGAGTCTCATGGTTCACTGTAACCTCCGCCTCCTGGGATCAAGGAATCCCACCTCGGCCTCCTGAGTAGCTGGGACTATAGGCACAAGCCACCACGCCTAGCTAGTTTTTGTTTTGTTTTGTTTGATTTGGTTGGTTGTTTTTTTCTTTTTGTTTTTGTTTTTGTAGAGATGGCGTTTTGCCATGTTGCCCAGGGTGGTATCAAACTCCTAGGCTCGAGTGATCCACCCACTTCAGCTTCCCAAAAGGCTAGGATTGTAATCACATCTGTAGGCATGAGCCACCACGCCTGATAAATCTAACAATACATTAAACGTAAAATACCAGGCCAGGTGCAGTGGCTCACACCTGTAATCCCAGCAGTTTGGGAGGCCAAGGCGGGTGGATCACCTGAGATCAGGAGTTCAAGACCAGCCTGACCAACATGGTGAAACCCCATCTCTACTAAAAATACAAAAATTAGCTGGGCATGGTGGCACACGCCTGTGGTCCCAGCTACTCGGGAGGCTGAGGTGGGAGAAGGGACTAGCCTTGTCTCAGATGAGTCTTTGGACTTCTGAGTTAATGCTGGAATAAGTTAAGACTCTGAGGGACTATTGGGAACACATAATTGTATTTTGCAATGTGAGAGGGACATGAGATTTAGTGGGGCCATGGGTGGAATGATATGATTTGGGTCTGTGTCCCCACTAAATCTCATGTCGAATCCCCAGTGTTAGAAGTGGGGCCTGGTAGGAGGTGATTAGATTATGGGGATGGTTTCTCATGAATTGCTTAGTACCATGCCCCCTTGTGAGTTCTCACAACATCTGGTTGTTTAAAAGTGTGTAGCACCTCCCCACCCTCTCTCTTGGTCTAGCTCCTGCCATATAAAATGCCGGCTCCTGCTTTGCCTTTCACCATGAGTAAAAGCCTCCTGAGACCTTCTCAGAAACAGATGCTGCCATCCTTCCTGTACAGCCTGCAGTACCGTGAGCAAAATAAGCCTCTTTTGTCTATAAATTACCTAGTCTCAGGTATTTATTTATAGCAATGTAAGAAAGAACTAATACAAGTGGTTTCACTTCTTATAGCCTAAAACTACCTAGCATGCCTTTGAAATTGCAACTGCTTTCTATTTCTTATAATTCAGACTTGTCTTTTCATTTGTGACCAATTCCTGTTATTTCAAAACCAAAGAGTGCATGAGGGTGAATTATATTACCCTGAAGAGATGAGACAATGACTCTGTCTGAACCATTCAGCTGGTCTAGGTGACTAGAGACTGCAGAGATGTCAGGACTGTTGCCTAGGACACAAAGCAGACTTACAGGGCATTCCTCACTGAAAGAACATTTTAGGGACACTTACTTATCCAGAAAGGCATAAATAAGGAACTGGTAACCCTGATAACTTGAGAACCCTACTGCTACCTGGTGATTAGAGGCAGTCTGAGACACATAAGAGAGTGGTTCAGGCCAGGAGTGGTGGTTCACACCTGTAATCCCAGCACTTTGGGAGGCCAAGGTGGGTGGATTGCTTGAGATCAGGAGTTTGAGACCAGCCTGGCCAGCATGGCGAAACCCCCCTCTACTAAAAATACCGAAGTTAGCCAGGTGTGGTGGCACATGCCTGTGATCCCAGCTACTTGGGAGGCTGAGGCACGAGAATCACTTGAACCCGGGAGGTGGAGTTTGCAATGATCCAAGATCATGCCACTGGACTCCAGCCAGAGCAACACAGTGACACTCTGTCTCAAAAATATATATATATATTTTGGGACCTGGACAGGTGACCATGGTGAGACCTTTGAAGACATATGTATGTCCATAGCATGCATATGTCTTTGAACTGTGTATCTTGAAGTAATGTTATGTTAAATTATGTAATAGATAATCATAAAGTGTCTGAGTCATTTCTAAGTAAGTTAAAATGCTGAGATATCAATTTAATCTTTTAGTTTTTTGTTGTTGACTTTAGACATCTAGAAATATAAAGCATAATCAATTTAAGAATAAAAAATACGGCCTGGGTACAGTGGCTCATGCCTATAATCCCAGCACTTTGGGAGGCCGATGCGGGCAGATCGCTTGAGTCCAGGAGACCAGCTCGGTAACATGGAGAAACCCTGTCTCTACAAAAAATATAAAAAATTAGCCAGGTGTAATGGCAGGTGGGTGTGGTAGTATGCGCCTATAGCCCCAGCTACTAGGGAAGCTGAGGTCAGATGATCACTTGAGCCTGGGAGGTGTAGGTTGCAGTGAGCCAAGATTGTGTCACTGCCCTCCAGCCTGGGCAACAGAGTGAGACCCTGTCTCAAAAAGCAAAAACTATGCAAATAAGGACAATTATTAACAAAACAATCTGAAATCCGTATCTGAAAAGTGTTTCTGGCCAGGCGTGGCTCACGCCTGTGATCCCAACATTTTGGGAGGCCGAGGTGAGTGGATCACTTGACACCAGGAGTTGAAGACCAGCCTGGCCAACATGGTGAAACCCTGTCTCTACTCAAAATACAAAAATTAGCCAGGTGTGGTGGTGCATGCCTGTAATCCCAGCTACTTCTTAGGAGGCTAAGGCAGGATAATCGCTTGAACCCGGGAGGCAGAGGCTGCAGTGAGCCGAGACTGTGCCACTGCACTCCAGCCTGGGTGACAGAGCGAGACCCTGTCACAAAAAAAAAAAAAAAAAAAAAAAGTGTTTCTAAAGGTAACCAGGCCAGGCACAGTGGCTTGCCTAGGCCTACCAGCTGCAGGGCAGGTTACAGCTAGTGGCCCAAGCTCTGGGATAAAATATTAATCAATATTAATGATACTTAGTCTTTTAAGCTTAAGCTTATATACTTTGTTGTCTTTATGGTTTAACAAAGCTAAATATATTTCAATCTGTTAATAAAAATGGAAGAAACATCTTTAAAAAATTATGAAGTAATTTTCATCTACAAATATTGACAAAAAAGTTCAAAATTACTTTCTAGGTTTTTCACTAGAAATTAGGTTACTAAAAGTTAAAATTATAGTAAATATATATATTAAAACTACTAGGCTGGGCCTGGTGGCTCGTGCCTGTAATCCCAGCACTTTGGGAGGCCGAGGCAGGTGGATCACCTGAGGTCAGGAGTTCAAGACCAGCCTGGCCAACATGGTGAAACCCCGTCTCTACTAAAATAAAAAAATTAGCTGGGAGTGGTGGCAGGTGCCTGTAATCCCATAATCCCAGTTACTTGGGAGGCTGAGGCAGGAGAATCGCTTGAACCTAGTAGGTGGAGGCTGCAGTAAGCAGAGATTGCGCCACTGCACTCCAGCCTGGGAGAGCAAGACTCTGTCTCAAAAACAAACAAAAAAAATTTCTAGCTATAAGAGAAACAATTCTGTGTACACAGCATTTAAAAACCAAATGTGTCTTTGGTAAAGAAGATTATAAAGAAGGCATGAGAATGTAGTTTTTCTTAAAGGAAAAGTACTTTTGTCTAGAGATTCCTAAAGATTATTTTAAGTTGAAAGGATAAGAAAGAATGATAGATAAAACTAAATGGAGGCCAGGTGCAGTGGCTCACACCTGTAATCCCAGCACTTCGAGAGGCTGAGGCAGGCGGATCACCTGAGGTCGGGAGTTTGAGACCAGCCTGACCAACATGGAGAAACCCCGTCTCTGCTAAAAATACAAAATTAGCCAGGCGTGGTGGCGCATGCCTGTAATCCCAGCTACTCAGGAGGCTGAGGCAGGAGAGTCGTTTGAATCTGGGAGGCAGAGGTTGCGGTGAGCCCAGATCGTGTCATTGCACTCCAGCCTGGGCAACAAGAGCGAAACTCCATCTCAGGAAAAAAAAAACAAAACAAAACTGAATGGATATAGAAAGTTGAGGAAAGAAAGAGATTGGGAAAAAAATGTAAGAAATTATAAAAGTCTCTAGAAAGCTTATCTTGTGTCATCAAAGCTGATTGAAATTGGATGGGTTGGCTGGGCGCGGTGGCTTACACCTGTAATCCCAGCACCTTAGGGAGCTGAGGCGGGCGGATCATGAGGTCAGGAGTTCGAGACCAGCCTGGCCAACATGGTGAAACCCCATCTATACTAAAAATACAAAAATTAGCCAGGTGTGGTGGCGGGCACCTGTAATCCCAGCTACTCGGGAGGCTGAGGCAGGAGAATCACTTGAAACTGGAAGGCAGGGGTTGCAGTGAGCTGAGATGGCGCCACTGCACTCCAGCCTGTGTGAAAGAGCAAAACTCCATCAATCAATCAATAAGATGGATCAGCATTTCCATTGTACATACCACCCTTAGTCTTCCAGAGTGGTGGAAAACACAAATCAGATAATAAAAGAATCAATTGGCAAAGCTTATGCAAACTTTTAACTTTCCCTGGCTTAAGGCTCTTCCATTTGCTTGACTTACATTCTACCTGGTTTGGAAAACATCAGGTTTCTTTCTCCCTTTGAAATAGTAATGGGAAGGTCCATGTGCCTAGGATGAAGGAGCCTATGAACCAGCTTTCCTTAAAGGTGATATTCTTTGTTTTTGCTAAGGGCTTGTAAGCTTCTCACTAAAATTAAGGATTAATGAAGGATTTTTCTTTTTTTTTTTTCCAGATGGAGTGTCGCTGTGTCACCCAGGCTGGAATGTAGTAGTGCGATCTTGGCTCACTGCAACCTGCACCTCCCAGGTTCAAGCGATTCACCTGCCTCAGCCTCCTGAATAGCTGGGATTACAGGCGCACACCACCACACCCAGCTAATTTTTTGTATTTTTAGTAGAGACAGAGTTTCACCATTGGCCAGGCTGGTCTCAAACTCCTGACCTCAAGTAATCCACCTGCCTCGGTCTCCCAAAATGCTGGGATTACAGGTGCGAGCCACACACCCAGCCTAAGGATTATTTTAACAGTGAGCTCCCAGAATATAAGACCATCAAAGATCACAGTCTCCAACCTGGAGATTTTTTAAATACAAAAACATCAAATAGGGGACTCTTTCCAACATGTTAGAAGGAACCATATCAGGCAGCCCTGCCTCAGTGGGCATCTTCAACAGCAGAGATCTTCAATACCTTATTTTTCAGACTAGTACAAGGAATAGATGAAATATTTATTTGGTTACATTTATTTGTTTAAAAAAATTTTTTTTAGAGATAGAGTCTGGCTCTGTTGCCCAGGCTGTAATGCAGTGTCATGATTATAGCTCACTGTAGCCTTAAATTCCTGAGCTTGAGTGATCCTCCTGCCTCAGCCCCATGAGTAACGGACTGCAGGTGGATGCCACTTCACCTGGCTAATTTTTTATTTTATTTTTATTTATTTATTTTTTTGAGATAGAGTCTTGCTGTCACCCAGGCTGGAATGCAGTGGTGCAATCTTGGCTCACTGCAAACTCCGCCTCCTGGGTTCATGCCATTCTCTGGCCTCAGCCTCCCGAGTAGCTGGGACTATAGGCGACTGCCACCATGCCTGGCTAATTTTGTTTTTGTATTTTTAGTAGAGACGGGATTTTACCACGTTAGCCAAAATGGTCTCGATCTCCTGACTTCGTGATCCGCCCGCCTCGCCCTCCCAAAATTCTGGGATTACAGGCGTGAGCCACTGAGCCTGGCCTATTTTTATTTTATAGAGATAGGATCTTTCTATGTCGCCCAGGCTATTCTCAAACTCCTGACCTCAAGTGATCCTCCTGCGTTGGCCTCCCAAAGTTCTGGAATTATAGGCATAAGCCACTGCACCTGGCCTGGTACTTTTAGAAATAAGAACACTTTTCAGACCTGGATTTCAAGTTGTTTTGTCAATAATTGTCCTTATTTGCATCATATTTTTTATTCTTAAGCTGATTATGCTTTGTACTTTTAGATAACTAAGGTCAACAACAGAAAATGAATTATGATAGTTAGATGCTTAGAAAGAATCCAATATTCTGCAGCTTCCTTGTAAGCGGATGGCCTGACCAAGGTCCCATTGCTCTGTCTCTTTTTTTTGTTAATCAATTCAGCATTGAGACATCACTAAGTTCATAAGCCACAATACCTCTCCTCTCTTCCTCTGACATGGAACAAGGTTACCTGGGAATGAGCCTTCCCAGCTACATGGGAGAAACATACATCTAAAATGTTGAACATCAATGCTTTCAGAAGAGAAAGGTTTCAATCAAAAGAGAGAAATGAGAAAAAAAATCAGAGCAGTCTGAGGTACATGAGGTATGCAAAACTTATCAGGCACAAAGAGACATGAGTGGTCAGGCGCCATGGCTCACACCTGGAATCCTAGCACTTTGGAATGTTGAGGTGGGCAGATCACTTGAGCTCAGGAGTTCAAGACCAGCCTGGGCAATATGGCAAAACTCTATCTCTACAAAAAAACACAAAAAAATTAGCCAGGCATGGTGGCATGCACCTGTAGTCCCAGCTACTTAGAAGGCCGAGGTAGGAGGATTGCTTGAGCTGGGGAGGCAAAGGTTGCAGTAGCCAACATCGCGCCACTGCACTCCAGCCTGAGCAACAGAGACAGATCCTGTCTCAAAAAAAAAAAAACAAAAAAAAAAAACACATGAATATGGGACTTCAGCCACACACTCCTGCACTCATGCCTGGGGACAATGGTTTAAAGGCATTTTGTTATTTCTTTCTTTCTTTTTTTTTTTTTTTTTTTTTTGAGACAGAGTCTTGCTCTGTTGCCAGGCTGGAGTGCAGTGGCGTGATCTCGGCTCACTGCAACCTCCACCTCCCAGGTTCAAGCAATTGCCCTGACTCAGCCTCTTTAGTAGCTGGGACTACAGGTGTGCACCACCACACCCGGCTAATTATTTGTATTTTAGTAGAGACGGGGTTTCACCATGTTGGCCAGGATGGTCTCAATCTCCTGACCTCGTGATCTTCCCACCTCAGCCTCCCAAAGTGCCGGAATTACAGATGTGAGCCACCGTGCCTGGCCTGTTATTTCTTTTCTTCCCTGTAGGTTCCTGACTGCCTCACCCATTATCTTTTTTTATCTTTCTTTTGACAGGGTCTCACTCTGTCACCTAGGCTGGAGTGCAGTTGTGCAATCACAGCTCACTGCAGCCTTGACCTCCTGGACTCAAGCAATCCTCCTGCCTCAGCCTCCTGAGTAGCTGAGACTACAGGCATGCACTACTACACCTGGCAAATTTTCCTTTTGTTTTTCTGAGACGGAGTCTCAGTCTGTTGCCCAGGCTGGAGTGCAGTGACACCATCTTAGCTCACTGCAGCCTCCACCTCCTGGGTTCAAGCAATTCTCCTGCCTCAGCCTCCTGAGTAGCTGGGACCACAGGTGCATGCCACCACGCCTGGCTAATTTTTGTATTTTTAGTAGAGACAGGGTTTCACCATGTTGGACTGGCTGGTCTCAAACTCCTGACCTCAGGTGCTGGAGTTACAGGTGTGAGCCACCGTGCCCGGCCCTAATTTTTGTATTTTTTGTAGAGATGGGGTATCCCCATGTTGCCCAGGCTAGTCTCAACTCCTGGGCTCAAGTGATCCACCTGCCTCAGCCTCCCAAAGTGCTGAAAATACAGGTGTGAGCCACTATGCCCAGCCTCAGCCATTATCTTCCTGTTCCTGGAATTTGTGATATAAAGAACAATGTACAGCCAATCAATAGCTTATATTACTTTAACATAAATTCTTTTTTTATTTTTTTTGAGACAAGAGTCTCATCCTGTTGCCCAGGTTGGAGTACAGTGTTGCATTCTCGGCTCACTGCAACCTCCGCCTCCCGGGTTCAAGCAATTCTTCTGCCTCAGCCTCCTGAGTAGCTGGGATTACAGGCACATGCTACCATGCCCCAGTAATTGTATTTTTGGTAAAGACAGGGTTTCACCATGTTGGCCAGGCTGGTCTCAAACTCCTGACCTCAGGTAATCTGTCCACCTTAGCCTCCAAAAGTGCTGAGATTACAGAGGTGAGCCACCATGACCGGCCCTAACATAAATTCTTGATAAGCAACTTAGAAATTGCCTCTTCTATATTCCTTTAAAAACCCACTTATAACTGCTGTTAATCAGAGCGTATATTCAGGGCAACTTGAATCTGTGCTCCTGGGTTGTAGTCCATTAACTTGGCCCAAACAGACTCTGTACTTAGTTAATTTTTCCTCAGTTTTTTTCCTTTTGGTTAACAGAAGAAAACAAGGAAACAACAGCAAAAGTCTAGAGGGGAGGGTGGTGGGTGGGAGAGAGTGGGAATAGAGATCAGGACATGGACTTGCTACAATATATTATTATTGTTATTATTATTATTATTTTCCGAGACAGAGTCTTGCTCTGTCACCTAGGCTTAGTGCAGTGGGATGATCTTGGCTCACTGCAACCTCCACCTCCCAGGTTTAAGCAATTCTCCTGCCTCAGCCTCCTCTGTCAAAAAAAAAAAAAAAAAAAAAAGATTTATATTTTTCTTTTTTTTTATCAAGTCATAATCATGGAACAGGGTATGAAGAAGACCAAGTTGGGCTGGAACTTGGTTCCCTGACTCACATGAGCTACAACTCCCACCTCTGTCTGGCTAATTTTTGTATTTTTAGTAGAGATGGGGTTTCACCATGTTGGCCAGGCTGGTCTCAAACTCCTGACCTCGTGATCTGCCCGCCTCGGCCTCCCAAAGTGCTGGGATTACAGGCGTGAGCCACCATGCCCGGCCTAACAATATATTATTTAAAATGTCCACTTTGTAACACGAAGTTACAAGATGAGCAAAAAACATGAAAGTGTGATCCATACACAGGAGAAAACAAAACAGGTAATAGAAACTGCCTTTGAAGAGCCCAGATGTTGACTTTAGTAGACAAACAAATACTTTTTTTTGTTTGTTTGTTTTTGAGACGGAGTCTCACTCTGTCGCCTAGGCTGGAGTGCAAAGGTGCAATCTCAGCTCACTGCCAACCTCCGCCTCCTGGGTTCAAGCAATTCTGCCTCAGCCTCCTGAGTAGCTGGGATTACAGGTGCACACCATCACATCCGGCTAATTTTGGTATTTTTAGTAGAGACGGGGGTTTCACCATGTTGGTCAGGCTGTTCTTGAACCCCTGACCTTGAGATCCGCCCACCTCAGCCTCCCAAAGTGCTGGGATTACAGGCGTGAGCCACCGCGCCGGGCCTTTTATTTATTTATTTATTTTTTTTTGAGAGCATCTTGCACTGTTTCCTGGGCTGCAGTGCAGTGGCACAATCTCGGCTCACTGCAACCTCCACCTCCTGTGTTCAAATGAATCTCGTGCCTCAGCCCCCCAGGTAGCTGGGATTACAGGTATGCGCCACCACACCCAGCTAATTTTTGTATTTTTAGCAGAAATGGGGTTTCGCCATATTGGCCAAGCTGGTCTTAAACTCCTGGCCTCAAGTGATCCACCCACCTCAGCCTCCCAAAGTGCAGGGATTATAGGCGGGAGCCCCCACACCTGGCCTAGCATACAAATACTTCCAAGCAGCTATTACAAATATGTTCACACAACTCTTAGTTGGTTCAGGCTGCTATGACAAATTACCATAGACTGGGTGGCTTAAACAACAGAAATTTATTTCTCATAGCTATGGAGGCTAGGAAGTCTGAGATTTTGGTGCCAGCATGTTCATGTTCTGGTGAGGGCCCTCTTCTGATTGCAGACTACTATGTTCTTACTGTATCTCATATGGCAGAAACAGACACTCTCTGGGATCCCTTTCTTCTTATTATTATTTTTTTTGAGATGGACTCTCGCTCTGTCACCCAGGCTGGAGTGCAGTGGCACGATCTCGGCTGACTGCAAACTCCGCCTCCCAGGTTCAAGCGATCCTCCTGCCTCAGCCTCCCAAGTAGCTGGGATTACAGGTGCATACCACCACGCCCGGCTAATTTTTGTATTTTTGGTAGAGAGGGGGTTTCACCATGTTGGTCAGGCTGGTCTTGAACTCCTGACCTCAGGTGATCCACTTGCCTCAGCCTCCCAAAGTGCTGGGATTACAGGCATAAGCCACTGAGCCCAGCCCCCTTTCTTTTCTTTTCTTTTTTTTTTTTTTTGAGATGGAGTCTCGCTCTGTTGCCCAGGCTGGAGTGCAGTGGCATGATCTTGGCTCACTGCAATCTCTGCCTCCTGGGTTCACGCCATTCTCCTGCCTCAGCCTCCCAAGTAGTTGGGACTACAGGCGCCTGCCACCATGCCTGGCTAATTGTTTCTATTTTTTAGTAGAGATGGGGTTTCACTGTGCTAGCCAGGATGATCTTGATCTCCTGACCTCGTAATCCGCCCACCTCAGCCTCCCAAAGTGCTGGGATTACAGGCGTGAGCCACCACGCCTGGCCTCTTTTTTTTTAATAATAGAGATGGGGTCTTACTATGTTGCCCAGGCTGGTCTTGAACTGCAGCCTCCAGCAGTCCTCCCACTTCAACCTCCCAAAGTGCCAGGATTCTAGGTGTGAGCCACTGCACCTGGCTTGGGGTTCCTTTTTATTTTTTATTTATTTTCTAACTTAAAAAAATGTATTTCCATAGTTTATTGGGAAACAGGTGGTGTTTGATTACATGAGTAAGTTCTTTAGTGGTGATTTGTGAGATTTTGGTGCACCCGTCACCCAGACTGTATACACTGCACCCAATGTGTAGTCTTTTATAAGGGTTCCTTTTTAAAGGAAGGGTACTAATCCCATTCACAAGGGCTCCACCCTCATGACCCAAATACCTCCCAAAGGCCCTACTTCCTAATACTATCACTTTGGGGATTAGGATGTCAACATATGAATTTTGAGGGGACACAAACAGTCCATTGCAATGGGTAAAAGATTTGAACAGTAACTTCACCAAAGATGCACTGATGGCAAATAAAAAGATACTCAACATCATTAGTCATAGAGGAAATGCAAATTTAAATCAGAACAAATACCACTACACACCTATTAGAGTAGCTGAAGTTAAAAAGAGTGAGCATATTGAGTGTTTATGACAATGTCTGGTGCTTTCTTCTTGGTGGTAGAAAGTGGAAGATGCAATAATTTGTTTTTTATTTTGGAGGAAATGTCCCAGATTACTGGGACCCTAAAAATTTTACTGGGTTGGGCCCAGTGGCTCACACCTGTAATCCTAGCACTTTGGGAGGCCAAGGCTGGTGAATCACGAGGTCAGGAGTTTGAGACCAGCCTGACCAACATGGTGAAACCCCATCTCTACTAAAAATACAAAAATTAGCCAGGCGTGGTGGTGCACGCCTGTAATCCCAGCTACTCAGGAGGCTGAGGCAGTAGAATCGCTTGAACCCAGGAGGTGGAGGTTGCAGTGAGCCGAGATCATGCCACTGCACTCCAGCCTGGGTGACAGAGCGAGACTCCATCTAAAAAAAAAAAAAAAATGTACTGATGTGGTGGGCCTCTGAATTGCCATAGGGTTTATCTCCTATTCATTGTAACATGAATCTTCCAAAGGACTATATCATGCTAGCCACTTATTACTTATTTGATCAGTTTAGTACAATGCCATCAATATAACAGACCTATAGTATTCTGAATATAGTATTCTGAAGGATAGCCAGATTATTTATTTTTCTTCAGTTTATAGATTGACAGAGGCAGGAGAGGTAAGATAACTTTGGGCAACACTGAAATGTATACTGTTGTCCATTCCAAGTGAATGTGAACTGTTTCTGATTCTCATATCTGGCAGGGGCAGGAAAACAACACACTCAGCAGAATAATCGCCATATATCATCTTCCTGAGGCTGTGATAATCTGCCTAGGCCAGTATACCACATCTGGCACAGCAGCTGCATTTGGGACTACTACTTGACTGAGTTTGCAGTAGTCCAAATGTCTTTCTCCAGGATCCATCTGATGTTTTTTGGGGGTCGTATTGGTTAATTAAATGGGGATATAAGGAGTACACTATCCCTGATGTCTTTAAGATAGTTGTATATTTTGGCTGGGCGTGGTGGCTCATGCCTGTAATCCCAGCACTTTAGGAGGCCAAGGCAGGTGGACAACTTGAGGCCAGGAGTTGGAGACCAGCCTGGCCAACATTGCAAAACCCCATCTCTACTAAAAATACAAAAAAATTAGCTGGGCATGTTGGTGCACGCCTGTAATCCCAGCTACTCAAGAGGCTGAGGCAGGAGAATCGCTTGAACCTGGGAGGTGGAGGTCTCAGTGAGCCAAGATGGCACCATTACACAGGAGCCTGGGCAACAGAGTGAGACTCTGTCTCAAAAAAAAATAAAATAAAAATTATCTTTTTAACCATCTGTGCAAGTTCCCTTGGCTACCATGCTGACTTTGCCAGTCATTATGATTATATCCACCTGGCTTTTAATGGTTAAGCTATCTGATATCTATGGGGGTGTGCACAATTATTGTTATTCACATTGCTATTAGAGAGCCCAGATTAATGGCTTCTTCTAACTTCAACCCTGACCTACAGAGAAAAGCCACTGTTTGACTTAGTGATGCTTGGTGTCCCCTCACCAATTCATTCCTTACAGTTTTAGTAAATGGTGTCTCCTTCAAGCCCTCCCATGGACTATTAGGGTATGGATTCCTCTTAGGAAAAGAACCTTTTCTGAATTCACAGATAAAATATATCTGTTTGAAATGTAGAATTTTCTAGTTACAACTTCTGAAGTCAAGCCCATCAAAATACAGAATATATATTGCTAATATTTTGTATATTCCCTGTGCTGTAAATACCTGGATCTATTGTGCCAAATTTTAGCTAATACAAGATTATTAGTGTCAAACAGCAAATATAAAATTATTAGTGCTTGAGATAAAAAAATGGTATATTATTTTAACTAGAAATTGTTTGTCTAATATTCACAAACTCCATCTTTTAACCCCATTGTAACATGCACAGCTTCTGTAAATTTAGTTCATACTATTATATTTAACTCTACCCTATGAATGTAATTCAGCATAGCCAATTCCCCCACGTGTATAGACATTTTTATGTCATTTCATCCCTCTGACACTGTCTCATTTCTGCCTCTTCAGATAGCACTCACAACTATATCTCTCTCAGAAAGAAGACTCATGTACGCTACAAGGAGGTATTATAGAATCACTTCCTATGCTTTTTTTTTTTTTTTTTGAGATGGAGTGTTGTTCTGTCACCCAGGCTGTAGTGTAGTGGCATGATACCAGCTCACTGCATCCTCCGCCTCCTGGGTTCAAGCAATTCTCCTGCCTCAACCTCCTGAGTAGCTGAGATTACAGGCACCCACCACCAGCCCCAGCTAATTTTTGTATTTTTAGTAGAGACGGGTTTTTACCATGTAGGCCAGGCTGGTCTTGAACTCCTGACCTTGTGATCCACCCTCGTGATCACCTGAGCTTTTTTTTTTTTTTTTTTTCCTGAGATGGAGTCTCTCTTTGTCGCCCAGGCGGGAGTGGAGTGGTGCGATCTCAGCTCACTGCAACCTCCACCTCCTGGGTTCAAGTGATTCTTTTGCCTCAGCCTCCCAAGTAGCTGGGACTACAGGCATGTGCCACCACACCCAGCTAATTTTTTTGAATTTTTAGTAGAGACGGGGTTTCACCATATTGGCCAGGCTAGTCTCGAACTCCTGACCTCGTGAGCCGCCCGCCTCACCTCCCAAAGTGCTGGGATTATAGGAGTGAGCCACTGCTCCCGGCCCACCTCGGGCTTTTAAAAAAAAAAAAAAAAATTGAGAAGATGGTTTCTATCTAGAGAATTGGTGTTCAGATCTTACTGCAAAAGGCTAATTTTTACTGACTTATACAAATGTTATATTTTTCTACTGTTTCATTTAACCCAACAACATTTCATCCCCACCATGAGAAACCTAAACAAGTTGAAATAAACCCCAAGCTTGGAGTAGTAAATTAGATTAGTAAAGTAGGTTAAATTAGTAAAGTAGATTTCTGCTTCTCCCTATCAACATCCTTTATTTTTATTTTTTGGTTCCCAGTAATAGCATCTGCCAATAGAACTTTTTTGAAAAAAATGTTCCTTTGACAGCAATTTATTGAATGCTTTTTACATGCTAAACACTATGGATAGAAATAGAGCATACAGGCCAGGCACTGTGGCTCATGCCTGTAATCCTAGCACTTTAGGAGGCCGAGGTGGGTAGATCACGAGGTCAGGAGTTCAAGACCGGCCTGGCAAACATGGTGAAACCCCGTCTCTACTAAAAATACAAAAATTAGCTGGGCGTGGTGGCATGCACCTGTAATTCCAGCTACTCAGGAGGCTGAGGCAGGAGAATTGCTTGAGTCTGGGAGGCGGAGGTTGCATTGAGCCGAGATCACACCACTCCCTCCAGCCTGGGTGACAGAGTGAGACTCTGTCTCAAAAAAAAAAAAAGGGAAAAAATAAATAGAGGATACAGAGATAAACGAGATAATTCCTGCCTTTGGGAAGCTCCCAAACTAACTGGAGAAACACTTCTAAACAGATAAGGAGGGCTGGGCATGGTGGCTCATGCCTGAAGTCCCAGCACTTTGGGAGGCTGAGGGGAGGAAGATTACTTGAACCCAGGAGTTTGAAACCAGCCTGGGTGACACAGCAAGACACCAATGCACTCCAGCCTGGGCAATGGAGCCAGATCCTATCTGTAAAAAAATAAAATAAGGCCGGGCATGGTGGCTCACGCCTATAATCCCAGCACTTTGGGAGGCCAAGGCGGGTGGATCACAAGGTCAGGAGTTCAAGACCAGCCTGACCAAGATGGTGAAACCACGTATCTACTAAAAATACAAAAAGCCAGGCATGGTGGCAGGCACCTATAATCCCAGCTACTCGGGAGGCTGAGGCAGGAGAATCGCTTGAACCCAGGAGGCGGAGGTTGCAGTGAGCTGAGACTGTGCCACTGCACTCCAGCCTGGGCAACAGAGTGAGACTCCATCTAAAAATAAATAAATAAATAAAATGAACAAATAAGGAGCACTACTGTATTAAAAATGCTGTAAAGTACTGTAAAGATGGCAACAGAGTGCTAAAGGAAAACGAAGTACCTCTCTGCCTGGGAGAGTTGAGAAAGGTGGTGATATATAAGCTGAGCACTAAATGATGAACAGTTATTTGACAAAAAAGGAGGCAGAAATTTTAAAAAAAAATTTAAAGAAGGAGGCAGGAAAGGGTCTTTTCAGGCAGTGAACATTACTAGCTCCATTGGTGAGTTTGTTAGTAACTTTGCGGACCATACTAGAAGACAAGAGGGGTGTTCCTTCCTGTACTACAGAGAACCCAAGCAGTAGCCAATCAGCTCTATGCGCTAGATTATAAGCATCTGAATATATATATATATATATATATATATATATTTTTTTTTTTTTTTTTTTTTTTTTTTTTTTTGAGACGTCGTTTTATTCCCGTTGCCCAGGCTGGAATACAAAGGCGTGATCTCGGCTCACTGCAACCTCCACCTCCCAGGTTCAAGCAATTCTCCTGCCTCAGTCTCCCGAGTAGCTGGGATTACAGGCATGCGCCACCACCCTCGGCCAATTTTTTGTATTTTTAGTAGAGACGGGGTTTCTCCATGTTGGTCAGGCTGGTCTTGAACTCCTGACCTCAAGTGATCCGCCCGCCTTGGCCTCCCAAAGTACTGGGATTACAGGCGCGAGCCACCGTGCCCGGCAAGCATCTGAATATCTTAACGTGGACTTATAATAATGGAACAGCAGTTAACCAAAGCAGGGTCTAAGATGAAAGACTGCCTGAAATCATTCCTAAACACATGCTCATGTGAGGATGCCTCACTTACCTGCCATGTCTGTGAGTACAAACCTGGAGTTTGTTTTTTGGGATTTTTTTTGGTGGGGGGGATGGAATCTCGCTCTGTCACCCAGGCTGGAGTGCAGTGGCACAATCTCGACTCACTGCAACCTCTGGCTCCCAGGTTCAAGCAATTCTCCTGCCTCAGCCTCCCGAATAGCTGGGATTACAGGTGCCTGCCACCACACCCTGCTAAGTTTTGTATTGTTAGTAGAGACAGGGTTTTGCCATGTTGGCCAGGCTAGTCTCGAACTGCTGACTTCAAGTGATCTCCCGCCTCGGCCTCCCAAAGTGCTGGTATTATAGGCATGAGCCACCACGCCTGGCCTGAGGTTTGTATTATGGTGTAATATCACAGTGGTCCTTGGGAAAGAGCTCCTCTCTCCCTTGGAATACATTTTCTTTTCTTTCTTTTTTTTTTTTTTTTTGAGATGGAGTCTCACTCTGTCGCCCAGGCTGGAGTCCAATGGTGCGATCTCAGCTCACTGCAACCTCCACCTCCAGGACTCAAGCCATTCTTCTGCCTCAGCCTCCCAGGTAGCTGGGACTACAGGCATGCACCACCACGCCTGGCTAATTTTTGTATTTTTAGTAGAGACAGGGTTTCACCATGTTGGCCAGGCTGGTCTCAAACTCCTGACCTCAAGTGATCCACCCATCTCGGCCTCCCAAAGTGCTGGGATTACAGGTGTGAGCCACCGTGCCCAGCCTGGAATACATTTTCCCAGGTTCTTAAAATTTAGTCCTTTACAAATCCATGAAGAAAGAGGAGGAATCCAATGACAATTTAGAGTTGGGCTCCTTGGTGGAGTGAGGACTGCTTTTTTTCACAAAGTACCCTTAACCTTGGTTAGTTTGGATCATCACAGTTTGAACCCTGTCAAGGTATAATTTTCAAAAAGTTGAAAACATGACTCATACAAATATAGTATGAACATGTGTCAAGTATTTATTAACTTATTATAAGGGAACCGATAAGATGGTAAGTAAAGCTGGTTCAAAGAGCATGTTGAAGAACTAAGTATTCACAGATATTTAAGAAGGAATGGCCAGATGTGATGGTTCACACCTGTAATCCTAGGACTTTGGGAGGCTGAGGCGAGAGGATCACTTGAGTTCAGTTTGAGACTAGCCTGGGTAACATGGCAAAACCCCATCTCTACAAAAAATACAAAAAATTATCTGGGCATGGTGGTGGGTGACTGTAGTCCCAGCTACTCAGGAGTCTGAGGTGGGAGGATTGCTTGAGCCCAGGAGGTAAAGGCCGCAGGGAGCCAAGATGGCACCACTGCACTTCAGCTTAGGCAACAGAGCCAGACTCTATCTCTTAAAAAATAAAAGAAGAAGAAGAAGAAGTAATGTTATTAGCAGGGAAGAGGTGTTAAAGTACTAGATTAGATATAAAACTGGTTTATGTCTAAATCAGTTTATGTTTAAATACATAGGGCAGTAAACTGTTAACCTTTAGGGCTATCTTTTCTATTGGATAACATGTAGCATACAACTTCAGAGTCTAAGTTAATGGATAATAAATAGCAAAGTCAGGTGGGGTGCAGTGGCTCATGCCTGTAATCCCAACATTTTGGGAGGCCAAGGCAGGTAGATCACCTGAGGTCAGGAGTTCAAGACCAGCCTGGCCAACATGGTGAAAGCCCGTCTCTGCTAACAATACAAAAATTAGCCAGGTGTGGTGGCGCATGCCTGTAATCCCAGCTTCTTGAGAGGCTGAGGCATGATAATTGCTTGAATCTGGGAGGTGGAGGTTGCAGTGAGCCGAGATGGCACCACTGCACTCCAACATGGGTGACAGAGCAAGACTGTCTCAAAGAAAAAAAAAACAAGTAAAACAAACAAAAGCACATTCCCTTAGCCTGGATAACTAAATTATTCTTGGATGAGACTATCATGTCTCTCAATCTCCAGTATGACATTGAAAGTACATGCCACCTACCTTTTATCTTGTTCCCACGTTTGAAATAATTTTTCTTTTTTTTTTTCTTTGAGACGGAGTTTCACTCTCGTTGCCCAGGCTGAAGTGCAATGACACACTCTCGGCTCACTACAACCTCCACCTCCTGGGTTCAAGTGATTCTCCTGCCTCAGCCTCCTGAGTAGTTGGGATTACAGGCATGCGCCACCACGCCCGGCTATTTTGTATTTTTAGTAGAGATGGGCGTTCTCCATGTTGGTCAGGCTGGTCTTGAACTCCCTACCTCAGGTGATCCACCCGCCTCGGCCTCCCAAAGTGCTGGGATTACAGGCGTGAGCCACCATGCCCTGGCTGAAATAATTTTTCTTAACACCTTTATATTTCTTCAGCCAAGCATTTGAACCCTCTGCCCCTCACCACTCATCAGTATGCCTTTATATGTCCCAATGCCTTCTATACTTTCCCCCCATGCATTTCACACACTTACACCTCAGAATCATTGCCCCCCCTGTTCTCCCCTCAACCAAGAACCCTGTGGCTCTTTGCTGAAGTCAAGGTACTACTTTTCCTCAAGGGCAATATGGTTGGCACCTCCCCCATAGAATCAGTGCTGTAATGAATCCAATCACCCTTGATCATTCTTCCAAATTACTTAATACCTATCTTTCTTAGCTTGTGTAAACAAAAGGTGTCTTGGGATTTCACTATTTTATTTACTTGGAATCTCTCTAGAGACATCCTGATGAAAAAGAAAGTCTTCAACTATTAAGGCATTTGGCCCTGTTTAATTGGATTTGACTGCTTGGGCACACCTGCACAAAAGCTTTCAAATGAAATGTGCATTTTTTTTTTTTGAAACGGAGTCTCACTCTGTTGCCCAGGCTGGAGTGCAGTGGCGCTATCTTGGCTCACTGCAAGCTCCGCTTCCCGGGTTCACACCATTCTCCTGCCTCAGCCTCCCAAGTAGCTAGGACTACAGGCACCCGCCACCACGCCCGGCTAATTTTTTGTATTTTTAGTAGAGACAGGGTTTCACTGTGTTAGCCAGGATGGTTTCGATCTCCTGGCCTCGTGATCCGCCCGCCTCAGCCTCCCAAAGTGCTGGGATTACAGGTGTGAGCCACCGCGCCCGGCCTGAAATGTGCATTTTTGTTGCATGGGCCTAATTTAAAACTGGCCCAAGGGGACATTTTGTACAATCGCCGAGAAATTTGCAATCTCAGATTGAGACTTAAAATTATTAAATTCAGCTTTGACTGAATTTTTGATGCAAAAAAAAATCACGAAACCTTAAATACTGAACCACCAAAGAAGGGTGATAGACAATTAACTCTGGCTGTTAGCCTGTGTTACTGTCATTACAACACTTAAAAACTGTGCTAGGGTAAATTAAACCTTTTGGGTTTCAGTAATTAAGATACCCTGAGAGGAACACAACCTCATAGATCTTGGTTTCTTGTGTTGTGTAGTTAAGTGGCCTTACAGGCTGGCTTGTGATGATGTCAGAGAATGGGATGTGGAGCTTAACTGTTCTTAGCATTTTGCTAGGCCCTATGAGGTAGAGGAGGCATTTTTCCCAATATAGAGTCATGTAGCTTATATGTGGTGTGGAAATAAATGAAGACCAACCAAATAAGAACAGGCAAAAGCGATTTCATCAGAGCTTGCTATAGCAAAGGAGTCAGACATCATCACATGTTTTGGCAGAGACTCAAAGTCAGGCAAAGGAGTGGGAAAGCTTTATGGTGGAAAAAAGGGAAGACTTCAGGTGTGACTCAATTAGAACCCATGAGTGGTCTAATCAGAAGTGGGACATCCTATATGGATATTTGGCTTTCTTTCATTGGTCCTAAATTGGAAGCAAGGACAAAAATTACGTAAGCTATCTGTTATTATTCAAGTCCTGGCTGTTTGGGGCTGATTGTTACAGGGTTGTTGTTTGGCTTCCTGGACTGGTTGCTAAAGATAGGGGTCTGATTTCCTTCAAGTCTGACTTATAGATAGTAGGCTAGTTACTGTAGATAATGGGTTGGTTTCTTGGGCTGGTGGCTGCAGATTATGTATCAGAGTCCTATTTTTATATACGGTCTTGCTATTGTCCATTTGCATATTCAGTCTCTCTGTGTTAAAACTGCTTGAATCTGGGGCTTTTTTAAAAATAATAGAGGTGGGGTCTTGCTATGTTGGCCAGAGTGGTCGCAAACTCCTGGCCTCAACAGTCCTCTTGACTCAGCCTCCCAAAATGCTAGTGTGAGCCACCATGCCTGGCCTGAATCCAGGGCTTTTTTATTCCACAGCTATGTTCTTTCCACTATTGAATGCTATCAGATAATATCAAGGAATTAAATAAAATATAATCAGCTTCTCCCTTTTCTCCTTCAAACACATCAGCCAACAGCTTTTTTCTTTTCTTTTCCTTTCTTTTTTTTTTTTTTTTTTTGAGATGGAGTCTTGCTCTGTTGCCCAGGCTGGAGTGCAGTGGCACGATCTCTGCTCACTGCAACCTCCGCCTCCCGGATTCAAGCAATTCTTCTGCCTCAGCCTCCCTAGTAGCTGGGATTACAGGTGTTCACCACTATGCCCACCTAATTTTTGTATTTTAAGTAGAGACAGGGTTTCACCATGTTGGCCCAGCTGGTCTCAAACTCTTGACCTCAAGTCATCCACCTGCTTTGGCCTCCCAAATTGGTTGGATTACAGGCATGAGCCACCAAGCCCAGCCAAGAAATCATTTCTAATTTAGGCACAATAGGAGGTTGAATCACATCTGATGTAAGGCTTGTGGACTACAGGCATTTAACTGCTGAGTGAGCTTAGTTACACGTGCAGTATCCTCCTTTTCGTACATTTCTGATGTTCTCTTTTTGCCATAAAGTATACAATTTAGTAGTATTAAGTACATTCACATTGCTATGCAGCCATAACCACTATCCATTTCCAGAACATTTTCCTCATCCCAAACAAGAACTTTGTATTCATTACATGATAACTCCTCATTCCCTCCTTTCTCTACCCTTGGCAAACACCATTCTACTTCTGTCTGACTACTCATACAGTATTTGTTCTTTTTGTCTGGCTTATTTCACTTAGCATAATGTTTTCAAGTTTCGTCCATTTAGTAGCATGTATCAGAATTTCGTTACTTTTTAAGGCTGAACAAGTACTCCATTGTATGTATATATTACATTTTGTTTACCTATTTATCTGTTGTTGCATATTTGAGTTCTTAAAGTTAATTACACTAAGTATTATAGTTAAGAAGCACCAGTTTTTCTTCTAATACTATATTTGGAAAAATGGGGAGACAAAAATAGTACAAGATAGAGATGCTCAATCTGTAGCTTGTGGCGAAAAGATTCACAAATATACAGTAAGTAATCAGAGATGGAGGTAACCTATCAACCAGAATGTGACAATGTAAGGAACTTTGGAATAGGCAGAAAAGAGGACTTGGTGTCTCTAATAAAAAGCTATGCATTTTTAGTGCACACTCTTACAGGTAATCTAAATATAACTCTATCACTCTATCATTGCCTTTGAGCTACTTTACAACTCTGTAAGTTGTAGATAACTGATATTAATGCAAAATAATTCTTGTATAAACATGAAAATAAATTATATTCTGTGAAAAAAAAGTTTGGCTATTGTGAATAATGCTGCTATGAACATGGGTGTACAAATATCTGTTAGAATCCGTACTTTTGATTATTTGTATATATACCTGGGAGAGGAATTACTGGACCATATGTTAATTTTTTTTTTCTTACCATGAGTTTGACTTTTTTTTTTTGAAACCGAGTCTGGCTCTCTTGCCCAGGCTGGAGTGCAATGGTGCGATCTCGGCTCACTGCAACCTCTGCCTCCCGGGTTCAAGCGATTCTCCTGCCTCAGCCTCCCGAGTAGTTGGGACTACAGGCGCGCACTACCACGCCCAGCTAATTTTTTGTTTTTTTAGTAGAGACAGGGTTTCACCATTTTGGCCAGGATGGTTTCGATCTCTTGACCTTGTGATCCGCCCGCCTTGGCGTCCCAAAGTGCTGGGATTACAGGCGTGAGACATCGCGCCCGGCCACCTAGCTAATTTTAAAATCATTTTTTGGCCAGGCGCGTTGGCCCCCCTCGCCAATCCCAGCACTTTGGGAGGCTGAGGCAGGTGGATCATGAGGTAAGGAGTTTGAGACCAACTTGGCCAACATGGTGAAACCCAGTCTCTACTAAAAATGCAAAAATCTCACTATGTTGCCCAAGCTGGTCTCGAACTCCTGAGCTCAGGCAATCTGCTGCTTCAGCCTCCTGAAGTGCTAGGATTACAGGCATGAGCCACCGCGCCCAGCGGATGATGTTTTTGATGTCGTATCTAAGAACTCTTTGCCCAACTCAAAGTCACAAGATATTTTCTCCCATGTTTTCTTATAGAAGTGGTTTTGTTTTGTTTTGTTTGTTTGTTCATTTGAGACAGAGTGTCACCTTGTCGCCCAGGCTAGAGTGTAGTGGTGCGATCTCGGCTCACTGCAACCTCCGCCTCCTGGGTTCAAGCAATTCTTCGCCTCAGCCTCCCGAGTAGCTGGGATTACAGGCACCCGCCACCATGCCCGGCTAATTATTGTATTTTTAGTAGAGATGGGGTTTCACCATGTTGGCCAGGCTGGTCTTGAACCCCTGACCTCAAGTGATCCGCCCACCTCAGCCTCCCAAAGTGCTGGGATTACAGGCATGAGCCACTGCACCCAGCCGATTTAGCACCTTAATCAAAAATCAACTGACCAGCACTCACATTCCTGATTTCAAAATTTATTACTCCAGTCTGGGTAACCTAGTGAGACCTCACCTCTACAAAAATAAAAAGATAAATTAGCCAAGTGTGATGGCAAGTGGCTGTAATCCTAGCTATTCAGGAGGCTGTGACAGTAGGATCGCTGAGCCCAGGAGATCAAGACTGCAGGGAGCTATGATCAGTCGTGCCACTGTATTCCAGCCTGGGTGATAGAGCAAGGCCCTGTCTCTAAAAAAACAAAAACAAACAAACAAAACTACTGATAATCTACAGGTCACATTTGGCAGGCTTCCAAATTAACCTGCCTAGAAAAGGTCTTAGGATTCTTGGCTTACATTCTGTCCCTTAATAAAAAATCTTGGCATGCCTGTAATCCCAGCACTCTGAGAGGCTGAGGCAGGCAGATCACTTAAGCCCAGGAGTTTAAGACCAGCCTGGGCAACACGGTGAAACCCCATCTCTACACAAAATTCAAAAATTTTGTGGTTGTGGTGGTGCCATCTGTAGTCCCAGCTACTTGGTAGGCTGAAGTGGGAGGATTGCTTGAGCCGGGGGAGTTCAAGGCTGCAGTGAGCCACTGCACTCCTCCAGCCTGGGGCATAACAGAGCGAGACCCCGTCTCAAAAAGACAAAACAAAACAGGCAGGGCACGGTGGCTCACGCCTGATCTTGCGGTGAGCTGAGATCGCGCCACTGCACTCCAGCCTGGGCGACAGACTGAGACTCCATTTCAAAAAAAAAAAAAAAGAAAAAATTACCTTTTTTTTTTTTTTTGAGGCAGAGTTTTGCTCTTGTTGCCCAGGCTGGAGTACAATGGCGTCATCTCAGCTCACCACAACCTCCGCCTCCCGGGTTCAAGCAATTCTCCTGCCTCAGCCTCCCAAGTAGCTGGGATTACAGGCATGTGCCACCACGTCCAGCTAATTTTTTGTATTTTTAGTAGAGATGGGGTTTCTCCATGTTGGTCAGGCTGGTCTTGAACTCCTGACCTCAGGTGATCTGCCCACCTCAGCCTCCCAAAGTGCTCGGATTAAAGGCTTGAGCCACCACGCCTGGCCAAGAACCTTCTCTCTTAACCTGAGTTCCTCAGCCTTAATGTGAGTTCCTCAAACTGTTGACATACTAATTAATATGTATCTACTGAGACTGAAAAAGACACTAATTTCTTTCTAAATCATGAAGTTTTACTGATTATCTTATATGTAAAACATTTTAGCCTATATGTTGTAATCTGTAGCCAATGATTGACCCTCTATATTATACCCTCTAGTGGAAAAAGACAAAGATAACTCTGCCTGGTGTGGTGGTTCACGCCTGTAATCCCAAGGCTTTGGGATAAGCGTAGAATTTTTAGAGAAGAATTAAAAATAATGCTGTGCCTAGGCAACATAGTGAGGCCCTGTCTGTACAAAAATAATTAGCCTGGCCGGGCGCAGTGGCTCACGCCTGTAATCCCAGCACTTTGGGAGGCTGAAGCAGGCGGATCATCTGAGGTCAGGAGTTCGAGACGAGCCTCAACATGGAAGAACCCCGTCTCTACTAAAAATACAAAATTAGCTGGGCGTGGTGGTGCATGCCTGTAATTCCAGCTACTCGGCAGGCTGAGGCAGGAGAATTGCTTGAACCTGGGAGGCGAAGGTTGCGGTGAGCTGAGATAGCGCCATTGCACTCCAGCCTGGGTAACAAGAGTGAAACTCCATCTCGAAAAAAAAAAAAATTAGCCAGGCGTGGTGGCATACACCGGTACTCCCACTACTTGGGAGGCTGAGGCAGGTGGATCGCTTGATCCCAGAACCGTGAGGTTAGAGCAAGCTATGATTTTCCACTGCACTCAAGCCTGGGTGACAGAGCAAGACCCTGTCTCTAAAAAAAAAAAAAAAATGCTGGGCGCGTTGGCTCACGCCTATAATCCCAGCACTTTGGGAGGCCAAGGCAGGTGGATCACCTGAGGTCAGGAGTTCGAGACTAGCCCGGCCAACACGGTGAAACCCCGTGTCTACTAATAATATAAAAAAATTGCTGGGCAATTTTACAGTGCCTGTAATCCCAGAACTTTGGGAGGCCGAGGCGGGCGAATCACAAGGTCAGGAGATTGACACCATCCTGGCTAATACAGTGAAACTTCATCTCTACTAAAAATACAAAAAAATTAGCCGGGCGTGGTGGCGGGCGCCTGTAGTCCCAGCCATTCGGGAGGCTGAGGCAGGAGATAGCGTGAACCGGGGAGGCGGAGCTTGCAGTGAGCCGAGATGGCGCCACTGCACTCCAGCCTAGGCACACAGAAAGACTCCCTCTTAAAAAAAAAAAAAAAAAATTAGCTGGGCGTGGTGGTGCATGCTTGTAATCTCAACTACTCGGGAGGCTGAGGGAGGACAATCACTTGAACCCGGGAGGCAGAGGCTGCAGTGAGCCGAGATAGTGCCATTGCACTCCAGCCTGAGTGACAAGAGCGAAACTCCGTCTCAAAAAAAAAAAAGAGAGAGAGAGGGGGCTCTGATATGGAGTCCCCATCGCTTCTCCTAAAATTTCTTATAAAAACATTCCAGGCCAGGCACTTTGGGAGGCCTAGGCGGGCGGATCACGAGGTCAGGATATCAAGACCATCCTGGCTAACACAGCGAAACCCCGTCTCTACTGAAAATACAAAAAAAATTAGCCAGGCGTAGTGTCTGGCTTGCGCCTGTAGTCCTAGCTACTCGGGAGGCTGAGGCAAGAGAATGGCGTGAACCCGGGAGGTGGAGCTTGCAGTGAGCCGAGATGGCGCCACTGCACTGCACTCCAGCCTGAGCGACAGAGGGAAATTCCTTCTCAAAAAAAAAAAAAAAAAAAAATTCCAGGCCAGGCGTGGTGGCTCACCTCTGTAATCCTAGCACTTTGGGAGGCCAAGGCAGGTGGATCACTTGAGGTCAGGAGTTTGAGACTAGCCTGGCCAACATGGTGAAACCCCGTCTCTACTAAGAATACAAAACAATTAGCCTGGCGTGGTGGTGGGAGCCTATAATCCCAGCTACTCAGGAGGCTGAGGCAGGAGAATCACTTGAATCCAGGAGGTGGAGGTTGCAGTGAGCCAAGATCGCACCACTGCACTCCAGCCTCAGCGATAGAGACTGTTTCAAAATAAAACAAAAAAACCCATTCCAATTTATAACAGTTTAGAACACGTCCAACTTTGTTTATTTATCTTCCTAGGTTTATCCTCACATTTGGCTTCCAATAACCTTTATCAAATTATTTCTGCCTCAGCAACCTTAATTTTGGTTGGCAAAATGACATAGGTGGCAGGATTTCAGAGTGACCTCCCTAGACCAAAAGCAGCTTCCAGCCTTTGTGCATGTACGGGCAACAAATCCACTGTGTTCCCGAACTTGGATGCCCTGCTGGGCTACAGGTGAGTTTCTACCAAAATCAGGCTGGGCACAGTGGCTCATGCTTGTAATTCCAGCACTTTGGGAGGCTGAGGCAGTCAGCTCACTTGACCCCAGCAGTTCAAGACCAGCCTGGGCAACATAGTGAAACTCCGTCTCTACAAAACGTACAAAAATTAGCTGAGTGGGGCCAGGCACAGTGGCTCACGTCTGTAATCCCAACACTTTGGGAGGCTGAGGCGGGCGGATCATGAGGTCAGGAGTTCAAGACCAGCCTGGCCAACATGGCGAAACCCCATCTCTACTAAAAATACAAAAATTAGCGGGGCATGGTGGTGCGTGCCTGTAATCCCAGCTACTCGGGAGGCTGAAGCAGGAGAATTGCTTGAACCCAGGAGGCGGAGGTTGCAGTGAGCCAAGACCGCACCACTGCACTCCAGCCTGGGGACAGAGCGAGACTCCGTCTAAAAAAAAAAAAAAAGCTGAGTTTAGTGGCATGGGCCTCTAGTCCCAGCTACTTGGGAGGATCTCTTGAGGCCGGAAGGTCAAGGCTGCCATGAGCTGTGATGGAGCCACTGTATTCCAGTCTGAGCAACAGGGCAAGATCCTGTTTCCAAAAAAAAAAAAAAAAAAATTCAATGAACTTCGTGTCTTCGTCAAAGTTCTGTTTGTTTTGTTTTGTTTTCAGACAGGGTTTCACTATGCTGTCCAGGCTGGAGTGCAATGGTGTGATCTCAGCTCACTGCAACCTCTGCCTCCTAGGCTCCAGAGATCCTTCTTCCTTAGTCTCCTGTGTAGCTGGGGACCACAGGTGCATACCACCATGCCTGGCTAATTAGTTGAGGTCCTGGTTTATTGAAGCTAGTTTCCTCCTTGGCTAGGAGGTACAATGACTCTCTCAGAATCAGAGTTACTGCTGTGAATTCAAGGCAAGAGTTTCTGTTGAATTCTAGGCTAGGATAAAATGGGACCTCTGTAAATTGTCTCACTGGGGTTTTGGTGTGAGACAACTTTTCCTTAGCTTCCTCCTTTTTCAATTGCATGAGCGTGCTCTTGCTCCACTACATAGCTTGTTTCATTCAAAACAACCAGGATGGAAAAGGGGTCCTCTAAAACTGAAGATGCGCCAGCTAGGTTTTATGAATAATGTTTATGGGTCCTTCTACTTACCTAACCCAGATTGGTTATAAAACAGCAATGGCCAAAATGGGGATCTTTTGAATGTGCCTAAAATAATTTATTTGCACGCATAATTAGAAAAGCTGGTTATAGAACCAAATAGAATGGGAGACTTAATTCCAATAACACCTAAAAGCTTTTAAGATACATTCTAAAAAAAAATTTGCCCCATTCAAAAGGTAAATATATTTAAAATTATTTCTTACAGATGATGAAACTGAGGCAAACAAAAAAGAAAAATAAAGAAAACTATTTCTAAATTGAAAAAGACTTTGGAGGTTTTCTCCCTTTTGCCTCCAACTGCTCCTCCTCCTTCGATCCCTGTGATATGAACGCATCCCTTTCTACTGGTTCCCTTGGCTCCCATACATCTCTTAGGCAGAGAGTTTTAGAATTTCACAATGTGCATATTTCTTTCTCTCAATAGGTTAAAATATTAATTAAATTTGGAACAAAAAGAACAAACAGAACAACTACAAAACACAAAACTGCTGATATTCAGATCCAACAAATTTTTCTAAACTGACAATAAGAAACAAAATGATGCCAGGCGCGGTGGTTCACGTCTATAACCTAAGCACTTTGAGAGGCTGAGGCAGGAGGATTGCTTGAGCTCAGGAGTTCAAGACTAGCCTGGGTAACATGGTGGCTTTTGTTGTTGTTGTTGTTGTTTCCCAAAAAAAAAGAAAAGCAAAAGAAAAAATAGCTAGGCGTGGTGGCACACACCTGTGGTCTCAGGTACTTGGGAGGCTGAGATGGGAGGATTGCTTGAGCCCCAGGAGGTCGAGGCTGCAGTGAGGTGAAGGCTGCAGTAAGCAGTGATTTCAACACGTAACCTGGATGACGGAGTGAGACCCTGTCTCAAAAGAAAAAAAAAATCTGTTTCTGTTTAAAACTTACCAGATTTATATCTAAAAAATTCAGCTTTTTCTATGCCTCACTACATATGATTGACAGGTTACATACATCATTGTCTTCTGTTCCTTTTTTCCATAAAAAGGTATATCTTTTTGCTTAGCTGAGTTAACTCTCTCCTTCAACCTTTTTGTGAACTTTTTGTGTAACTTTTTCTACCCCTACTGTGATGGCTAATACTAAAACATTTGTCTTGAAGGTCTAAATAGGCAATGTTTTCCTCCAGTATAACTTGATTCTGTGTTCTAGGCTTTTCTTGATATATCTAAATTGTTCCACATAACCAAAAAACTTCCCATGCTGTTACTAAGAGCCATATATCCCACTGCTCAAGATACTAGTTTTCTTATTTACATTCCTTTATGATTTAATATACATTTATAACCCTAGACACACTCATCCTGGGTCTGATTAATGTGAGCACCCTCTTTTTTTTTTTTTTTTTTTTTTTTGACAAAGTCTCGCTCTTGTTGCCCAGGCTGGAGTGCAATGGTGCCATCTCGGCTCACTGCAACCTCTGCCTCCTGGGATCAAGCAATTCTCCTGCCTTAGCCTCCGGAGTAGCTGGGATCACAGGCACCCACCACCACGCCCGACTAATTTTTGTATTTTTAGTAGAGATGGGTTTCACCCTGTTGGCCAGGCTGGTCTCAAACTCCTGACCTCAGGTGATCTGCCAGCCTCGGCCTCCCTAACAGCTGGGATTACAGGCGTAAGCCACTACGCCAGGCCCACCCTCTTTTTTTTTTTTTTTTTTTTTTTAATGTTAAGTTTGACTTCCAGGTTATCTAAATGGGCTTCCCATTTAGTAGGGCAATTCCCATACAATTGCACTACAAGAGGTTTTTCTTTACCATTTTGGTAACTGGCCTCAAAACCAAATATTCTGCATTTTATCAAAATAACTTCTAGGCTGGTGGGGTGGCTCACACCTGTAATCGCAGCACTTTGGGAGGCCGAGGTGGGCGGATCACTTGAGGTCAGGAGTTTGAGACCAGCCTGGTCAACATGGTGAAACCCCGTCTCTACCAAAAATATAAAAAATTACCAAGTGTCGTGGAGTGCACCTGTAATTCCAGTTACTCGGGAGGCTGAGGCAGGCAAATCACTTGAACCCAGGAGACGGAGATTGTGGTGAGCCGAGATCGTGCCACTGTACTCCAGCCTGGATGACAGAGTGAGACTCCGTCTCAAAAAACAAACAAACAAAAACAACAAAAATAACTTCTAGGCTGGGCACTGTGGCTCACGTCTGTAATCCCAGAACTTTGGGAGACTGAAGCAGGAGGATCCCTTGAGTCTGGGAATTGGAGACCAGCCTGGGCAGCATAGGGAGACCCTGTCTCTACAAAGAATACAAAAATTAGCCAAGCATGGTGGTGTGTGCCTGTAGTCCCAGCTACTCAGGAGGCTGAGGTGGGAGGATCCCTTGAGCCCCAGGAGGCAAAGGTTGCAGTGAGCTGAGATCATGCCACTGCACTCCAGCCTGGGCAACAGAGAGAGAGAGAGAGACTCCATTTCAAAATAATAATAATAATAACAATAATAATAATTTCTGTATTATCTGTGTAGGTTTTTTGTGGGTTTTGTTGTTGTTTTTATTTTATTTTTGAGACAGGGTCTGGCTTGTTGCTCAGGCAGCAATGCAGTAACATGATCACAGCTTACTGCAGCCTCAAGCTCCTGGGCTCAAGTAATTTTCCCACTTAAGCCTTCCAAGTAGCTGGGACCACAGGTGCATGCCACCATGCCTGGGTAATTTTTGTTTAATTTTTTAAGAGATGGGGATCTCCCTATGTTGCCCAGGCTGGTCTCGAACTCCTGGGCTCAGCAATCCTCATGCTTTGGACTCCTGAAGTACTGGAATTACAGGTGTGAGCCACCAGGCCCAGCCATATAGTTCTATCTTGATCAAGTGTTTTAAGCCTTTTGACATCTTTTACAAATTTCTCCAAGATCAAAATCCTAAATTAAGTCTTTTAAACAATTCAACTTGTTTTGATAAATAATACTAAATCCTCTTTTAGTTACATCTAATGGGTATGTTATTAATATAAATGTTCTTAAAATTATATAAATTCATAAAAATCTAATGTTATCAGTCATAATTTTAATTATGTTAAATATTTTCTAAAGTTACATAGATATATCATTAATATAACTATTCTAAAGGTCATATAACATTTATAAAGGTCTAATAGTCCTGATGTGATATTGTCAGTCATAATTCTAATTTTTATGTTAAAATGCTACATATAATAAAAATGTAGCAATTGTCAATTAAAAACTTTCATCAGACTCTGACCATGGCTATTCTAAGTTTTTGTCATCCACAGCCATTATTATTATTGTTGTTATTTTTTGAGACAGGGTCTCACTATGTTGCCCAGGCACAGCCATTATTTTAAATTCTTCTCTAAAAACATTTACAATCAGCTATAATCCAAAATTGCTTTTCATAAAAGACTCTAACAAGTACTCCTAAACACAGGTTTCTAATAACTTTAAGATTAATAGACTAAAGAAAAATTTCAAAAACTCTAATGAAATCTAATACATTCATAAAGATTGCTAACCCAACACCAAACAAAACAAAATTACATGAGACTAAACTGATAAAATGCTAAGATGATTTTTATGACTTTTTGACTTTTTTTAAAAACATTACTGGTTCTTTTTTTTTTTTTTTTTTTTTGGGACAGTGTCTGGAATGCAGTGGTGTAATCACGGCTCACTGCAGCCTCGACCTTCTTGGCTCAAGTGATCCTTCCATCTCAGCCTCCCAAGTAGCTGGAACCACAGGTGAAAACCACCACGCCCAGCAAATTTCTGTATTTTTTTGTGGAGACAGGGTTTTACCATGTTGTCCAGGCTAACATATACTTTTATAAACAAAATTAAAGCATTGGCCAGGCATGGTGGCTTATGCCTATAATCCCAGCACTTTGAGAGGCCAAGGTAAGTGGATCGCTTGAGACCAGGAGTTTAAGACTAGCCTGGGCAACGTAGTAAACCCATGTCTCTACAAAAAATACAAAAATTAGCTGTGCGTGCTGGAGTGTGCCTGTAGTCCCAGCTACTTGGGAGGCCAAGGTGGGAGGATCACTGAGCCCAGGGAGGTCAAGGCTGCAATGAGCTGTGATTGTGCCACTGACCTCCAGCCTGAGCTACAGAGTGAGACCCTGTCTCAAAAAACAAACAAACAAACAAAACAAAGAAAATTAAAACATTTACCTTTCTTTCAACCTAAGTTCTGCAAAATTCATAAACAATCAATGGCTAAGGAAGGCCAAAATCATAGTCCCCCAGAGACTAGAGATAATTTATTATTCAAAAAATAACATATAGCCTCCTGTCATGATGGACCCCTGGGCCCCTTTTTACTAACAACCTGGCCTGCCTGAAATAACGAGGTGGTTCTTTTTGTTTGTTTGTTTTGCTACAGGGTCTTGCTCTGTTGCCCAGGCTGGAGTACAGTAGTGCGATCTCAGTTCACTGCAGCCTCGACTGCCCAGGCTCAAAGGATCCTATCACCTCAGCCTCCTGAGTAGCTGGGACTACAGGTGCACACCACCACATCCAGCCAATGTTTTTCTATTTTTGTAGAGACAGGGTCTCACTATATTGCCCAGGCTAGTCTTGAACTCCTGGGCTCAAGCAGTCCTCCCACCTCGGCCTCCTAACATGCTGGGATTACAGTCATGAGCCATAACATCCGGCCTGCAATAACAAGGTTCTTTCTCCAAATCAAAAGACATGACTTCCTGGAAATGAGCATTCCCAATGCTGAAATATTAAAAAAAAAAAAAAATCTACTGCCAGGCACTGTGGTTCACGCCTGTAATTCCAGCAGTTTGAGAGGCCGAGGTGGGAGGATCATTTGAGGGCAGGACTACTAGCCTGGCCAACATGGTGAAACCTGCTCTCTACTAAAACTACAAAAAATTAGCTGGGTGTGGTGGTACATGCCTGTAGCCAGCTATTTGGGAGGCTGAAGTATGAGACTCTCTTGAACCCAGGAGGCGGAGGTTGCAGTGAGCTGAGATCGTGAGTGAGACTCTGTATCAAAAAAAAAAAAAAACACCCTAACCTTAGCAGAGATTGCTCATCAATGCTTCCACGAGAAGATTTTTGATTGAATGGGGAAAATGATAACCTACAGGTCACATTTGACAGATTTTCAAATTAGCTGTCTGGGGAAGGTCTTGTGATTCATGTCTTACATCCTGTCCTTGTATAAAAATCCTTATAAGAATGAGATCTTGTCATTTGCAACAATATGGATGGAACTGGCGGTCATTATGTTAAGTGAAATAAGCCAGGCACTGAAAGACAAACTTTGCATGTTCTCACTTATTTTTGGGAGCTAAAAATTAAAATAATTGAACTCATGGAGACAGACAGTAGATGGATGGTTACCAGAGGCTGGAAAGTACCCTGTTGTACTAGCAAATACTAGGTATTATTCTTTCTAACTATTTTTTTTGTACCCATTAACCATTCCCGAGACTATTTTTTTGTACCCATTAACCATTCCTGAAGTGACTATACTCAATAATATATACATAATTTTTTGGAGATGTAGTCTCACTCTGTCACTCCGGCTGGAATGCAGTGGCACAATCCCAGCTCACTGAAACCTCCACCTCCTGGGTTCAAATGATTCTCCTGCCTCAGCTTCCTGAGTAGCTGGGATTACAGGTGCCTGTCACCACACCTGGCTAATTTTTTGTATTTTTAGTAGAGATGGGGTTTCACCATGTTGGTCAGGCTGGTCTCGAACTCCTGACCTCAAGTGATCCAACCTGCCTTGGCCTCCCAAAGTGCTGGGATTACAGACATGAGCCGCTGCACCCGGCCAGTCAATAATAATTCAATTGTATATTTTCAAATAATAAAAAAAAATAATTGCATTGTTTGTAACACAAAGGATAAATGCTTGAGGTGACAGATATCCCATTTAGCCTGATGTGATTATGCATTGCATGCCTGTATCAAAATATCTCATGTAACCCACAAATATATACACCTACTATGTACCCACAAAAATTAAAAAAAATCTTATTGTGAACCCCTCAAATCTTATCAGAAGTTCCTCAGACTTTTTTTTGTAGTTGTTGTTGTTGTTGTTGTTGAGACAAAGTCTCACTCTGTTGCCTAGGCTGGAGTGCAGTGGCAAGATCTTGGCTCACTGCAACCTCCGACTCCCAGATTCAAATGATCCTCCTGCCTGAGCCCTGCTGGTAGCTGGGATTACAGGCACACACCACCATGCCCGGCTAATTTGTATATTTTTAGTAGTGACGGGGTTTCGCCATGTTGGCCAGGCTGGTCTCAAACTCCTGACCTCAGGTGATCCACCTGCCTCAGCTTCCCAAAGCGCTGGGATTATAGGCACGAGCCACTGCACCCAGCCAAGTTCCTCAGACTTGATGTACTGATTAGTGTATAACCTACCAACACTAAAAAAAACACTAATTTATTTCTAAATTATTAATATAAAGTTTTACTGATTTGTTTCTAAATCATAAAGTTTTACTGACTATCTTACATATAAAACAATTCCTGACTTTGGAACTGCAATGTTACCTCATTTAAGAGTGGAAAATGTCAGCCCTACAATCCAGTTGGTAATGCTCGTCTTCTCTGTCATTCAGTCAAATCAGAATTACTTTCTGTTAGAAGAAAAATATTCATTTTTTACCTCAAATAAATGTGTTAGTTTTTTTTTTTTTTTTTGAGACGGAGTCTCGCTCTGTCGCCCAGGCTGGAGTGCAGTGGCACAATCTCGGCTCACTGCAACCTCCGCCTCCCGGGTTCAAGCGATTCTCCTGCCTCAGCCTCCTGAGTAGCTGGGACTACAGGCGCCTGCCACCACACCTGACTAATTTTTGTATTTTTAGTAGAGACGGGGTTTCACCATATTGGCCGGGCTGGTCTCGAACTCCTGACCTTGTGATCTGCTCGCCTCAGCCTCCCAAAGCGCTGGGATTACAGGCATGAGCCACTGTGCCCGGCCGTGTTAGCATTTATTTCAAGGAATGTGATTGTAACCAATAGGAAATAAATAAATCTTATAAATCGGTTACTAAATCCTATCATCAGGATTAAAATTATATAGGTCTAATTATGTTATCACTTTTATTTTATTAAAAACAAGGTAGAACATCAATGTACTGTTTCTCACTGCTTAATTTTTTGTTGTTTGTTTGTTTGTTTTCTGAGATGGGCCTGGCCAAATTATACATTATTTTTGAAGCAAGGAGTATATGATAACTGCATGATTTCCCTGGTAAATTGTGCATATGTGTATGTGTAAGTGATTCAAATTCTGGTGTGGCCAGACATGATGGCCCATGCCTGTAATCCCAGCATTTTAGGAGGCCAAGGCAGGCAGATAGCTTGAGCTCAGGAGTTGGAGACCAGCCTGGGCAACATGGCAAAACTCTTGTCTCTTCAAAAAAATTAGCTGGGCATGGTGATGCATGCCTGTAGTTCCAGCTATGTGAGAGGCTAAAGTGGTAGGATCACCTGAGCCTGGGGAGGTTGAGGCTGCAGTGATCCATGATCACACCACTGTACTCTGGCCTGGGCAACAGAGTGAGACCTTGTCTCAAAAACAAGCGAACAACAACAAAAAAAATCCCACCAAATTCTAGTGTTTGGTTTTTGAAAAAAATTAAATAAAAATCAAGTCGAAAAACTATAAACAACTCCATTCTTTTCTTTTCTTTTTTTGAGACGGAGTTTTGCTCTTGCCCAGGCTAGAGTGCAATGGCGCAGTCTCCACTCACTGCAACCTCCGCCTCCTGGGTTCAAGCGGTTCTCCTGCCTCAGCCTCACAAGTGGCTGGGATTACAGGCATGTGCCACCACACCTGGCTAATTTTTGTATTTTTAGTAGAGACAGGGTTTCACCATCTTGGCTAGGCTGGTCTCGAACTCCTGACTTTGTGATCCACCTGCCTCGGCCTCCCAAAGTGATGGGATTACAGGCATGAGCCACTGCGCCCAGCCTAACTCCATTATTTTCATTAGGTAATATTTTCCAATGTATTTAATAAAAGATAAAGATATTTACTGCTAAAAACTAATCAACAGAAGATAGAAAATATTTAACAATTTTTAAGATAAATAAGAATTTACTGTAATAAATATTTTGTGACATGATTTGTTTAGAATGATTTTAACTACCTTATTGAATAATGAACAACAAACTGAAAGAAATCACATAAAAGTTTCATCTGGATACTTTACCCAATGTACCTGGAAAGATTTAGTAGTCCCATTAAAACATTTCAATTATATTTAAAAGAATCACTGCCAATAACTATACTCCTTTTCATTCCAGGAATGCACATTTAAAGACTTGGCTTATGTTAAACATATGTAGAGAGACATTTTTAGCATCTAGAACTGAATTTCTTACCCATACTGTCTCTGCTCACTCTCGAGTGATTCTCTAATAAGAGGTAAGCATTCTAGGGCAAGTCAAGGGATGGAAGAGGCAAAATTGTTGAAAAAAAATTGTCATTTCTCCCACCACCCTGCTCTTATTTATCTGAATTCAGATCTTGGGGGCAGAGTGCCCAGGTTTTAACTTAGTTTCACTCTTTTTTTCATATATATATATATATATATATATGTGTGTGTGTGTGTGTGTGTGTGTGTGTGTGTGTGTGTGTGTGTGTGGTTTTCACGAATAAACCATACACAGCTTCTTTTATTATTTATGCCTAGTTTGCACATACACTAATTTTTACTAGTGTTGAATGTTATTTGACATTGAAGTTGACAAGAGAGACCTTTTCATTAACAGTTTCATGATTTTTTAGTTTTAATAGTTTAATAGTTTTCATTTTTTTGAATAGTGTAAAATCAAAATTTGATTTTCCCTTTAGAGCTCTTTTTGTTTAAAGATCTGTAGTCGCTGGGTGCGGTGGCTCACGCCTGTTATCCCAGCACTTTGGAAGGCCAAGGCGGGCGGATCACCTGAGGTTGGGAGTTAGAGACCAGCTTGACCAACATGGAGAAACCCTGTCTCTACTAAAAATACAAAATTAGCCGGGCAAGGGCGCGTGCCTATAATCCCAGCTACTCGGGAGGCTGAGGCAGGAGAATCGCTTGAACCTGGGAGGCAGAGGTTGCGGTGAGCTGAGATCACACCATTGCACTCCAGCCTGGGCAACAAGAGCAAAACTTCATCTCAAAAAATAAAAAATAAAAAAAAATCTGTAGTCACTGTGTGGCCTTGTTTAATTTCCTATATTGAGGCCATTGCAGAGCACTTTTTAAAGGATCAAACTGCCTATACTTGGAAAATGGCTCAAAAGATGCTAATTGTCTGGATGCAGTGGCTCACACCTATAATCCCAGCACTTTGGGAGGCTGACGCAAGAGACTGCTTGAGCCCAGGAGTCTGAAACTAGCCTGGGCAACATAACAAGACCCTGTCTCTATTTTATTTTTTTTTAATTTTATAAAAAAACATTAATTTATCAGTGTGATGAAATACCAGGCAATCAACAGAACTTGCAATGTCGAAGACAAACCATGTGGAGATGTGTATAATAGCATTTTAGGTACAAAAGCTAGAACATTGATTTCAACAAGTCAGAGTCTGTTTTGGTTCCGAGGTAAACTGGAAAAATTTGATGTGTTAGGTGGGAGATATAAGAGGACTGTGTTTTTCTTAAATTTTCTTCAATGTGGTTAAAATATGGATTGTACAATAAGAGTATACAGTCTGTCAAGAGCAGTGGTCATTGTTAATGAGTAAACTAAAGCACTCTTTGCAAATTAATTAGTAAATAAAAGGTCTTTCAAAGGGCAAAGAACTTAAAATTATAAAAGGGGGGGTTAGTTATAGAAAAACCTATGTGGCAAAATGCTGCCAAAGACACGGGTAAATTTAGGAAGAACAGAGTCATAATTATTCCTGAAGAGGGCATTCTGAAGGAAAAAGCCCTAAAACATCTCTCTAGGGGAAAACTTCAAGAAAGGCCAAAGTGGCCAGGCACAGTGGCTCATGCTTGTAATCCCAGCACTTTGGGAGGCCGAAGTGGGTGGATCACTTGAGGTCAGGAGTTCGAGACCAGCCTGGCCAACATGGCGAAACCCTGTCTCTACTAAAAACCAAAAATTAGCTGTCTGTGGTGTTGTGCACTTGCAATTCCAGCTATTCAGGAGACTGCAGCAGGAGAACCGCTTGAACCTGGGAGGTGGAGGTTGCAGTGAGCCCAGATTGTGCCACTGCACTCCAGCTTGGGTGACAGAGCAAGTCTCTGTCAAAAAAAAAAAAAAAAAAAAGCCAAAGTAACAGGCTCCTGGGGCAGAAAATGAATCTGCAGAATGCAGGTCCAAGGACCTGATCCTGTTGATAAGCTTAAATGTTTTGACATTCCTTCTCATAGTGAGAAAACCAGCCAATGCTGGTGCAATGGGAAATATAGTAGGTATAAATTCAACAACCACAAATCAAATGTGTGCAAAACTCTATTTTTGAACCTGAGTAAGGAAACCTGAACAGGAAAGGTGAATGGTTCTTACTTGTTCAGACCACTTGGAGTCTACCCCTGTTCTGGCACCTCACTGGGATACACTAGTCAGTGAGGCTGACCTCAGACTCTGCTGCCTGATAGCCTTCCTCAGGCACAGGCACTCTATGGCTCAGGTCATGTTGGTCCTGACGTCACGTTGAGTCTAGTGCCATGGGGGATAGAGTACAACTGTGGTGGGAACCCCCTGTTGGATATAGCACCATATTAGTGGTGGCACCATGTTGGAGGAACACCATGTTGGCTAGAGCACCACGTTGGCAGGGGTGACAAGTTGGAAGGGGGATGTTAGTCGGCTATTACTGAATGCTCCACAGGCTCTCTAATGGCAGCTCCAGGGAATCTAGGACGAGCTGCCCACTCTGGCACTTCTGACACCACCGCCAAAACTGTGGACCTTTATTGCATACACCATCCTCTGAAGTTCAACCCTAAAAGAGAGTATGACTAGAGCCTCTGACTTCTTTTCTCCTCCTTCTTCCAAAAAAAAAAAAAAAATCACCCAACATCCCACTCTCCAGAGATAACTACTGAAAATATTTGCAGAGTGATATTTTTTATTTCTTGTGCATATGTATTTGAGTGAAATGGAACACAATATACATAATGTTTTATTATATATTTTGCTTAATAATATATCTATCTTATTTTCAATAGCTTATTTTCATTTATACTCTTCCATAGTATAAATGTGCAACTCATTTTGGGTTGCACCCTCCACATTTTGGGTTCTAACAATTGTTCACTCTTATATAAATAATGCTGCATATTGTTGCAGATAAATCTCAGTGCATCATCGTAGTGTTTTCCTTAGTCAATTCCTAGAATTAGAATTTCTGGGCCAGATATGGTGGCTTATGCCTGTAATCCCAGCACTTTGGGAGGCCGAGGCAGGCAGATCTCTTGAGCCCAGGAATTTGAGACCAGCCTGGGCAACATGTTGAAACCCTGTATCTACAAAATATATAAAAATTAGCCAGGTTTTTGAATGTGGCTTTTGTTGTGGAAAAATAAAAGACTATAATTTAAAAAAATTAGCTAGACATGGTGGTGACCACCTGTAGTCCCAGCTACTAGAGAGGCTGCAGTGGGAGGATTGCTTGAGCCCAGGAGATCAAGGTAGCAGTAAGCTGTGATTGCACCACTGCACTCCAGCCTGGGTGACAGAGCAAGACCCTGTCTTTAAAAACCAACCAACAAACAAAAAAAACCCTTAGACTAGGTGGCTTATAAACAACAGAAATTTATTTCTTACACAGAGTTTGTGAAGTGCAAGATCAAGGCCCTGTCAGGATAATGTCTGGTAAGGGCTCTCTTTATCATGGATGGCTCCTTCTCATTGTGTTCTCACATGGTGGAAAGGGTAAACACGCTCCCTCGGCCTCATTACAAGGGCACTGATATCATTCATTCATGAGATAGAGCCCTCATGACCTAATGACCCCTCAAAGGCCCTACTTCTTAATACCACCTCAGTGGGGATTATGTTTCAACATATGAATTTGTGGGGGGACACAAACATTCTGACCAGAGCAATATCCTTCCAGCCCTTTTGCTCTGTGCACTCACACATATGTGTATGACACACACATTAATAAAGGGTAAAATGGTGTCATACTATGCATATTGTTCCATAGCTTGCTTTTTAATTAAAAACTACCATAGTTCATGAACATCTTCCTAGCCTATAGATTATACATTTACCTTTTATTTAATTAATTAATTTTTTTTGAGATGGAGTCTCACTCTGTTGCCCAGGCTGGAGTGCAGTGGTATAATCTCGGCTCACTGCAACCTCTGCCTCCCGGGTTCAGGCAATTTTCCTGCTTCAGCCTCCTGAGTAGCTGGGATTACAGGCACCCACCACCACACTCAGCTCATTTTTGTATTTTTAGTAGAAATGGGGTTTCACCATGTTGGTCAGGCTGGTCTTGAACTCCTGATCTCAAGTGATCCTCCTGCCTCAGCCTCCCAAAGTGCTGGGATTACAGGCATGAGTCACCGTGCCCAGCCTAAATTTACCTCATTAAGTTGCAAAGTATTCCAGGATACAGGTGTAGCATATTTTGTGAACTGTTCCTTTATGGATAGATATTTGTCTCCAATTTTTCTCTCTTATAAATCATGTGGCAGTATACATTCTTGTAGTATAACTTTGCAAGGTTGTGTGAGTAATTTATTCTGTAGGATAAATTTCTCGCGGTGGATTGCTGGGTCATAGGGTGTTAGGGATGTACTGAATTTCAGTCTCAGCCTTGGTAGTCTACCAAATCTATTATTTGAATTTGACTTCAGCCAAACGGCAAAATAGCTACCTTATAATCATTTCTGGTTTTCCTGACCTTGTCATCAGTGCCCATGTGGTAGCCCAGGACATCAGCAAGTCCATCTAGTCACTTGGTGACTTTGATAGGCAGAATAATGTGCCCTTCCCCACTCATCCCCGAAGATGCCCATGTCCTAACACCTGGAATCTGTAAATATGTTAGATTACAGGGCAAAAGCAAATTAAGGTTGCAGATAGAATCAAAGTTACTAACCAACTGATTTTAAAACAGAGAAATTATCCTGGATTATGCAGATAGAGCCAATATAATCACAAGGATTCTAAAAGGTAGAAGAAGGAGCCTGAAGAGGAGAGTCAGAGGGAGACATGACTATGGAAGAATGGTCAGAGGGATGGCTTTGAGGATGAAAGAAATGGCCTATGAGCCAAGGGATGTGGCCAGCCTCTAAAAGCTGGAAAAGGCCAGGAAATTGATTCTCCCTTGTTGCCACCTTGATTTTAGCCTTACATCAGACTTCTGACCCTAAGATAATAAATTTGTGTTGTTTTAAGCTACTAAGTTTATAATAACTTGTTACATCAACAATGGAAAACTCATACAGTCATCAGGAGAGTTCTGGGTCTCACACAGCCAGGAACAGAGTAAATCTGGTTAAGGAAATATTTATAGGATGGAAAGTTGGTAAAACAAAACAAAACAAAACAAAACAAATGCTTGTTGAGCATTCTTGACAATGGCACACACATGGTGAAGACCATGAGGGGTTTGGGAATAATAAACATACAGTGTTTTATTTATACCCTTCAGGTGTTGTTCAGACAATTCCTTTAGCACCACAGGGTATAACAAAATTACTAGTCAAATCACAGAGTGAGCTGCTTTCATAATTTATTTTCAGCCAAAGACATTATGTAACCTGCACAGACTTGGGGACTGGCTTGTCATACACTTATACAAGTTGCTCAAGAAAGATAAAATGGCATCCGTTAGGTGTTAACTACAACAACTACAAGCCTTATCACTGTTTTCTTTCAGTAATTATGCCACCACAGCAGGACTTACTAACAACCAATCTCCTCTCACAACAAAAATAGTTTGCAGAAACCTGACAAACAGAACTGATACCAACATTAATTTCCTTTCCCTGGGTTAGAAAATACTAGGACCAGGAATACTTTCCTGTCCTTACATTAAATAATACTGAGAACAAGCAAAAATAACTTAGCTATTTGCTTTAAGAAATACTCGTTCCAGGCTGGGCACGGTGGCTCATGCCTGTAATCCTAGCACTTTGGGAGGCCGAGGCAGGCGGATCACCTGAGGTCAGGAGTTCAAGACCAGCCTGGCCAACATGGTGAAACCCTGTCTCAACTAAAAATATAAAAATTATCCGGGCATGGTGGTGGGCTCCTGTAATCCAAGCTACTCTGGAGGCTGAGGCAGGAGAACTGCTTGAACCCAGGAAACGGAGGTTGCAGTGAGCTGATATGGTGCCACTGCACCTCAGCCTGGGCGAAAGAGTGAGACTCTGTCTCAAAAACAACAACAACAACAACAAACAAACTTGTTCCTGGAAGATAAGACTGTGAACTAGCAAAAAGAGCATATTTATAAAAACTAGAAGCTGACTAGGTGTGGTGGCTCATGCCTGTAGTCCCAGCACTTTGGGAGGCTGAGGCAGGCAGATTGCTTGAGACCAGCCTGAACAACATGGTGAAACCCCGTCTCTACAAAAGATACAAAAATTAGCTGGGCTTGGTGGCACGCACCTGCAGCCCCAGCTACTCAGGAGGCTGAGGTGGGAGAATCACTCGAGCCCAGGATGTTGAGGCTCACACCACTGTACTCCAGCCCGGGCAAGAGTGAGACCCTGTCTCAAAAAAAGCAAAAAACTAAAAGCTAAGTCACCAAGACCTGCTTAAAGACTTTTGCCTCACTGTGCCCATCAATCCAAAATTATTATATCATAAATTCTGCCTAATCTCAGTTTCCTGCTTTGCAAGACCCTCCTGAAAATATCCAAGTTAAGGCCCTAAAACCCTAAAAATATCCTCCCAACTCTCCCCTTCTGAAAAACAATTACAACTTTCTCATATTGGTGTTCTCCTTAAGTTTAATAAAATTAGCTTTACTTAACAAACATGTTTTTTCAGGGGGCGTTTTGGAGAGTTAATATTCCTTTTTACTTTGTAGAAATGGGGTCTCTCTATGTTGCTCAGGCTGGGCTCGAATTCCTGGGCTCAAGCTATTCTCCCACCTCAGCCTCCTGAGTAGCTAGGATCACAGGTGTGTGCCACCGCATCTGGCTAATTTCTTATTTTTAAAATTTCTGGAGAGACAAGGTCTCGCTATGTTGTTCAGGCTAGTCTTGAACTCCTGGCTTCAAACAATCCTTCTGCCTCTGCCTCCCAAAGTGCTGGGATTACAGGCATAAGCCACCACTAGTTTCTTTTCTTTTCTTTTTTTTTTTTTTTTGTAGATGGAGTCTCCCTCTATCACGTAGGCTGGAGTGCAGTGGCACGATCTTGGCTCATTGCAACATCCGCCTCTGGGGTTCAAGCAATTCTCCTGCCTCAGCCTCCCGAGTAACTGGGATTACAGGCACATGCCACCACACCTGGCTAATTTTTTATATTTTTGGTAGAGACGGAGTTTCACCATGTTGGCCAGGCTGGTCTTGAACTCCTCACCTCAAGTGATCCGCCCGCCTTGGCCTCCCAAAGTGTTGGGATTATAGGCATGAGCCACTGCACCCGGCAGTGGGATCTGAATAATATAAAACTATTAAAAATTTACATTTGAACAAAATGTGTTTATGAAACACCACTAGTATAGACAATTAAAATTCTGAAAGGTATTGCCAAGTTTTATCCAAAAAGTGTGTACTAAAGTATGTACCAATATATACATTTTTTGGTTTTTTTTTTTTTTTTTGAGACGGAGTCTGGCTCTGTCACCCAGGCTGGAATGCAGTGTCACGATCTTGGCTCACTGCAAACTCTGCCTCCAGGTTCAAGCAATTCTCCTGCCTCAGCCTCCTGAGTAGCTGGGACTACAGGTGCATGCCACCACCCCTGGCTAATTTTTTGTATTTTTAATAGAGATGGGGTTTCATCGTGTTAGCCAGGATGGTCTCGATCTCCTGATCTCGTGATCCACCAGGCTCGGCCTCCCAAAGTGCTGGGATTACAGGCATGAGCCACTGCACCAGGCCCAATATATACATTTTCAAGCCTCTGGTGATACACTACTTAATTGTTCTCCAGAAAACATGAACCAATTGATGCTGTCTCCAACAGTGAAAAATAATGCCTGTGTATTTTTTATTAAAGGATAACTTTTCAAACAAGTTGTCATTGTGACTGACATACATATGTTAAAATGAATATGTAGCAAATATTTTATTTATTATTATTTATTTATTTTATTTTTATTTATTTTTTTTGAGACAGAGTCTTGCTCTGTCGCCCAGGCTGGAGTGCAGTGGTGCCATCTCAGCTCACTGCAATCTCCGTCTCCCAGGTTCAAGTGATTCTCCTGCCTCAGCCTCCAGAGTAGCTGGAATTACAGGTGGCCACCATCCCACCCAGCTAATTTTTGTATTTTTAGTAGAGACGGAGTTTCACCATGTTGGCCAGACTGGTCTTGAACTCCTGACCTCAAGTAATCCTCCCACTTCGGCCTCCCAAAGCGCTGGGATTACAGGCATGAGCCACCAGCGCCCAGCCAATAATTTTATTTAACTCATTAATTAATGAGGGAACCAGTAAGATTTTACAAGTTCAAAGGAGAATATAAAGTACCACACTTACATGATAAATGTTAGAGGTAATGAATATCCCAATTATCCTGATTTGATCATTATACATTGTATACATGTATCAAAATATCACATATACCACAAAATACATACAACTACTAGATATCAATTTTAAAAATTAAAAAATAATAAAGTACCATACTTATATAGGTCAGGAATGCTGAAATGAATTTACAAATAGATGTAAAACTGGCCTTTTTTAAAAAGGGGTTGGGTGGGGAAAGAGAATTTGAAGTCTAGGGGCAATTACATTTGCATTTCTATCCATTATCTACAATTTACTGGACTGAAAATAACTCGAAAGACAATGAAAGGCCAGAGCCCCCTTAGAATCCCATAACTGGGCTGGGCGCGGTGGCTCACTCCTGTAATCCCAGCACTTTGGGATCCCAGCTGAAGCATGAGAATCGCTTAAACCTGGGAGGTGGAGGCTGCAGTGAGCCAAGATCGTGCCACTGCACTCCAGCCTGGGGGACAGAGTGAGACTCCGTCTCAAAAAAAAAAAAAAAAAAAAATCCCATAATTGGGAAGGGGCTGCTAGATACCACCTTGTTGTTGTCTATTGAAGACACCAGATTTCATCTTTTGTTGCATTTTAAAGTCTTTCACAGTTTTTCCCTACACTCTGGGCAAACTTATCTTCTATAAATCTTTATATTTACAGAAACCTATATTTTCATTAAAAAAGAAAGAAAAGAGGCCAGGCGCAGTGGCTCACGCCTGTAATCCCAGCACTTTGAGAGGCTGAGGCGGGCGGATCACCTGAGGTCGGGAGTTGGAGACCAGCCTGACCAACATGGAGAAACCCCGTCTCTACTAAAATCACAAAAAAATTAGCTGGGCGTGGTGGTGCATGCCTGTAATCCCAGCTACTCGGGAGGCTGAGGCAGGAGAATCACTTGAACCCAGGAGCTGGAGGTTGCGGTGAGTCAAGATCACGCCATTGCACTACAACCTGGGCAACAAGAGCAAAAACTCCGTCTCAAAAAAAAAAAAAAAAAAAAAATCCAAGCAACCGGAAAAACAATGACCTGCAAAAAAGTCAGGGAGCTGTTTCTGAACATCAGGCCCAATGGCTAGACAATAGCTGGATTTTACCCAGAGAAACTTTTTTTTTCTTACCCAGATAAACTTCTGATCTCATTATTGTTATTATTTTACCAGCCAGATGTTTTGACTCTGTTTGGAAATACAGATATTTTAATCAGGATCATATCGACAATGATAAATTTGGGAAAATATTTCTTGAGCAGGCTCCACTAAGTCTGTTTAATCCCTTCACACATTTTCTACACATTATTACTAAAGTGATTTTTTTCATTTAAAATTTATTTTCAAAAATAATAATTTGAAAAAACCCAAATATTTAAACACTATTTTATTGAGGTTATTATTGTACATTTTATTTTAAAATATTTAAATCTTTGACCATTTTTATACTAAATATAACTATAGCTTTTCTCAATCTGAATTTTATTTTGTGGCATTTATTGCTATCAAATCTAGTTTTCTTGGGTCAAATTTTTATATTTTGATGTTGTGGTGAAATTTTATTTTTTTGTCAATTTTCAGTTAGTAACAACTTACTATGGTCAGTTTTAGCTATAATTGGTTTTATTTTATCTCAGTTAGGTTTACCAAGTCTGCTTTTTCCTGGATCAGATTTGACCAAAGGTGACATCATAGCATGATGTCAAGGTCTGAAATTTTAAATTTAGCCCTATTTTACCCTTCCAATTATTTTGTATGCCAAATATTTACTCTCCATGTTATGCTATGTTATGGACAAAGAGCAAAGAATGTCCTCAAAGTCAAAACTTCAGGATCAAAGACATTCAGTTAGGTTTATGAGGCCTGATCTTCCTTTTTTTCTTTTTCTTCTTTTTTTTTCTTTTTTGAGACAGAGTCTTGCTCTGTCACTCAGGCTGGAGTGTAATGGTACTATCTCGGCTCACTGCAACCTCCGCCTCCTGGGTTTAAGTGATTCTCCTGCTTCAGCCTACAGGCGCCTGCCACCACGCCTGGCTAATTTTTGTATTTTTAGTAGAGATGGGGGTTTCACTATGCTGGCCAGGCTGGTCATGAACTCCTGACCTCAAATGATCTACCCACCTCGGCTTCCCGAAGTGCTGGGATTATAGGAGTGAGCCACCCCGCCTGGCCGAGGCCTGATCTTTCATCCATCCACCCTTCCACTCACTCATCCACTTGCCCACTCGCTCATCCACGTAGCCATTCATCTATTTTTCCACCCACTCATTCATCAACTCAACACTAATCTACCCCATCCAACCACCATTCATCAATCCATCAACCTATATAATCCATCCATTCAGCCATCCATCCATCGATCCTTCTATCCAACCACCTGTCCGTCCATTCATCCATTGATCTGTTTACCTCTTCATTAATCTATCCAAGTGGTTCTCAATCGGGGCAATTTTGCTCCCTGGGGATATTTGGAAACGTGTAGAGATATTTTTGGCTGTCATAATGGACAGTAGGGGGTTTGGGGGATGCTACTGGCATCTAGTGGGTAAAGGCCAGAGATGCTGCTAAACCTCCCATTTAACACATAGAACAGCACCCCTACCCCAACAACAAATAATTATTTGGCCTAAAATGTCCATGGTACCAAGGTTGAGAACCCCTGCTCTACCTTGTCCAGTGATCCACCCATCTATTCATCCATAGTCATCCATCTAAATGTTTATTGAGCACCTATTGCAATGTCTCTCAATATATATATATTTTAAGAGACGGGGAGTCTCACTAGGTTGACCAGGCTGGTCTTGAACTTCTGGCCTCAAGTGACCCTCCTGGCCTCAGCCTCCCAAAGTGTCGGGATGATAGGCATGAGCTACCGCACCCAGCCTGTCTCTCAATATTGACTGCAAATCAGAATCACCTGTGGAGCATGTACAACATAGCTACCACCCAGATATCACCTTGGACTATTCAGAGCTTTATAATAAGAAACTATGGAAGTTTATGAATTGAAAGGTTATAAGTAGAGAAGCTTCTGTGCTTGTTTTTAAGAGAGTACGTGTTATGAAATAGTTGCCAATTGGCCGGGTGTGGTGGCTCATGCCTGTAATCCCAGCACTTTGAGAGGCTGAGGCGGGCGGATCACCTTAGGTCGGGAGTTTGAGACCAGCCTGACCAACATGGAGAAACCCCATCTCTACTGAAAACACAAAATTAGCCAGGCGTGGTGGCACATGCCTGTAATCCCAGCTACTCAGGAGGCTGAGGCAGGAGAATCGCTTGAACCTGGGAGGCAGAGGTTGCAGCAAGTCGAGATCATGCCATTGCACTCTAGCCTGGGCAACAAAAGAGAAACTCCATCTCAAAAAAAAAAAAAAAAAAAAGAAAAGAAAAGAGAAGAAAAGAAATAGTTGCTAATTAAGGTTAACGGCTCATCAACATATTAATCAGGTAAACAGTGCATGCCAAAGGTGAAGAACAAATATATATACAAGTTTCCTTCTATGGGGCAGGGGCCAAGGGTGTTTTCAACTCAGTGTGCACATTAGAGTCACTTGGGGAGCTTTTAAAACATACTGAGGCTCAGGTCCCAGAGGCTCTGATTTAATTTATCTAACATGTGGCCTAGGCATCAGGATTTTATAAAAGCACTCCAGTTGATCATAATATGCAGCCAGGGTTAAGAACAGCTGTCTCAGAGCTCAAAAATGCACCTCCCTTTTTCTTTGTTGTGTGTGTGTACATAACACGTTTTCTTTTTCACTTTATTCAGAGCCCAGTCTTTTTTTTTTTTTTTTTTTTTTTTAGAGTCTTTCTTTGTTGCTCAGGCTGGAGTGCAGTGGTACAATCTTGGCTCGCTGCAACTCCACTTCCCAGGTTCAAGCGATTCTCCTGCCTCAGCCTTCGGAGTAGCTGGGATTAGAGGCATCTACCACCATGCCTGGCTGGTGTTGAACTCCTTACCTCAAGTGATCTGCCCACCTTGGCCTCACAAAGTCCTGGGATTACAGGCATGAGCCACCGTGCCTGGCCCAGAGTCCAATCTTAAAATAAGGTTTGGCATAAGAATTTGCCCTTAGATTATTGGTTTGCCCTTTTTTTTTTTTAATTTTTTGAGACAGGGTCTCACTGTTTCACCCAGCTGTAACACCCAGCTAATTTTTTAAAATTTTTAGTAGAGATGGGGTTTTACCATGTTGGCCAGGCTGGTCTCGAACTCCTGGCGTCAAGTGATCCGCCTGCCTCGGCCTCCCAAAGTGCTGGGATTACAGGTGTGAGCCACCGTGCCCGGCCAGAGATTGGTCTTAAAATGCCATGACAGTCAGCATTAATTGGAGAGAGATAATATTGGCCCAAATGCTGCCTCTTCAAATCCAAAATCCATTTTGGGGAGTGGAGAGGGAGACTAACATTGGTTGTATGTGTGCATGCATGTATATGTATGTGCGTGTGTGTGTGTACAAGCTAATCACCTATCAAACATAATGCTGGGTACATTCGCATCTTTATTTTCATAGTTATTGTTACTGTCATGGCTGTTTCAATTGGTTGAGGACCTGCTGTGCACTTCACATCATTCCACAAAGCCCTACAGTGATCATGGTTCTATACACAAGGAAAGGAAGGCAGAGAAATTAGACAACTTACTCAATGTCAAATGTCAGTAAGATACAGAATCCCAATCTAAACTCAGGTGTCTCTGGCCCAAAGCCTGTGATCTGTCCCTATTTTGTATTGCTTCATAAAAGTGCAATCCACTGACCAACAATCAAGCCCAGACCGATACTCCCTGGGCCCAACTAGTGCGGACCAGGTGGATTGGAACTTCCCTGCAGTGCCAGAGGAAATAGCAATAGAGGTATCTGAGCTCTTTGGATTAAAGATAATGGAACATAGGAGGGACTCTCCAGAGCTTTTTGTCCTACCTTGAATCTCAGACCTCTAGAAAGAAACTTTGGGTGCTATACTGATTCAATTGTATCCTTTTCATTACACTTTTATAATATATATTATTAAAAATATAGGCCAGGTGCAGTGGCTCATGCCTATAATCCCAGCACTTTGGGAGGCCAAGGCAGGAGGATCACTTGAGCCCAGGAGTTCAAGACCAACCTGGGCAATATAGTGAGAACTTGTCTCTATAGAAAGTTAAAAAAAAAAAAATTAGCCAGGATTTTTAGTGGGATGATTGCTTGAGCCCATTAAAAAAAAATTAAAGCTGTTAAAATAATGTTATATATATCATACATATATTCTTTTTTATGCTTCTTTTTTGTTTTCTTATTTTTACTTTTCTCCTCAAATTCCATTTACATATATATATATAGACAGGGTCTCACTCTGTTGTCAGGTTGGAGTGCCACCATGCCCAGCTAATTTTTTATTTTATTTTTATAGACATGGGATTTTGCCATGTTGCCCAGGCTGGTCTCGAACTTCTGGGCTCAAGCAATCCTCCTACCTCAGCCACTCAAAGTGCCAGTATTACAGTCATGAGTCACTGTGCCTAGCCTAAGTATTTTAAGATGTTATCATTTCATTGACAAGCCCACAAACAATATATCAACTATTTTTTTCTTTGGCTCCATTCGTGTATGTGTGAATTTGTGTGTTTATGCTGGGAAGTCCTGGGAAAGTTCCATTTAGTGGAAAACATGCCCAGAGGAGTTGTTCTACCCAAAGGGGAGAAAGTTGAGATAATAATCCACTGATTTATTGGTTGAGGGTTGCTCCTAAAGGTGTCGTTAACTCCCTGGCATTTGGAACTACCCTGAAGCAGATGAACACCTATGTAGACAAAGCCTTTATGTGGAAAGTTGCAGATGCTTTCACTAGGAAGCCATTAGCAGGAATGGCAAGTGCAAGGGACTGTGTCAAGGCATGACAGCATCTGCTACAGAATGTGACATTTAAAGCCGGGTGTGGTGGCTCATGCCTATAATCCCAGCATTTTGGGAGGCTGATGCAGGCAGACCACTCGAGGTCAGGAGTTTGAGACCAGCCTGGCCAACATGGTGAAAAACCCCGTCTCTACTAAAAAAAAAAAAAAAAAAAAATACAAAAAAAAAATTAGCTGGGCGTGGTGGTGCGCGCCTGTAATCCCAGCTACTTGGAGGCTGAGGTGTGAGAATTGCTTGAACTCAGGAGGCAGAGGTTGCAGTGAACAGAGATCGCACCACTGCACTCCAGCCTGTCAAGAGAGTGAAACTCTGTCTCAAAAAAGGGCCGGGCGTGGTGATTCACGCCTGTAATCCCAGCACTTTGGGAGGCCGAGGCAGGCGGATCACGAGGTCAGGTGATTGAGACCAGCCTGGCCAAGAGACCAGCCTGGCCAATATAGTGAAACCCCATCTCTACTACAAATACAAAAGTTTGCTGGGTGTGGTGGCACGTGCCTGTAATCCCAGCTACTTGGAAGGCTGAGGCAGGAGAATCGCTTGAAGCTGGGAGGCGGAGGTTGCAGTGAGCCAAGATTGTACCATTGCACTCCAGCCTGGGAGACACAGCGAGACTCCGACTCAAAAAAAAAAAAGAAAAGAAAAAAGTGACATTTAAGCAAGGACTTAGGAAAGTGAATCATGTGGACATGTAGGGAAAGAATGTTTTAGGCAGAGGAAACAGCCATTGCAAAGGCCTGGAAGCAGGAGCTGTCTGTCTGGCATGTTGGGAGGAAAAGTAAGGAAGCCCATGTGGCTGGAGTAGAGTGAGCAAGGGGACAGTAGATGAGACAAGAGTAGAGAAATCATAGAAGTCACGATTATATAGGATCTTGTGGGATGTTTTAAGGACTTGGGTTTCACTCTGAGCAAAATAGGAAACCATTAAAAATTTGAGAAGAGGTGTAATGTGATCTAACATATTTCAGAAGGTCAACCAGGGCTAGACCTGGTGGCTTGTAATCCTACCTACTCTGGAGGCTGACATGGGAGGATTGTTTTAACCCAGGAGTTCGAGGATGCAGTGAGCTAGGATCATGCCACTGCTCTCCAGCATGAGGAAAAAAAAAAAAAAAAAGGTTCAGCCAGGCTGCTGTTCTGGAAATAGAGAGCAAAAGGAGAAGCCAGGAGACAGGAAGCTGTTGCAATATCCAGGCAAGAAGTGGTGAGAAATGGTCAGATTTTGAATATAGGAGGAAGGTAAAGCCTACTGAATTTCTGGATAGATTCAGTGTGAGGTCTGAGAGAAGAGAGGAATGAAGTACAAAACTAAGGATTTTAGCCTGAGCAATTAGGCTAAGGAAGGTTATGGGTAAAGTATGTTTAGGGAGACAATTAGACATTCGGTTTTCTAGCTCACCTCTTCACCAGTGATGAAGCCTTCAGGGTGCCATCTTTATTCAGGCAGTCCCATTTCCAGCTTCCTATATGGCATGAACTGACGTCTTATTTCTCATACTTATGTGGACATTTAACCTTCAAAAGTAACAATCCGCTCACATACCTTCTCCTAGTCCCTAGAAGACATAGCCAGTTCACACGCTGACCACTCAGGTTTTCAGTTCCTCCTTTATGTTCAGCTCCTGACAGTTCCCTTTCTTGCTTGCAAATCTTACTTTGTACAGTCGTCCCTTGGTATACATGTGGGATTGGCTCCAGGGCCCCTTCCATATGCCAAAATCCACACATAAGTCCTGCACTCAGTCCTGCGGAACCTGCACATACAAAAAGTTGACTCTCCACATATGCAGATTTTGCATCCCTTGAATACTGTATTTTCAATCCACCTTTGGTTGAAAAAATCCCATGTATAAGTAGACTTGTGCATTTCAAACCCGTGTTGTTCAAGGGTCAACTGTATTTCTTTTCTCTTTTTCTTTTTTTTTGAGACAGAATCTCTGTTCCCCAGGCTGGAGTGCGGCAGCATGATCTCAGCTCACTGCAGCCTTCGCCTCCCAGGTTCAAGCAATTCTTGTGTCTCAGCCTCCCAAGTAGCTGGGATTACAGGTGTGCACCACCACACCCGGCTAATTTTTGTATTTTTAGTAGAGACAGGTTTTTGCCATGTTTGCCAGGCTGGTCTCAAACTCCTGGCCTCAAGTGATCTACCTGCCTCAGCCTCCCAAAGTGCTGGGATTACAGGCATGAACCACCACATGTGGCCTCAAGGGTCAACTGTATTTAAAAGAATGTTATATTTTAGTCAGCACCTCTATTTGTAGCAGGAATGTTTTCAGATTATCTCACCTGTCACATTGTTGCAACTGGAAGTCCCTCCAGGGGTGACTTGGCTGGCAAATTAACTCAGCAGGAACTATTTTCTGGAATGACAGACCCATCTGAATGAACACAACACCCCTACCTTCCTGCCATACTGGAAGCATCGACTCCTGGAAGCATCAGTCAGGGGAAGAGAAAGGAGCTGGAGGAGGGAGAGGGCAGAGCCCCCAAGGCAATCCTATCACTTTCTTCAACAAAATCCATGTCCATCTGCTGATGGGCTGAAGAGCAGAATCACAGGGTTTTTGATTGGATAGATACTATCCAGTTCAACCTTCAACCAGGTGCAACCTCCTTGCCAGACAGCCTACTGCTGCAGGGCCCTCACTAATGACTTCATGCCAGGACTGCTCTCATTTTAAGCCTCTTCTTATTTTGAGATAACAATCTTAGCCAGGAGAGGTGGCTCACACCTGTAATCCCTTGGCACTTTGGGAGGCTGAGGTGGGAGGATCGTTTGAGCCCAGAAGTTTCAAGACCATTCTGGACAACATAGTGAGACTCCATCTCCAGAAAAAATTTAAAAAACTAGCCAGGCATGGTGGTGCGCACCTGTAGTCCCAGCTACTCAGGAGGCTGGGGTGGGAGGATTGAGCCCAGGAGGTTGAGGCTGCAAGGAGCTGTGATGGCACCACTGCACTCCAGCCTGGATGACAGAGTGACACCCTGTCTCAAAAACAACAACAATAACAACAAAACCTTTGGGAAAAATGTTTGCTACTCATTCAGCCCACATCCACATCCTCTTGCTTTCCCTTCTACCTGGCAGCCCCTCATGGCCTCTGTCACATTTCTCTTCCTCTTCAGGTAAGCAGACCTAGTTCCTTCCATCTTTCCTCATACAAAGTGGTCCCAGAGCTAGATATCACCCATCAGAAGTGATGTATTTTTCTCTCACAGCTTCCCATGACAGGACTGCCAGGTGAGCAGAACCTCCTCTCCCACTGTTGGAAGAATAACAGAAACCTCAAGGCCCTGATGAGGGTGTCAGACGGGGGAGCACCCACAGAGTGTCAGGCCAAGGCCTTGACCCATAAGAACAGAAGAGGGGGTGAGATACAATTCCAAGGAAGCACTGAAACTTTTCGCTCAGTGGAGACTTGGTTTACCAACCCAGGGGCGTATCAGTCAGCCTGGAAGGCCCCAGAGGGCCTGAGTTTGTTCTCTGAGCAAAGTAATGAACTCTTTCCCTTTGGTGCCACCACCAAGGGCCCAAGCTGCAGCCTGGTAACTTGATAGAGAGTGATATCTTCTCTCTTCCCTGCTCAGCCTTGACAGTGATCCCAGTTCCTATTCAGGGTAAATCGTTCACTTTCACTTCTGCTCAGTGCAGCCTACACGGAGAGAGAAAGCGGGGAGGGGAGGCACCCTGGTGCCTGGTGGCCGTGCATGCTGCGTAGGGAAGGCCGTGGTGTTCTGGAAACATGCAGAGGACATGTCTCCCAGAAGCTGCTCATTTATTCCCTGGTACATGGAGCCAGCTCTGCCTCATCCCTTTCTGGTCTCTGTGGCTAGACCTTATCCTCCCCTGGTTGCCAAATGAAGGAGGGCCTCCTCCTGTCTTCTTCACTGGCTCAGAAACACAGAAAAGATGTCTTGAGAGAACTTAGGGTCTGAGGGAGCTGTGAGAAGCAGAGCTCCTCAGACCGAGCTCACCACCCCCACCCTAGGATGTCTATCCAGGAAAGGGGCTGACCAGTGTGACAAAGGCCTGCCAGGAGGAGCCTGGCTGAGCTACTTTTCTGCCTTCCTACTTGAGACTCAGTTCTGACCTCACACATACATAGAGAATATGTCCTTTCAGACAGGAAATAAGACAAAGTTCTCAGATGAGCACTGAAAGTCCAAACTAGAAAGTTATTTTATCCTGTCCCTGCATATAAGACAGTGAATTAAAACCCAAAGTGCTCTGTGGAGATGAGCAAGGTTGTCCTTGGAGGATGCTCCTCCCAACATGCAGGCCAAATGTGTTCTCTGTGCTGGGTCCCAGCATTGGAGTAGAGGGGGCTGCAGCTCTGGGCAGGTGGTTGAGCAGCTCCACTACAGTAGGTGGGAGTTGCTGGTCTTGTCCTTTAAGGTACTGGCGATGAGGTTCTATTTTCTATGTGCCTGCTGGAGGCCCATCATGGTTTTCAAGTAATTATGCTGGACACAGAGGGAAGAGAAAACAGGAACTTATTAGGAGGGACAGACATAGCAGGGACTCAGACCAGGCCACTCACATTCACCCTATCATTCCTCCTGCAAACATCATGGGTTGTGGACAAGGATTCCTTCTGAGTAGCCCCAATTCTCTGAGAAATAACATCCATTCAAACTCTTTCATTCTTTTATCCTAAAGAAAGTGTGTAAAACTATTTTAAAACAGTCTGGCAGGCATATTTGAAAGGAGGCATATAGGTTTCAAGGGCATTCTTGGGAGTTTCTGATAGGGAATAGGTTCAGAAAGAAAAGAAGAGGGTTCTATCTCCAGAGGAGTTAGGGGCCAGGTATTCAGAAGGGCCCTCTCTTTGCCACTGCAATCAATCAGATGTTCACAAATTATACCTTTTTAATGCATCACTAGGCTCTTAGAAAGCAGGTGAAAACTGTAGGCTGAAACAGAAACAGTGGGCTGTAAGCCAGCAAACGCTAAAACTAGCTTGGAACATGGAATCTTAGGTTCCCCACAAAGTAGGAGTCTGAATTGAAGCTCCCATATTAAACTGGAATTCTTGAAGAGGGTTAAAATGGTCCTGGGTTGGTAATGCCCCATGGGTAACTGCAGAAAGCAAGTGCAAACCTTTTCAGGGGGAAAATAATTTCTATTTATGTGTTCAGGTCTCCTTGAGCTTAAGTTCAATCAAACACAAGGTCACGATTTCAATACACACACAAACACACACACATACACACGCCACTGTCAAGCCACCATGAGACTCAGTAAAACAGGAAACAGATTTTGACCATGAAAAATCTGATCTATATGTTTCCTATATAAAAGTATATATTTAAATAACTAAAACATAGAATTGAAAGAACATGGAATGGTTCGAGTATAACATTTGCATAAAAAGTCTGTGCATGGGCATATCTTAAACATTAAAAATGGCCAACACAGAGAATTATAGAGATTGGGGAATGAGAGAATAGAATTTTGACCTGTAGAAATACAGGACTCCTCTGCTTAATGATTTAGAATTTTTTTTTTTTTTGAGATGGAGTCTCGCTCTGTCACCCAGGCCGGAGTACAGTGGCGCAATCTCGGCTCACTACAACCTCTGCCTCCCGGGTTCAAGCGATTCTCCTGCCTCAGCCTCCTGAGTAGCTGTGATTACACGTGTGCACCACCATCCCCGGCTAGTTTTTGTGTTTTTAGTAAAGACAGGGTTTTACCATGTTAGCCAGGCTGGTCCTGAACTCCTCACCTTAAGTGATCCACCCACCTCAGTCTCCCAAAGTGCTGGGATTACAGGCGTGAGCCACCGTGACTGGCGAGTTGCACATTTTAAATGGGTGAATTGTATGGTATGCAAATTCTGTCTCAATAAAGCCTTTTAAAAAGCATAAAATAAGAATTTATTTAAAATAACTATCTGGGCACAGGGGCTCACGCCCATGATCCCAGCACTTTGGGAAGCTGAGGTGAGATGATTGCTTGAGCCCAGGATATCAAGACTGCAGTGAGCTATGATCGTGTCACTGCACTCCCTCCAGCTTGGGTGACAGAGCAAGACCTTGTCAAAAAAAAAAAAAAAAGGCTGGGTGCAGTGGCTCATGCCTGTAATCCCAGCACTTTGGAAGGCCCAGGCAGGAGGATCCCTTGAGTCTAGGAACTGAAGACCAGCCTGAGCAACATAGGGAGACCCAGTCTCTATTTTTAAAAAATTGTTTTTAATTAAAAAGAAAAAGAATGCCAGGCACGATGGCTCATGCCTGTAATCCCAGCACTTTGGGAGGTCGAGGCGGGTGGATCACCCGAGGTCGGGAGTTCGAGACCAGCCTGACCAACAGGAAAAATCCCATCTCTACTAAAAATACAAAATTAGCCGGTAGTGGTGGCGCATGCCTATAATCCCAGCTACTCAGGAGGCCGAGGAAGGAGAATCGCTTAAACCTGGGAGGCAGAGGTTGCAGTGAGCCAAGATCACACCATTGCACTCCAGCCTAGGTGACAGAGGAAGACTCCATCTTGTGGGGGAAAAAAAAAGAAGTTACCCAGGCTGGGCACAGTGGCTCATGCCTCTAATCCCAGCACTTTGGGAAGCCAAGGCGGGTGGATCACGAGGTCAGGAGTTCAAGACCAGGCTGGCCAACACGGTGAAACCCTGTCTGTATTAAAAATACAAAAATTAGCCAGGCATGGTGGCGCATGCCTATAATCCCAGCTACTTGGGAGGCTGAGGCAGGAGAATCACTTACAACCCAGGGGGCAGAGGCTGCCGTAAGCCGAGATTGCGCCACTTCACTCCAGCCAGGGTGAAAGAGCAAAACTCCGTCTAAAAAAAAAAGTTACCTAAATTACAGCATAGAGAAATGAGGAGCTGGAAGAAACATAAGATATTTTAAGAGATACAGAGGACAGAATGAAATAAAATACATCTAATCAGAGTCCTGGGAATGAGAATAGAAAGAAAAGGGAGGCAGTATGCAAAAAGATAACGGTTCCAATATTCCCTTCATGATTGAGAAAAAAAATACACACTCAATGAATAGGAACAGAAAAGAACGTCTTCAACCTAATAAAGAGCAGGTTCTAAGGTAAAGCCTCTAAGTGTGCTACCCCAAGTGTGGTCCTGGACTAGCAGCATGGACATCATCTGGGAGTTTATTCAAAATATAGAATCTCAGGCTCCATCAGTATCTACTTTTTTTTTTTTTTTTTTTTTTTTTTTAGACAGTTTCTCTTCGTTGCCCAGGCTGGAGTGCAGTGGTGCAAGCTTGGCTCACTGCAACCTCCACCTCCCTGGTTTAAGCAATTCTCACACCTCAGCCTCCCAAGTAGCTGGGATTACAGGCGTGCACAGGCATGCACCACCATGGCTGGCTAATTTTTGTATTTTTAGTAGAGATGGGGTTTCACCACAATGGCCAGGCTGGTCTCGAACTCCTGGCCTCAAGTGATCTGCCCGCCTCAGCCTCCCAAAGTACTGGGATTATAGGCACGAGCTATTGTTACCGGCCATCTGCATTCTAAAAAGACCCCTGGTGATTTGTGTGCACAGCACAGGATGGGACGTGCTGCTCTATGGGACCTTCAGAATCCATGTAAGAGACCCCTATGCTTAAGCCTCTCTGGATGGGCTTCAGCTCCTCACAGCCATCAGGTAAGTGAAGATGTCAGCTTAATCCTAAACGTAAAGAGTGAATTCAACTAGGGGAAATGATGACACAAAATCCAGAAACTAAGAAAAAGAATACCGATAAACTTGTGCTATGGTCTGAATATCAGTGTCTCCCCAAAATTCATATGTTGAAAGCTAACCCCCATGGTGATGCTATGAAGAGGTGAGGCCTTTGAGAGGTGACAGGTCTTGAAGGCTTTACCCTCAGGGATGGGATTAGTGCCCTATAAAAGGGGCCTGAGGGAGCTCGTTAGTTTATTGCACTTCTGCTGTGTGAGGACACAACTAGAAGGCACCACCTCTGAAGCGGAGGGCAAACCCTTACTAGCCCATATCTGCTGATGCCTTGATGTTATACTTGCCAGCTTCCAGAACTGTGAGCAATACATTTCTGCTGTTTTTTTTGTTTTGTTTTGTTTTTTTTACGGAGTCTCACTCTGTCACCCAGGCTGGAGTGCAGTGGTGCGATCTCAGCTCACCGCAACCTCCACCTCCCGGGTTCAAGCAATTCTCCTGCCTCAGCCTCCCGAGTAGCTGGAACTACAGGCATGCGTCACCACACCCGGCTAATTTTTGTATTTTTAGTAGAGACGAGGTTTCACCATGTTGGCCAGGCTGGTCTCGAACTCCCGACCTTAGGTGATCCACTCATCTCAGCCTCCCAAAGTGCTGGGATTACAGGTGTGAGCCACCGCGCCCAGCCCATTTCTACTGTTTATAAATTCCCCAGTCTAAGGTATTTTGTTGCAGCAGCCTAAATGGACTAAGCTTGATTTCTTAAAAATAACAAAATACCTACAAAAAACTATAAGGAAAGTCGGCCGGGCATGCTGGCTCACACCTATAATCCCAGCACTTTGGGAGGCCGAGGCGGGTGGATCAAGAGGTCAGGAGATCGAGACCATCCTAGCTAACACGGTGAAACCCCGTCTCTACTAAAAATACAAAAAATTAGCTGGGCGTGGTGGCGGGCACCTGTAGTCCCAGCTACTCAGGAGGCTGAGGCAGGAGAATGGCGTGAACCCGGGAGGCGGAGTTGCAGTGAGCCGAGATCACGCCACTGCATTCCAGGTTGGGCGACAGAGCGAGACTCCATCTCAAAAAAAAAAAAAAAACAAAAACCATAAGGAAAGTCAAAAGACAAATGACAAACAGGAAGAAATAGTTGTAAATCATATCACAAAGAGCTAATTTCTTGGTCAGGTGCAGTGGCTCATATCTGTAATCCCAGCACTTTGGGAGGCCAAGGTGGGTGGATCACCTGAGGTCAGGAGTTTGAGACCAGCCTGGCCAATATGGTGAAACCCTGTCTTTACTTAAAATACAAAAAAATTAGCTGAGTGTGGTTGCGGGTGCCTGTAGTCCCAGTTATTCAAGAGGCTGAGGCAGGAGAATAGTTTGAGCCCAGAGGCAGAAGTTGCAGTGAGCCAAGACTGTGCCACTGCATTCCAGCCTGGGCGACAGAGTGAGACTCTGTCTCAAAAAAAAAAAAAAAAAAAAAAAAAGTTCCTAAAAATTAATAAGAAAAAACCGGCCAGGTACAATGGCTCATGCCTGTAATCCCAGCACTTTGGGAGGCCAGGGCAGGCGGATCACTTGAGCCTAGGTGTTTGAGACCAGCCTGGGCAACAAGGCAAAACCCCATCTCTACCAAAAAAAAAAAAAATTAGCTGGGCATGTGGTGTATGCCTATAGTCCCAGCTACTCGGGAGGCTGAGGTGGGAGGATCGCTTCAATCTGTGAGGTCGAGGCTGTAATGAGCCATGATCATGCCACTGCACTCTAGCCTGGGCAACAGAGCACAACACCGTCTCAAAAGAAAAGAAAAGAAAAAAAAAAGACACAGAAGCACCAATAGGTTGACACAGCATGATCTTCAGGATGTGTTGCTAAGTAGAAAAAGCAAGGTGCAGAAAACTGAGGGGAAGCCAGGCACGGTGGCTCACGCCTGTAATCCCAGCACTTTGGGAGGCCAAGGCGGGTCGATCACCTGAGGTCAGGAGTTCGAGACCAGCCTGGCCAACATGGTGAAACCCCATCTCTACTAAAAATACAAAAAATTAGCCGGGCATGGTAGCATGCCCCCAGCTACTCAGGAGGCTGAGGCAGGAGAATCACTTGAACCTGGGAGGTGGAGGTTGCAGTGAGGTGAGGACACGCCATTGCACTCCAGCCTGGGCAATAAGAGTGAAATTCCATCCCACCCCCCCCAAAAAAAAGAAAGAGAGAAAACTGAGGGGAACACTAGAAACAAGTGATGGGGTGTCCTGTCAGAAGGGGTTTCCAGGATCTGAAACAAGTGACAGGGGTGCCCTATCAGAAGCTGATAGAGGGGGACAGCATTTGTACTTTCTTTTTTTTTTTTTTGGAGACGGAGTCTCTCATTCTGTCGCCGAGGCTGGAGTGTAGTGGTACAATCTCAGCTCACTGGGACCTCCGCCTCCCAGATTCCAGCAATTGTCCTGCCTCAGCCTCCCGAGTGGCTGGGACTACAGGAGCATGCTGCCACACCCAGCTAAGTTTTTGTATTTTAGTAGAGACAGGGTTTCACCATGTTGCCCAGGCTGGTCTCAAACTCCTGAGCTCAGGCAATCCACCTGCCTCAGCCTCCCAAAGTGCTGGGATTACAGGCGTGAGCCACCGTGCCCAGCCAGAGCCACTGTGCCCAGCATTTTTTTTTTCTTTTTTTTTGAGATAGAGTTTCGCTTTATTGCACAGGCTGGAGTAAAGTGGTGTGATCTTGGCTCACTGCAACCTCTACCTCCCAGGTTCAAGCGATTCTCCTGCCTCAGCCTCTTGAGTAGCTGGAATTACAGACATGTGCCACCACGCCTGGCTAATTTTTTGTATTTTTAGTAGAGACAGGGTTTCATCATGTTGCCCAGGCTGGTCTTGAACTCCTGACCTCAAGTGATCCACCCACCTCAGCCGCCCAAAGTGCTGGGATTACAGGCGTGAGCCACCGTGCCCAGCCATATACTTTCATGCTTTCTTAATGTTTGAAACACCTGAATGTATCACCTAATGAGTATGTTAATAAATAACTACAAAAATATTTGCGAAAGAATGAACTCACTTGGGCTTCTGCCCCGTGTGCATCTGCCACTTGCTGTATAAGCACTGCCTCTGTGCAAAGAGGAGTGTGCAGTGCACAGGGCCCTCTGTGTTCTGGCTCCAGACAAGGCCTTAGTAGAATGGAGACCCTCTGCACCAGCCTAACCTGCTCGAGGAGGAGAGTACCCCACCCACTCTATAGCTAACGCCATGTCTAGCTATGCCTCAGCTGCATGTGATCCTCTGTCCCCTGCCACCTGTGCAGAGTGGACCCCGTTGGAGAGGTCCTCCCTGACAGGTGGAAGCCTCAGGGGATCCCTGGGCCTTGTTCTGCGAACCATACATAGGCTAGTCAGTACTCACCAGCCATGTCCTGGCCTGGCCGTGGTTGGTGGGACTCCTCTAGGGTCCAGCCCAATTGCAGTCTAGTTGGCAGAAGACACCCACTGACTGAGGGTGACTAATCTCCTTGGAATGGTGCCATTCCTCCCCTACCTCTCTAAAGTAGGGAATATGATCCTGGGTTTCCTAGTCACTGAGGCCCCCATCCTCCTGGAGACATAGGCCTCTGAGTTACCTTCTGCTCTATCTTGACTTTGGCATTGTAGAAGGAGATGGAATCAGGGCCCTCAGGAAGCACCCTCTGCTGCAGCTGGCTGAATTTGTCCTGGTCATCTTCTCCCTGGGGGAGGACAGTCCCTTTAGCATGGTATTGTCAGGATATACCCTAGCAGAGCCTGTGGTGTGCATCAGGGCAGTCCCTTGCTGGGTTTGTGCCACACACCGCCCCACCGCCACCAAAAGGGCATCTCACAGCCCTCCAGCCCCCATGTCTGTCAGTGTTCCCACAGACAACCTGTAACTGCTGCCTGAGCAGGATGAACTGCTTTAGAAAGGTGGCAGTAGTAAGAGTGGTATTTTCCCCCATTCCTTGATAACCGAGGAGAGACCTGTACCTGCCCACCTGCCTGGGCTGGCTGTGGAGAGGCTGGGAGCACCACACACACTGCCATCTTTGTGTTGAGAACAGACATCAAGGGGCACTGCCCATTGCCCCATGTTCAACCACTGCCACACCCCTGCCCCTGTGCCGCTCACCAGAGACACAATCCTGTTCACAGGGACCATGCCTGGCCGGATGCTGCCGCCTGGCTTCAGTGCCATCTGCATGTCCTCAGGGATGACAAAGGACTCATTGTACCAGATGTCAAATTCTACAAGGAGGTGAGGAGACAGAACTTGAGGAAGCCGGTAAGGGCTGTGTGCTGTCATCTGTCTTATATCTGTTGCAGGCTCACCATCTGTTCACTTCCTGCTCCAAGGTCTTACCCTGTCCCCATCTCCATCTCTGGCCCTCACAGTCCTGGGAACCACACATCTCAAGCCCCTGCCCAGCCCCTGGCTCTGCCAGAGAGAAACTCTGAGGGTGCTTCCAGAACTCAGGCTGTGGCCTCTCCCTGAGTCTCCTTGTACCTCAGGTGGCGGCCAACCTTCCCAACTGTCGCACCCATGAGCAGGCGGTGGCGACACTGATCCACTAGGTGCTGGCAATACTGGATCTCAGCCCTGAGGTCACGCAGGTCCTGGTACTCGCTGCGGTACTGCTTCTTGAGGTCTTTGAGCTTGAGGATCAGCAGGAATTCTTCCTCATCGATGATCATCAGCCCCTTGTTTTCGTACTTGCCTGCAAGGTGATGGAAGAAGTCAGGAAATGAGGAGGTGTCCACCTGAAATTGGGGGAGGAAGGGATTCCAGAAGGTGGGCACAGAGCTGGCAAATCATGAAGACAGGAGACCACAGGCAGGGCTGGCCCATGGCAAGGAGATGGGCAAAGCACAAGAAGGCCAGGCTGCCAGGGCATAATCTCACAGGGAGGGGAGCTCAGCTCAGTGGGGCCACACTGGCATTTTAGGGCAAACAAGAGCAGAGGGCAGGGGAAGGTACAGAAGGCCCATGCTCCATGCTTATTTTATTTAAAACTCTAGTAGCCAAAGATATTTAGTAAGCACCCCTAGTATACAAATGTCTATTTTTCTTGTAAATTACATCTACAAACTGCCATCACTGGCTAGTACTACAAGGCACTTGGGCAAGGCTCCTTATTAATAACAGCAGATGTTCAAATTGTCTCTTGCTGATACACACATCCACCAGCTACTTTCTTTTTTTTTCTTTTTGAGATGGAGTCTCGCCTTGTTGCCCAGGCTAGAGTGCAGTGGCACAATCTCGGCTCACTGCAACTCTGCCTCCCGAGTTCAAGCGATTCTCCTCCCTTAGCCTCCTGAATAACTGGGATTACAGGCATGTGCTACCACGCCCAGCTAATTTTTGTATTTGTAGTAGAGACAGGGTTTCACCATGTTGCCCAGGCTGGTCTTGAATTCCTGACCTCAGGTGATCCGCCCGCCTCGGCCTCCCAAAGTGGTGGGATTACAGGCGTGAGCCACCATGCGCAGCTCACCAGCTACCTTCTTGTTAGAGATGATTAGACATCTATATCGTGTTGAGTAGCTATCAAAGGGCTCCAGGGACAAGGGTCAGTGCTATTAGTCTCTTTGCATGGATCTTTTAAGGTCTGTCAGTTCAGTGACAGTTGTTGGGTTAAGACAAAATAATTTGGTGTGCAAAGCCATTCACCCTGCTCTCCACTGCTCACAGCACCTGAAAGCTTAGCAAAGGCATCACATCAACCGCCATCCCCAAGTGTAGGGTAAGTGTGTTCTGCATGTGACCTGAGGTGTGTGGCTGGGGTGCATGAGGCAGCCCCCAGGTGCTAGAGGAAAGTGTTAGCACTTCCACTGATGTTTATTGAGAAAAAAGTGAGACACATTAAAAGCCACTAATGGAGTCATTAATGGAAAAGCAAATGTCTAGACTCTGGGATCTGGGATCTGGAGTGGGGAGTGGGAGTCACCCTCACCAGGTGTCTCACCTTCAATGCAGAGCAATCTGCTGTGGTCTCTATGCTGTGGGAGGTCCCTGATGTGATTATTTGGATAAGCCACAATCCTTTACAGAGTAGAGGCTTTACAGTACTCTATGAAGATGGGGAGTAACTGTGAACATCTTTTGTTCTACCCAGAGGATCTCTGATTATCTCCAGGAAGAAAAAGAGTTGAATTTAAAGATGATTTTACATTTTTACATTTTTCTTTTTTTCTTTTGTTTCTTTTTCTTTTTCTTGAATTACTGGCCTCAAGTTCTTTTACAAGAGACTAATGTTCCAAATATGTTGACCTTCCTGGGTCAACAAGTGGCTGTCAATAATAAGGTATCTAAGAGATTGATTGATTGATTGATTTGACAGGGCCTCACTATGTCGCCAAGGCTAAAGTGCTGTAACATGATCATGGCTCACTGCAACCTCAACCTTCTGGGCTCAGGTGATCCTTTCACCATACCTCCCAAGTAACTGAGACTATAGCCATGTGCCACCACGCCCAGCTAATTTTTTATGTTTTTTTGTAGAGACGGGGTCTCACTGTATTGCCCAGGCTGGTCTCGAACTCCTGTACTCAAGCAATCCACCCGCCTCAGCCTCCCAAAGTGCTGAGATTACAGGCGTGAGCCACTTCGCCTGGCCTAGGAGATATGAGTTTACTTGATCTGTTCAAGTAAATTCAATAAAATAAAGGTATTTTATTAATATTTTAATAATCAGTGGAAAAACAACTACTTTGGGGGGACAGCACAAAAATGGGGTTTTTTTTTTAATACTGATAAATTTTTTTTGTTTGTTTTTTGAGACGGAGTCTCGTTCTGTCTCCCAGGCTGGAGTGCAGTGGCGCAATCTCGACTCACTGCAAGCTCTGCCTCCCGGGTTTTACACCATTCTCCTGCCTCAGCCTCCCCAGCAGCTGGGACTACAGGCGTGCATCACCTACGCCCGGATAATTTTTTTGTATTTTTAGTAGAGACAGGGTTTCACCGTGTTAGCCAGGATGGCCTTGATCTCCTGACCTCGTGATCTGCCCGCCTCGGCCTCCCAAAGTGCTGGGATTATAGGCGTGAGCCACCGCGCCCAGCCGAAAATCGGGCAGATCACCTGAGGTCGGGAGTTCAAGACCAGCCTGACCAACATGGAGAAACCCCATCTCTACTAAAAACACAAAATTACCTGGGCATGGTGGCGGGTATGCCTGTAATCGCAGCTACTTGGGAGGCTGAGGCAGCAGAATCACTTGAACCCAGGAGGCGGAGATTGCAGTGAGCCGGGATCATGCCATTGCACTCCAGCCTGGGCAACAAGAGTGAAACTCCATCTCGAAAAAGAAAAAAAAATTTAATGTCTTCCTCATCTCATCCTTTGAAACTGTCCACTTTCAGGTGTATTTAGGAGTAAATGATATGCCAGCATACCATGCGTATATTTTATCTTAAATATGTAATAAGGGGCTGTATGTTCAAAGAAAGTGTGAGCAGAGAGGACAAAGAAGTGCTTGTTTGTCCCATAAAATCTTCACCATGTCCTCTCCCTGTGGCTCTGGATAGGGGTATGTCTATAGCCACCATCACTGGCCTTCTCCAGCTTCCCAGACCCGTGGAGGGCTTTGCCCTCAGGAATAGCATGTCATAATTGGTCTGTGAGGTATGATAAGAATGGCCCCAAGAATTAGAAAATAAAGTTGCCCTCTGAGAAATAATTGTTTAATTGTTATTATATTTTTTTTCCAAGACAGTCTTCATCTGTCACCCAGACTGGAGTGCAGTGGCGCAATCTTGCCTCACTACAACCTCTGCCTCCTGGGCTCAAGCGATTTTCATGCCTCAGCCTCCCAAGATGCTAGGATTACAAGTGTGTGCCACCACGCCCTGCTCCTCTGAGAAATAAATGAGTAAAATGCACCCCCTGTGAGTGAGATGATGCATCTGACTTGCAGGAATAAACCAAGTGACATCTGGAGATCACTCATGGAAGCTGGCCTGGAACAGGGTTGTGATTTAGCGAGGGAAAGCCCAGTAACCTGTGGTGTTTCCTGTCTGGAAGAAGACAGTAAGACTGAGCCAGGAGTGTGAAGAACAGTGTGGCCTCTGAACCACCTGTCCCAGAGTTGGAATGGTCACTCACTAAAATGCAGGTCCTGGGCCCTGCTCCATCTCTCCCAAGTCAGAACCACTGGCTGAGGGGCTGGGAATCTGCACTTGACCAGCCCTCTCAGATAAGTCATCTGAACACGCAAGCTTGGTGGGCCTTGGCCCTCAGTGCAGGTGTGGGCGGCGCACGCCACCAGGACAAGGACACTGGGTCAGAGTAACCAGGTGAGCACCCTCCCCACGTTGGGGTTCTTTGCTCTTTGAGCCTGGAGCACCCCCTGCCACCAGCTCTAGGAGATAAGACTCTGACAGACCAGCACGGGTGTCAGGGATTCAGCATAGGGAATGGCCTTACTGAAAGTGAGTCCCTTGGCTCTCTGGCATCCACATTCTTGTTCCCTTACTTGGTTTTTCATAGTCCCTACCAGCAGCCCCACCTCAATCTGACCACCTGGGGCAGTGAGGAAACCACACAGAGACCCACGGACCTTGTAGAGGTCACCAGCTACCCATCTCCCAGTGATACCTCTGCAGGACAAAGGGCCTGTTTCACCAGGGACAGTAGCACATATGGGGTGGAAGGCCCAGCACCTAGGTCTGAGATAATGCAACAATGAGGGACCCACAGGCAGAGGCTGGCTGACAGGGAGGACTCTGCGGCTCTCAGGGGCTGACCAGAGCTAAGTGATCTGACCTATGGGTGAAGGCCACATCCCAGCACCCCCACTGGCCCCCTCCCATCTCAGACCTCTAGTGCCAAGGGCTGTTCTGCTTCAACCAGCATGACTCTGAGACCCCAAAGCTCCCTAGCCCTCTTTCCAACACATTTACCTTGCTTCTCCCGTAGTGACTTCTGGAAATTCAGGGCCTCCTTGGTCACATCAATCTCCCGCTTGATGGCATTGATGTGCTGTGTGGTCTCGCTGGCCCTTTTCCTCCGTTCATTCAAGATGGATTTGTTTTCTTTGAAAATTCGGTTGATCTCACTACCTTGCTCATTCTTAAACTCCTCAAAGGCCACTGGTTTGGAGGGTGGGGTGTCGGGCCTTGAGATGAAAAGGTGAGACCAAAGAGGATAAATGAGGTGGCTGCCTTGGAGCCACCAGGCACTTCATCTTTCTTCCCTGGGACTTCTGTGGCCAGGAGGCAGAAGTGCTAGGCACCACCTACCCAAGACAGGAGCTAAACTGTGTGTGAATCATTCCCTCCTCTTTGTTTTACTCAGCACACATACAAGGACATATGCCCATGGCAGAAAGTGAGGAAAGCAAGGAAAAGTATAAGAAACAAACAACAATAAGAAAAGAAAAGAACAATGGCATATGGTGGTGTATTTCCTTCTGTATTTCTTTCTTTTTTTTTTTTTCTCGAGACAGAGTTTTGCTCTTGTCACCCAGGCTGGAGTGAAATGGCACAATCTCGGCTCACTGCAACCCCCACCTCCTAGGTTCAAGCGATTCTCCTGCCTCAGCCTCCTCAGTAGCTGGGATTACAGGCATGCGCCACCACACCTGGCTAATTTTTTTATTTTTAGTAGAGACCAGGTTTCTCCATGTTGGTCAGGCTGGTCTCGAACTCCCGACCTCAGGTAATCCACCCGCCTCAGCCTCCCAAAGTGCTGGGATTACAGGCATGAGCCACTGTGCCTGGCCCTGGATTTCATATATGTGTGTGTGTGTGTATATATATATGTGTGTGTGTGTATATACATATATGCATATATACATATATGCATACACACACACATATAAAACATTTTATATATGTGTGTGTATATATACGTATATATACATATATACGTATATATACATGTATATACGTGTATATATGTATATATGTATATATGTATATATATACACACACACATATATAAAATATATATATATATATATACACATATATATATATATATATATTTTTTTTTTTTTTTCTTTGGAGACAGCATGCTCTGTTGCCCAGGATGGAGTTCAGTGACTCGATCACAGCTCACTGTAGCCTCGAGCTCCTGGGCTCAATCAATTCTCATGCCTCAGCCTCCTGAGTAGCTCGGACTACAGGCATGTACTCCCATGCTCAGCTCCCTTTTAATTTTTTATAGAGACAGAGTCCCACTATGTTGCCCAGGCTCTCCAACTCCTGGGTTTAAGCAATCCTTTCGCCTTGGCCAACCAATGTGCTGGGATTACAAGCATAAGCCACCGTGCCTGGCCTTTTTGATATATTTTTGAATGGCTAAGGCCATGCAGTATGTTTAATTTTACATCTTACTTTTTTCAAAAAAGCATTTCATGTTATTAAAAACCCTTTGAGAACTCTGGTTAATGAGTGTAAGATGAAGTGTTGGGGTAAGGGGAATTGGATTGATGTGGGCAACTTTGAAATGCATCAAAAAAAGAACATGGAGGGATAGAAGGATAGAGGCAGAATGAAACAAGAATAGTAACATATAAATTGTAGAATTGGGAGGATGGTTGGTGTACAGGTGTTCGCTGTACAATTATTTCAACTTCTCTGAATGTTTAGAAATGTTCATAGGTTGAAATTCTTCACGGACAACCCAATGGCAGAGAACAATTCACTTAGTGCCCTTTCCCTAGTGTTGGCTACTGAAGGTTTTCAAAAATGTATATATTTTGCTTTTTAAATAAATGATGAAATAAACATCTTTTGCATAAATCTTGTTTCACATCTATTTCCTTAGGATAGATCCTTAAAAACTCATGAGGGAGAGGGGCTGAGTGATTTGAGGAAAGGGAAGAGGTTATATTCTTTCATACTTTAAAATTTTTAAATCTTTTGAATGCAGTACTTGTACAAAAGATACATAACTTTAATTATTTAAATAATTGCTATTTGGAGGGTCTAAAATGATTCCATGTTTAATTGTGCATCTTGGATGACTCCTGAGGTTGGATCATTTTGCAGATGCATAAGTCATGTTTCTTCTTTGGGGACTGTGCTCCTAGTCTTTGCCTATTATTTCTTATTTTATTTCTCTTTTATCTGCAGGTACTCTTCACATGTTGAGGATCACATATGGTTTTGTTTGATCTGGTGCAGAAGCTAACATTAGCTGATTACCTAATTGGGCGTAATTCCTCCTTCGGGGAGTCTGAGGGAAGGGGCTCAATGCTGGAAGTTTCCCGGTCCCGCGAAAGCATGTCTTTGACATCCCCATCTTTGGAGGATGGGACCAGCTGGGTCTTGGAGGTGGAAACGTAATCCAAGTCCTTCCCATTCACAGGGCTGCTGGCACCTTCCTTTCTTGCCAAGGAGCTGGAAGAAGGCACGGAAGCCCCAGGGTTCAGTCATGGACAGTGAGTTATCAGATGCCAGGATGAGTGACCTTTCTCAGCACTGACTACACTGGGAACCCCACCTCATTCAGCTCCCATCTTGTTCATATGCCTAGGTAAAAGCGCAAATAGTGTGATGCTAAGCCAGGCAGATGTGGAGGAAGAAGAGGGCATTTTTCTCCCTTTTATCAGAACAAAGAGCCCTCGGTGGTCTTGGCAGGAGACGCTTGGGAAAAATGGGTACAATCTCCAGGGATTGAAAGTGTATGGACCTGTAGGATGGGCCACAGGTTCTCAGGAACCACCACGGCTGCTGAGGTCTGAGTCATACAGGCTTCCCCGGGAAGGACTGGCAGAGCCCCACACAGGGTGGTTCTGTCTGTGGATCAATGGTAAAGCAGGATGGCTCTGCCCTGCTGTTCTTACTGGTCCACACCCTGTTCTCCACACCAGCTCCCAGAAAAGTAGCTGTCCTCCCTGCTGAAGTGACAGTGCTTGGTGCCTTTCTCCGAGAAGAGGCAGATCTGAGGACCGAACTGGCAGGAGGATGCCCATGGCTCTTCCCAAAGGTCTGAGGATAGAAAATCTGTTTCTTCCTCTTTCCTCCTCCTTGCAACGAGTATGGCTCAGGGAACTGAGCCTCAACCCATTGAATACTGCACTGATTATCCGGAAGCAGAACAGAGAGGGTTGGGGTGTGACTGCACTCATGAAGAGGCAGGAGGAAGCCAGGGACACTGGCATCCTCTGCTGCCTGACTCTTGTCCTGCGTGTAACAGTTTTCTACAATCAGCTCTGGCCTGTGGCCTGTGCTCACACACTCTTGCTCACAACAACCTCAATGACTTGGATGCTATTATTATTATTCCCATTTTGGAGATGCAGAAACAGGCACAGAGCGGTTCTCATGTCTCACATGGGGTGACCCCTTGGGTGTGAGAAGTGCAGAGCAGGGAAGGGAGCCCAGGCGTCAGCTCCAGAGCCTGTGCTCTTACCCACCACTACACAGCACCCTGGGAGGGCTCACTAAGTGAACCTAAATGCTCTTCCCACCTTGCACATACAAACGAGTCTTGCCTGAAAGGTGAACTGGAGTTTTAGGTGACCTGAGTGCCAGTCGGCGGGAAGACCCTAGTGAAGTGAGGGGAGGGGGTACAACATAAAGTACCAGAGGGCATGGGCTCTGGAGAGCTGGTCCAGCTTCTTGCTGCCATTCCACTACTCATTGGTGGTATGGCCTTGGTGAGTGACTTCCCCTCTCTAAGCCTCTGTTTCTTCATCAGTGTAATGAAGACATTAACTCCCACCTCACCAGGTTGCTGTGAGGACGAGAGATGATTCTTGTGCGGTTCCAAACCAGCCCCAGCCCGGGCCCCACAGACTTGCTAGTATTGGCAGCAGTGACGTCCATTGTGCCAACCCAGTAGCTGAGACACCAGGGGGAAAGTGGGAACAGTGCACATCCTCCCATGCACCCACCGAGGAGGGCCAGCTGCTGAGGAGGCAGAGCGGCAAGGTCACTCACCTGAGTGGCTCTTTGAATGTCTTCTTGGACTTGGCTTTCTTCCCAGGTTTGGTAGAGAAAGGGGCGACTCCGAGTCCAAAGTTTTGTCCTTCAGGCTCACCCACTAGGTGGCCATCAACATCCACAAGCCCCGCCTACATAGAGAGGCCAGCCAAAGGTCTGTGAGTTAGATTAAGGGCTTGGACCCCTTGGGGACCCACATGTATATGGCCCAAGGCTCAGGGTGGACATGTTCACCATACACACCAAGGTTTGACAGCTGCTGATGCCAGCCTCAGGCTGTCCCCTGTAGAGCGGTCCCTGACCACTCTGCCAAATGTCCACTTTCCACATGCACCCCCTCACCAGTATGGCACCTCATTCCATACTCTGGGGATCTTAAAGCTTATTTCCAACCTAATTCCAGGAAATCGTCTTTAATATTATTATCCATGTCTCTACCTTATGGAAATTATTTTTAATTCAAAAGTGGTTTACTCTTAACACAGGTCACCTGTGTTCATTCTGGTGTTACCTTTATCTGTTGCAATCCTAGCTCTGGTTTAATGCATTAATACTTGCTGGCTCTGCAAAGGTCTGAGGATGGGAAATCTGAGGTGAGTGCTGTCGGCAAGTAGCAACTATGCTTACCTTCTGGATAGCAGAAATGGCTGCAAAGTCATTCCTGTCAATGAGGGTGTACTTCCTGCGCAAAGTGGACTCCACTTCCTGTTCCTGTTGGCTTGGGAGACAGCAAGAGAGAACAGCTTGTACCTGGGGCCATGCTGAATCCACTGGGGCAAGAACCAAGTACTGGGGTTAAAAGTCATATGGGTGAGGCCCCTTGTGTGGGGCCACACCTTCATCATGAACCAGACCAGACAAAAGGACAAAGGACTCACTTCCCCCTGCCCCATTGCATATACCCACTGTCCGACCCCCATACCCACAAGGGCTACCTTATGTCATGTGTGTCTGCTCCAAGATGACACTTGATAAGGACCGTAAGCTTCACTTGGGACCATGTGGGGTTCTGTCTTAGGTTCTGTCTCTAAGAGGCCACTTGGAATCACATGACCAGCTTTAGTGACACCACCTAGCATAAGCTGCTCAGACTATGGGTATGTTTGCACCCAAATAAACCACAAATGCCTCCTGAGGTGGGAGTGTGTGTTGCAATATTCACAAGGTGAATATTCACAATGCCCTGCTCTGGGCACTCTCAGAGCTGGCACTCCATAAACACCTCCTGTCCAATTAATGAACTCACTGAATATCCACCAGGGACCCAGGCATGCCCCCAAGGACTCTGATTTGGCTCTTCATCCACAAGCAAGAAGAGGAGCTCTTGGAGGCAAGTGCCCAGATGGCAGGAGATGAAAATGGCAGCCTGATGTAGGAATGAGGTAGGGGTGGGGGTCTCTCACCTCAGAACCACCCGGAACTGGTTGAACACCTCCTTGATCTGTCTAAGGCTGATTATCTGGAGGGAAGACAGCAAGGCAGAGGTTAGACCAAGGGCACCTCGAGGGACCAGGGGGCATCTATGTTAGTAGAGAAATCAAGACCCCTTGGCTGACCCCTGGACCATCTGTCTCGAGAAGAGGACGTGTGCACACAGCCTCTCAGCGAAGTGGCAGCCAAGCCCTCCTCCAGAGCAGAGAAACACCTGATTAATAATTTTAAAACTAAGTATTTGCTGAGGCTATAAAAACCACCTTTTCGAAGTGGAGACCTCTATAAAATGAAATGATTCTATACCTTGAAAATACCTTCTAAAGGTTTTTTTTTTTTTTTTAATAAAATGTACTTCTCAGCTTTCTCTTACTTCCAAAAGGTTCTGCCTGCTGTCTTCAGATGGAGCCCATTTATGGTCCTGTCTGCATGGGCACAGACACACACACGAGGCTGGAGGAAGGTTACTGGCCTCCCCCCAGCCTAAAGCCCACAGCATTCCCCTTGATCAAGGGTTAATTTGGGACTGCCCCTCCTGTGAAGGCCAGAAGAGTCCATCCCTTAGTTGTCCCAGGCCTGCTTCTCGGAGCTGCCCACAGTAACAGCCAGGGGGGTCTGCCCATGTCTCCAAGAAGAGGGGTTTGATGGACTGCACTGTGAAAACAGGATGCAGCCTTCCCCCTGAGGACCCTTCCTTGTGGGGTGGTTTCCCCCTCCTTGGCCCACTCCAACATGGGCCCTGGGGTCTACCTTGTAGACAACCAGCATGACCACCATCCTTCATCAGCTTCATTCTGCGGACACAGTCAAGCACCCCAGGTGCAGCAGCTCAGTTAATCCCCACTCTGTTTCCCTCCCCACTAGGCAGGTGAGGCCACTGAAGTACACGAGGTTGAGTATTTTGCCAAGGTCACTCAGCAAAGAGGCAGCTGAGCTGGGATTCAATCCTAGAAAGCCTGGCTCTAGGGCCTGTGCTTGTGCCCCTGAGATGAGCTGAAGGGACCCTGACATCAAGAGTCCAGCACCACCCTCCACCCACTGCACCCATTCACATGAGGCTCTGAGGCCAGCAGAGCATGCGTTGGGGTGTGCCCAGGACTGGGAGGCCCAGGCTGGCTGAGCATAGTGGTCACAGAGGGGTTCCTTACGTCGATCTCGTCCAGTGTCCCCTCCAGGTACCTCCGCACCTGGGAGTTGATCTCAGCAATCTGGATTTCATCCATGGGGTCATAGGTCACAAAGGTGCGGTTGGTCTTGAAGGAGGATGAAGAACATGTGGATAAGCAACAAGAACCTGAGCCCACAGGGGAGTGGCAGGGGCCATTCTGAGAGGCAAAGTGGGGAGGCTGGGCACAGGCCCTGGCTGCCCAAGCTGGCTCCTTCCCTTCATCATCGGGTCCTGCCAGAGGGCCTGACACAACAGGCCAGGTGCTTGGGTCAGAGAGGGATAATGGGGTCGGGGAGGAAAGGAAAGACCCTCAGACATGGGTCCTGCTACTCCAGACAGAGGCTCTGCTGGCTGAGTCCCAGCAGACTCTGCAGCATGAGAAAGGCGAGGACGGGAGGCATGCGCTGCCTCTGCCTCGAGGCCCCTCAGGACCGTTGGAGGACTCTGCTCCCAACCCCTGTCCTCATGGACCCTTGCTGCTGCCCCTTTCCTGCCACTGAGCCTGCCCCCCAACCCCGCCCACCATTGGCCTTGACCCATGATGCTGTCTGCCCCTAGCCCCAGTCCCTCTAGTCACCCCCTACCCCAGCACCTCTGCCCTCCTTCTTTGCCTCTAGCCTCTTACCAGGCTGTCATGGATAGCCAGCTCCTGCTTGAGTAGTGCTAGTTCCTTCTCCAGGTTCTTGACCATTCTCTGCCGGGAAACATGGTAGGGTGGGGGCCGACAGGAAGGATCATCAGAGAAGCTACCCTGTCTCTTCCACAGCAAAAGTACAATTCCTCATTCTGTGCCCAGACATCCTGGCCATTCCTGGATCCACAGGGTATGCTTTCAGCTTCTGGTGATTCCCTCCCGACTGGTGACTCTTCCCTAACTGGGGTGAGTTTAGGGTCTGGGAGGACCTGAACAGTCCCCTGGCCTTTGCTACTGCCAGTAGAAGAGACAGCACAAGCCACACAGCCACCTCAAACCCCAACTCCCAGGGGCCCCAGGCTCCTTCCAGTCTACCAGGATAATGGCCCTTTTGGTGCAGCCTACAGACTCCAGAATGCTTTCTTTTTTTTTTGAGACAGAGTTTTGCTCTTGTCGCCCGGGCTGGAGTGCAATGGCATGGTCTCAGCTCACTGCAACCTCCGCCTCCCGGGTTCAAGTGATTCTCTTGGCTCAGCCTCCTGAGTAGCTGGGATTACAGGTGACCGCCACCACACCTGGCTAATTTTTATAATTTTAGTAGAGACAGGTTTTCACCATGTTGGCCAGGCTGGTCTCGAACTCCGGACCTCAGGTGATGCACCCACCTCAGCCTCTCACAGTGCTAGGATTACAGGCATGAGCCACCATACCCAGCACCAGAATGCTTTCTTTTTAGAGAAAGGCTCTTGCTCTGTCCTCCAGGCTGGAGTGCAGTGTCACCATCATGGCTCACTGAAGCCTCAACCTCCTGGGCTCAAGCAATCCTCTCACCTCAGCCTCCTGAGTAGGTCATGCTACAGGTACACACTGCCATGCCCAGCTAATTTTTGTAGAGACAGGGGTCCTACTATGTTGCCCATGCTGGTATCACACTCCTGGGCTCAGGCAATCCTCTCGCCTCGGCCTCCCAAAGGGCTGGGATTACAGATGTGAGCCACTGTGCCTGGCCTCCAGGATGCTTTCTATGCATGGTTATAACCTCATCCTTTCACCCTCATCCTCACCAACCACTGCATGAACATGTCACCACTCCCCAATAATAATCATGTATGTCACCTCTAATTTTTTTTTTTTTTTGAGATGGGGTCTCGCTCTGTCGCCCAGGCTGGAGTACAGTGGCGCAATCTTGGCTCACCGCAACCTCTGCCTCCCGGGTTCATGTAATTCTCCTGCCTCAGCCTCCTGAGCAGCTGGGATTATAGGCATGTGCCACCACGCCCGGCTAATTTTTGTATTTTTAGTAGAGATGGGGTTTTACCATGTTGGCCAGGCTGGTCTCGAACTCTTGACCTCAGGTGATCTGCCCGCCTCAGCCTCCCAAAGTGCAGGGATTACAAGCGTGAGTCACTGTGCCTGGCCTCACCTCTAATTTTTTGCTGCTTACAAACAATGCTGCAAGAACATTTTTGTACTCATATATTTATGTCCTCATAGATTTCTGTAGAATAACACAGTGATCTATGAGGCTTTTGAGATCTGCCCCCATTACCTCTTTTCTGCTTCTCTTCTCTGGTGCACTCCAAACACTTCCACAAATTGGTATGCTTCTGCCTCTGCATTGCTTGTCCGCTGCCCTGGAATTCTCTTCTCCTAAGTATTTCCAAGACTCATTCACTTACCTCCTGATAATCTTTGTTCAAAAGCTTCTAAATTAGGTGCACCACAATTACTCTTTAAAATTGTAATTCCAGCCAGGTGCGGTGGCTCATCCCTGCAATTCCAGTACTTAGGGAGGCCAAGGCAGGTGGATCATCTGAGGTCAGGAGTTCGAGACCACCCTTGTGAAACCTTGTCTCTACAAAAATTACAAAAATTGGCCAAGCATGGTGGCATGCGCCTGTAATCCCAACTACTAGAGAGGCTAAGGCAGGAGAATTGCTTGAACCCGGGAGACAGAGGTTGCAGTAAGCTGAGACCGCACCATTGCACTCCAGCCTGAGCAATAGAGCGAGTCACTGTCTCAAAAAAAAAAAAAATTGTAATACCTTCTCCACCCCTGCAACATGCTTTAAAAATCTCTAATTTTTTTTCATAGCACATTTTGCCTTTTAACATATTCTAGATTAGTGCTGTCCAATAGCACTTTCTGCAATTATTGAAATGTTCCATATTTGTGCTGCCCGGTATGGTAATGATGAGACAAATACAGCTACTGAACACTTGAAATGTGGCTAGGGTGCCTGAAGAAGTAATTCTAATTTTAATTAAATAGCCACATTTGAGTAGCAGTTACCGTATTAAACAGTGAAACTTTAGAACTTACCTATTTATTGTGATTATTATTATGTATCTCCCCTATTCCCATCAGACTGCAAGCTCAGAGATTTGTGTTTCTGTTCATGCAGTCAGGTATTCCAAGTGCTTTAAAAAGCACTTGGCACATAGTAAGCACTCCATAGATTTTAGGTAAGTAAATAAATGATACTTTTTTTTTCAGATCAGACGGGTAATGTGCCAATGTCGTAACAAGGTTCAAGGGTGGCACATCTCACACAAGCGTATGAACACACAATCATCACACTCATGAACTACAAAAGGATCATAAATGACACATTTTGAGGAGAAGAATCGCTAAGTCATTTTATACTCGATATACCATCTGAGTGTCTTCCCTAAAAGAGGCACAAGGAACTTCAAGCTGAGAACCCTCGCTGTGAACAATAGGACTTCCTTTAGTTGTCATAAAAGGGCCACTGGAGGGAGCCCCTGACACCTGGATCCTGGGACTGGTGACCAAAACTGTGACCAGTCCACTGCCCCACTGGCCCTCTCCCAGACCAAAGGCCTGCTGTATTCTAGCCCTCATCCAACCAGGTCACCTGGGCACTGAGGCCCAACTGCCCTCACATAGCAAGGGTCAACAGAACCCCTGGCATCCTGATGGCTCTGTGGCAATTCAGGCACAAAGCCTGGGACCCAAGGCATGTGACCAGTGTCCAGATCCTGGATCTGCCCCTCTGGAAGCCCCACAAAGGTCCCCTTCAGGTGTGGACTTCCTGTGGGGTCAACAGGAGAGGCTTGCTGGCCAGTCTCACCTGTCCACATGCCATCCTTCTCCCAGCTCTAGAAAATGTATCATGGCCCAGCTACAGAAAGTTCGACTGAGCCATCAGGGTCCTCCAGCTTGATGACTCTGTTCAGTGAGGCACAGCAGAGCCAAACTTACATGTCTGGGCCAATCAGAAGGTGATGTAGGAGGCTGGGTGCAGTGGCACATGCCTGTAATCCCAGCACTTTAGGAGGTCAAGGCGGGCAGATCACTTGAGGTCAGGAGTTCAAGACCAGCCTGGCCAACATGGTGAAACCCCATCTCTACTAAAAATAAAAAATAGCTGGGTGCGGTGGCACATGCTTGTAATCCCAGCTACTCAGCAGGCTGAGGCAGGAGAATGGCTTGAACCCGGGAGGCAGAGGTTACAGTGAGCCAAGATTGCACCACTGCACTCCAGCCTGGGCAACAGAGTGAGACCCTGTCTCAAAAACAACAACAACAAACAGGGACATTTTTTAGATAGGAAAAAAATGCCTTGGAAACAGCACAGACTCATGTAAGTTTCCTAATAGGCATTTTCATTATAAATGTAATGAGGATAATTCAGAGAATTCTGCTTAAGCTGCACATCAGGCTGTGGGGCAGCTCTTGGGGCAGGCAGTTTTCCGATTTTCATCCCACTGCAGCTTGCCAGTGTATCTTCTCTTGGCAGAGTGGAGTATACTAAGTCTCTCCCTGCTGTCTGTTTATGCCTGAGGCTCACAGCCCTTTACACCACTTCACAGAATCACCGACTGGCAGAGTGGGAGGGTCACTGCAGGTTATCAGGCCAACTTCCTTGTTCACAGAGGACGACCCTGAGGTTGAGAGGGTCTGAGCAACTCGCCACAGAGAGCTTGTGGAAGAGGTGGATTAGGAACCCAGTCTTCTGCCTTATAGCCAGCCCCATCAGCCAAAGAAATTCTGAAGAAGCAATTCTACCCTCTTGAAAACAGGCATCAATACCGAAGACAGTGCTGAAAATGACCTGAGAATACTGGCTACAGTCTAGGAAAGGCAGCAACCAAAATAATTTTTCCACATCTCTCTCAAGAACTCATGTTTGTAAAGAAAAATGCTTATCAGAAAGATTATAAACACATTCACACTGGATGGCACAGAGACTCACTCAGTTGGCCAAGGCCAACAATGCAGATCTTAGAACACAAATTACATGAAAAAGCATGATTGTCCAACTTCACCAGGCGTGGTGGCTCACACCTGTAATCCCAGCACTTTGGAAGGCTAAGAGGACCCCCTGAGCCCAGGAGCTCAAGACCACCCTGGGCAACATAGGGAGACCCCATCACTAGAGGAAAAAAAAAAAAATTAAGTCAGGCGTGGTGGCGCAGGCCTGTGGTCCCAGCTACTTGGGAGGCTGAGGTGGGAGAATTGCTTGAGCCCAGGCAGTTGAGGCTGCAGTGAGCCATGACAGCACCACTGCACTCCAGCTTGGGTGACAAAGCAAGACCCTGTCTAAAAAACAATAATAAAAAATAAAAAATAGGGGCATGAAAAACCTTCAAGACAGGTACAACGTCCACCCAGCCAGGTTCACGGGTAGCAATGTTGATAATCCTAAGCTAAGGGAACACCAAATAAGAAAAGATAAGAAGGCCAAGCATGTTGGCTCATGCTTGCAATCCCAGCCCTTTGGGAGGCTGAGGCTGGAGGCTCACGAGGTCAGGAGTTTGAGACCAGCCTGGCCAACACAATGAAACCCCGTCTCTACTAAAAATACATAAATTAGCTGGGGGTGGTGGCAGGTGCCTGTAATCCCAGCTACTTAGGAGGCTGAGGCAGGAGAATCGCTTGAACCTGGGAGGTGGAGGTTGCAGTGAGCCGACATTGTGCCACTGCACTCCAGCACTCCAGCCTGGGCGACAGAGCTAGACTCCATCTAAAAAAAAAAAGATAAGAAAATCTTCAAGAATACAGAAAAGCAGAAAACCATACAAAATAATGCCATAAAACCTGGGCAAACCGCCCCAAAATGTGACTTTAATAGCCTGCTGTCACATTGGCTTCAGGGGTGGTTTTTTTGTTGTTGTTTGTTTAGACAGATTCTCCCTCTATTGCCCAGGCTGGAGTGCAATGGCATGATCTCCACTCATTGCAACCACTGCCCCTCAGGCACAAGCGATTCTTGTGCCTCAGCCTCCCGAGTAGCTAGGATTACAGGCATGCACCACTACACTGAGCTAATTTTTACATTTTTTAGTAGAGATGGGGTTCTCCATGTTGTCCAGGCTGGTCTCGCACTCCTGGCCTCAAGTGACCCGCCTGCCTCAGCCTCCCAAAGTGCTGGGATTACAGGCATGAGCCACGCACCCGGCCCAGTGATTTTTTTTTTTTTAAGAAGTAAAACATTTCAGATAAATGTGAAGCTTCTGCATACCATGCTACAAATCCACTCCCCTCCCATCCCAAAAGGAAACCTCTGGCCTCAGTCTGGTTTTTTCACTCCCATGCATTTTTTCTTTTACTGCACACACATATATCCATCAATGATATCAGCATCTCTCTGCATGTTTTTATATGTGGTGTAAATAATAGAGACTGTCGTTTGGGCCACTTCAGGCATCTAGTCTTTTTCTCACTTGAGATTTATCCATGCAGGTAGCTCTAGCTCTGGCTCCCTCATCCCACAACTCACTTAGCTACTCCCCTGTTAAAGGATATTATGTTTCTAATTTTTTGCTATTATAGTAAGTACTATAAAGAGTCACTATTTAATCCTTATTACAATAAGTCTATAAAGAGACTTATAGACTCTATAGAAGAATGGTGCTCACAGTGCTTGTTTTAATAGTGACCTATAGTCTCTCACACATGTGAGAATGTCTCTAGACTATATATACCTAGAAGCAATACTGCTGCTCTGTAGAAGGGAGAGGAGTGCTAAACAACATTTATTGAACATTTACCCCATGACAGCACTATGCTAAGAGGTTTCTACACATTATCTCATTCTTCACAAGATCTCTTTGAGCATGGATTGTGTTATCTACCCAACTTACAAATGAAGAAACTGAGCCTTAGAAAGTGTAGGTATTTTGGCCAGGTGTGGTGGCTCACTCCTGTAATGCCAGCACTCTGGGAGGCCAAGGCGGGCAGATCACCTGAGGTCAGGAGTTTGAGACCAGCCTGGCCAACATGGTGAAACCCTGTCTCTACTAAAAATACAAAAATTAGCTGGGTGTGATGGTGTGCGCCTGTAGTCCCAGCTACTTGGGAGGCTGAGGCAAGAGAATAGCTTGAGCCTGGGAGGGAGAGGTTGCAGTGAGCTGAGATCGCACCACTGCACTCCAGCCTGGGTGAGACTCCATCTCAAAAAACAAAAATTAGCTGGGCATGGTAGCATGTGCCTGTAATCCCAGCTACTTGGGAGGCTGAGGCAGAAGAATGGCTTGAACCTGGGAGGTAGAGGTTGCAGTGAGCAGAGATCGTGCCACTACACTCCAGCCTGGGTGACATAGGGAGATTGTCTCACACACACACACAAAAAAGTGTAGGTATTTTGCTAAGGCTATATACAGCTAATGGAGGAAAGAGCAGGGTGCTAAACCCAGGAGAGCCCAATCCAGTCACCATGGCCTTAACTAGGATGCCAGTGGTTCTCAAGTGTGACCTCAAGAGAGGAGGCCTCAGTGTCATAAAAGGGCCTAAAGAACTTATTAGAAATGGGATAGAAGCCGACCTTAAGATGAAATTTTTAAAAAAGAAAGAAAAAAAAGGGCATCTTCAGGCCCCACCCTAGACCAGCAGAATCAGAAACTCTGGGAATGGATCTAGTGACCTGTGGTTCAACATCAGTCAGGTGATTCTGATGCCTTGTCACATTTGAGAACCGCTGCTCTAAGCTCCACTCCCTCCCCAGTCTCCAAACCATGGGTTAGTTCTACAGAGCCACAGGGACTGTCATTTTCCTTCAGGATTTAGAATCTGAAAAGTTTAACTGGTTTGTCGAGCTTAGGGCTTACAAATGCTCCTTTCTCCATGAGCTATGATTCCATGAGCATCTTAGAGGAAAGCCAAATTAACAATAAATGTGTTTTTACTACACCAGATGTTGCCAGAATGCTCCCCAAAGTGGTTGTATCAATTACACTTTGACCAGAAGTGGACAAGAGTTTCCATTTCTCCACATTCTCATCATCATTTTGTGTTGTCAAAAACATTCTAGTTTTTGCTAATTTAAGGGTAGAATTCCAAAGAGGTTTTAATTTGTATTTCCCTTGTTAATGGTGATGCTGAGCACTCCCTCTGATTGGCCAGCTGTTTACTGGGACGAAAGAGATTCTGTAGTGACATAGCGAGGTGATTCTGAAAGATGGTCCACACTTTAGCCCTTAGCTCTAAGGAAATCTCATGTAGAAGCCTAGAGCACCCAGAGTTTGTAGAACTAACCCATGGTTTGGAGACTGGGGAGGGAGTGGAGCTTAGAGCAGCAGTTCTCAAATGTGACAAGGCATCAGAATCACCTGACTGATGTTGAACTACAGGTCACTAGATCCATTCCCAGAGTTTCTGATTCTGCCAGTCTAGGGTAGAGCCTGAAGATGCCCTTTTTCTTTTCTTTCTTTTTAAAAAATTTTCTTCGCTCTCCCTCTCCCTCTCCCTCTCCCCACGGTCTCCCTCTCCCCACGGTCTCCCTCTCCCTCTCTTTCCACGGTCTCCCTCTGATGCCGAGCCGAAGCTGGACTGTACTGCTGCCATCTCGGCTCACTGCAACCTCCCTGCCTGATTCTCCTGCCTCAGCCTGCCGAGTGCCTGTGATTGCGGGCGCGCGCCACCACACCTGACTGGTTTTCCTATTTTTTTGGTGGAGACGGGGTTTCGCTGTGTTGGCCGGGCTGGTCTCCAGCTCCTAACCGCGAGTGATCCGCCAGCCCCGGCCTCCCGAGGTGCCGGGATTGCAGACGGAGTCTCGTTCACTCAGTGCTCAATGGTGCCCAGGCTGGAGTGCAGTGGCGTGATCTCGGCTCGCTACAACTTCCACCTCCCAGCCGCCTGCCTTGGCCTCCCAAAAGGCCGAGATTGCAGCCTCTGCTTGGCCGCCACCCCGTCTGGGAAGTGAGGAGCGTCTCTGCGTGGCCGCCCATCGTCTGGGATGTGAGGAGCCCCTCTGCCTGGCTGCCCAGTCTGGAAAGTGAGGAGCGTCTCTGCCCGGCCGCCATCCCATCTAGGAAGTGAGGAGCATCTCTGCCCGGCCGCCCCATCTGAGAAGTGAGGAGACCCTCTGCCTGGCAACCGCCCCGTCTGAGAAGTGAGGAGCCCCTCCGCCCGGCAGCCACCCCATCTGGGAAGTGAGGAGCATCTCCGCCCGGCAGCCACCCCGTCCGGGAGGGAGGTGGGGGTCAGCCCCCGCCAGGCCAGCCGCCCCGTCTGGGAGGGAGGTGGGGGGGTCGGCCCCCCGCCCGGCCGGCCGCCCTGTCCGGGAGGGGAGGGGCGCCTCTGCCCGGCCGCCCCTGCTGGGAAGTGAGGAGCCCCTCTGCCCGGCCACCACCCCGTCTGGGAGGTGTGCCCAGCGGCTCATTGGGAACGGGCCATGATGACAGTGGCAGTTTTGTGGAGTAGAAAGGGGGGAAGGGTGGGGAAAGGATTGAGAAGTCGGATGGTTGCCATGTCTGTGTAGAAGGAGGTAGACATGGGAGACCTTTCATTTTGTTCTGTGCTAAGAAAAGTTCTTCTGCCTTGGGATCCTGTTGATCTGTGACCTTGCCCCCAACCCTGTGCTCTCTGAAACATGTGCTGTGTCCACTCAGGGTTAAATGGATTAAGGGCGGTGCAAGATGTGCTTTGTTAAACAGATGCTTGAAGGCAGCATGCTCTTTAAGAGTCATCACCACTCCCTAATCTCAAGTACCCGGAGACACAAACACTGCGGAAGGCCAGAGGGTCCTCTGCCTAGGAAAACCAGAGACCTTTGTTCACTTGTTTATCTGCTCACCTTCCCTCCACTATGGTCCTATGACCCTGCCAAATCCCCCTCTGTGAGAAACACCCAAGAATGATCAATAAAAAAATAAATTAATTAATTTTAAAAAAAATTATTGACTGGCAAAAAAAAAAAAATTTTTCTTCATCTTAAGGTCGGCTTCTATCCCATTTCTAATAAGTTCTTTAGGCCTCACATGTGAACTTGTTGGTGGCCTGACCTAGCCCTTTTACCCCATGACAGCCCCTAAGGGTCTCCAGGGACTCTGAAGACTCTGGCCAGTCCAGGAGTGGAAAAGGGCTGACCCAGGGCTGCATGGGGATCTTTGGTTGAGGCAGGAAGGGAAGGCTCGCTTGTGTGACCCAAGCAGCAAACCCATACACTTTCCCCACAGTGGGACACCTGTCCACAACCCCTGCTGTACCTCAGCATCATACTTTTCATTGATGGCAGGCTCAGTGGTGACTAGCTTCATCCTGCTGGCAAATCTCAGTGAAGATAGCTGCAAAACAGAGCAGGTAGACATTAGATGGCTCGCCACTAAAGTGAGACCCCAAGAGACCGGCCTTCTCAGAGACCTTGCCTGCCCTTTCCTGGCTCCTTAAGCTCCCTTGTCAACCCATGTTGGTTCCCTTCCCCCAGAGGACATTGGTCAAAAGAGTTCTTGGGTATGAGGTCCCCATGAGAAGAGCAGGAAGGTGACAGAGGGCACATCCAGCAGCCTGGTCCTCGTCATGTAGACTGTGAGGATGCGCACTGGTCTATTCATCCAAACCTGACCACTTTCTATCTCTAGGCCTCTGCTCAGGTGACCCCCTGCCTGGAGTACCCTTTTCTGTCCTCCTATGCTGTCTGCCTTCCTGCGTTCCACTCTCTCTCCAAGGCTCAGCTGAAAATCAGCTTCCTTCCTGAAGCCCTCCTGGTTTTCCTTCACATGAAACGTTTCTGCCCCTTCCACAAACCACAGTGATCCCCCTCCTTCACGCAGTTTTCAGGGTCTCGATCAGCCATGTCCAACAGAGATACAATGCAAACTACAAATGTAAGCCATACATGTAATTTTATATTTTCTAGTAACCATGTAAGAAAAGCTAAAAAGAAGCAGGTAAAAATAATTTTAATATGTTTTATTTAAATTTTAACCCAAGATATCAAAAATATTATGGTTTGTTTGTGGGGTTTTGTTTGTTTTGTTTTGTTCTTTTAAGACAGGGTCTTGCTCTGTCATCCAGGTTGGAGTGCAGTGGCACAGTCATAGCTCACTGCAGCCTCTACCTTCTGGGTTCAGGCAATCCTCCCACCTCAGCCTCCTAAGTAGCTGGGGCTACAGGTGTGAGCCACTGAACCTGGCCCCAAAATGTTATAAATTCAACATGTAATCAACATTTTTAAATTATTGAGATATTTTACCATCTGACATGGTTTGGATCTCTGTCCCCACCCAAATCTCATGTTGAAATATAATCCCCAATGCTGGAGGTGGGGCCTGGTGGGAGATGATTGGATCATGGGGATGGACTTCCCCTTTGGTGCTGTTCTCATGGTAGTGAGTGAGTTCTTATGAGATCTGGTCATTTAAACATATGGCACCTCCCTGCCCCTCACTTTCTTCCTCCTGCTCCTGCCATGTAAGACGTCTTCTCCTGCTTTGCCTTCCACCATGAGTAAAAGCTCCCTGAGGCCGCCCCCAAAGCAGATGCTGCCATGCTTCCTGTACAGCCTGTGGAACCATGAGCCAATTAAACCTCTTTTCTTTATAAAGTACCCAGTCTCAGGTGTGAGAATGGACTAATACACCTTCTTTTTTGGTGCTGGGTCTTTGAAATCTGGTGTGCATTTTACACTTGCATTATATGTCAGTCAGGACCAGCCACATCTGAGTGCTCCATAGCTACATGTGGCCAGTGGCTGCCATAGTGGCCAGTGCAGGTCTAGCCCCTGAGCAGCGTCTGCTCAAACTTTACCCTGTGAAGACACCCCTGAGCCATTCCTGGGAGGGCAGATGCTCAGGCCCCCTGATGAATAGACTCAGCAGTCTGGGTGGGAATGGGTAGTTCTGCTGCATTTGGAGGCAGGGGCCTCTAGCCACACATGCTAAGAAAGGCTGCTCTGGGGCGTGACCGATCTGTTAATGAAGCCTGGACTCTGCCCACCAGCCTTAGTCAAGTGTCCTCCCCACCATCCACAGGGAGTCTCCACAGGTTTGGGCTGAAAGGCTTCACTGCCAGCACAGAGATGGGCTCCTACCAGTTTTGTCCCCTGTATACACTTCCCTCAGGGACCTCTCTGCTGCCAAGCCACAAGGCCATGTCAGGACAGGAGGCGTACTGGGCTCTCTCAGCCTCCCTTCAGCAAGGCTTATGGCTATCATGTCTAACCCTGCATCCAACATCTGGGGCCTGGACCTCCCAGAGTGGCCTCAGCTTGCTCAGCCCTTCATTCTGTGAGAGAAGGGGCAGATAATGGGTAGGTAAGTGTGGGGAAAAGCAAGAGAGATCAGATTGTTACTGTGTCTGTGTAGAAAGAAGTAGACATAGGAGACTCCATTTTGTTATGTACTAAGAAAAATTCTTCTGCCTTGAGATTCTGTTAATCTATAACCTTACCCCCAACCCCGTGCTCTCTGAAACGTGTGCTGTGTCAACTCAGAGTTAAATGGATTAAGGGCGGTGCAAGATGTGCTTTTTTAAACAGATGCTTGAAGGCAGCATGCTCCTTAAGAGTCATCACCACTCCCTAATCTCAAGTACCCAGGGACACAAAAACTGCGGAAGGCCGCAGGGACCTCTGCCTAGGAAAGCCAGGTATTGTCCAAGGTTTCTCCCCATGTGATAGTCTGAAATATGGCCTCGTGGGAAGGGAAAGACCTGACCGTCCCCCAGCCCGACACCCGTAAAGGGTCTGTGCTGAGGAGGATTAGTAAAAGAGGAAGGAATGCCTCTTGCAGTTGAGACAAGAGGAAGGCATCTGTCTCCTGCCTGTCCCTGGGCAATGGAATGTCTCGGTATAAAACCCGATTGTATGCTTCATCTACTGAGATAGGGAAAAACCGCCTTAGGGCTGGAGGTGGGACCTGCGGGCAGCAATACTGCTTTGTAAAGCATTGAGATGTTTATGTGTATGCATATCTAAAAGCACAGCACTTAATCCTTTACATTGTCTATGATGCAAAGACCTTTGTTCACGTGTTTGTCTGCTGACCCTCTCCCCACAATTGTCTTGTGACCCTGACACATCCCCCTCTTCGAGAAACACCCACAGATGATCAATAAATACTAAGGGAACTCAGAGGCTGGCGGGATCCTCCATATGCTGAACGCTGGTTCCCCAGGTCCCCTTATTTCTTTCTCTATACTTTGTATCTGTGTCTTTTTCTTTTCCAAATCTCTCGTCCCACCTTACGAGAAACACCCACAGGTGTGTAGGGGCAACCCACCCCTACAGGTAAGCTCATGCCAAGTTATGATAGGGCCAACCCTTCCACAGCGCTTGCTGTGGCCAGGCTCTGTTCTAAGTGTAGAAGTGTGGTTGCTCATTTAATCCTCGCAACTTCCTGTAAGGTAGACGTATCATCAACCCAGTTTTATAGACGAGGACACTGAAAAACAGGGAGGTCAAGGCACCCACCCATGGCCACAGAGCTGGTCTGTGGCCACACAGGAATTCAACTCAGGCACTCCAGCTCCCAAGTCTGTGCTCTTCACAGCTGGGAGCAGGACCAATAGGAAACCCATCCTAGTGCCTGGGTGGGGCCTGGGAGGGGCCAGAGGAGTAGTTTGCCAGGTGATGGGGAAGGGATAAGTGCATCCTGATGGAGGGACAGTACGCCCCAAGTGTGAGGGAGGCGAGAGCCAGGTCAACATCTCAGGTGGACTGAGACAATGACAGGGTGCTCTGGGAGGAGGCTCAGTGGTACTGGCAGTGGAACTGAGAAAGGCCTTGAGGAATCATGGGCCTGGGGAATCAGTTTCTCAGGTAAGGCCAGCAAGTGGTAGGTGTTTGGTAAATGTTGAACCTGAAAGGAGGGAAGCATTGGAATGTTCGTTAGCCTTTGCTACTCAGTAACAAGGCCAAAAATTCAACTCAGCAGAGGTCTAAAATGTGTGTGTGTGTGCTGACTGGCCTCTGTGTCTTTGGCCCATTGCTTGTGAATAGAGATTATTTGCAAAATAGGTAAAATGAGACCACTAGGAAAGATAAATCTCTGCATAGAAGCATGCTCCAAAATGGACTCTGGGGTCCCCGGGACACTAAGAGTGATGCCTGGGGGGTCGCAGCAGAGTCTCTCTGGAGGGGGAGCCAGCCAAGGATAATTATGGCTGGAGGCCTATGAGGCAGCTATGGGAGCAGGCCCAGATGCCATGCCTCATTGCTTGGATGTTAGCTGAGGGGTGGAGAGCTCCTCCTTGGCAGTGACGAACAGCCAGGGGCCTCAGGAGGCAGGCCCAGAGATTCTTGCCTCAGGCCATGCTGGGCTGTCTCATCTCTCAATGAATGATCCTGAAATGAGGAAGCAGTCTAGGAGTGGCTGGCCCCTAAGTGGGCCAGAGGAAAGACTGAAAGGGCTCTTCCTTGGGCAGTCTACTCTGGTGGCTCAGAGCTCAGCCACTGACCCCCTGCAGGACCACTGACAGATCTCACATCTTCTCTGTAAGGTGAAGGGAGAGCTGCCTTGATAAGGTGTATATGCGCTCTGTACAGAGCTGGCTCACAGCGAGCCCTCAAGAAGACGTCTCTGTCATTACAGGTGGTGTTGCTTCTATGCAGGGCCAAGTCAGACTCTCCTACTCCAAGTACAGCCGCAAGTATGGCCATGTCCCATCCCTGTGGTTACTCAGCACACATGTACAGTGTCACTGCATAAAGCAATACAATCCATGATGAGAATAGTTTTAAAGTTTCAACACATTTGGAAGAGACAATCATTAGCTTCCATACCCCCAATATACCTTTGTCCCAAACCCCTGAGACCCCTCCAACAGCTCCTCTGAGCTCTGGGTTCCGTCCTGGGCAGAGAACCCAAGTGGTATATGGGCACAAGCCCCCGGAGACTGCGGGTACCAGGAGTTGTTTCCTGAGCTGTAACCATCACAGGAGGTGGGGATAAAGGGAGACAGGGAGCTTCTACTGTCTTGGAGGGCATCTTTGTTAACAAGGCAGCCAGGAGGCCCATTTCTTATGGCTCTTCTTGGGTTCAACCATGCGGGGTTTTTTTGTTTTTTTTTTTTCTTTTCTTTTGAGATGGAGTCTTGCTCTGTCACCCAGGTTGGAGTTCAGTGGCCCAATCTCCGCTCACTACAACCTCTGCCTCCAGGGTTCTCCTGTCTCAGCCTCCCAAGTAGCTGGGATTACAGGCGCCCGCCACCACACTCTGCTAATTTTTATGTTTTTACTAGAGACAGCGTTTCACCATGTTGGCCAGGCTGGTCTCAAACTCCTTACCTCAAGGAGTGATCTGCCCACCTCAGCCTCCCAAAGTGCTCGGATTACAGGCATGAGCCATTACACCTGGCCTCAACCATGCATTTTATGCCATGAGACCAAGAAGTTCCAGAAGCCTTCCTCTGGGGATGCTGCCTGCACGTCAGCTGGAGCTCTCCTCCCCTGCCTCCCAAGTCCCAGGGTGCTGGATGTACGACAGGAGCACTCTCCTTGGAAGCTGGGACAGTCCCTAATGCACACAGCTGCGAGACCCTGCAGGCATGTCTTGCCCTGAAGCATCTTTGGAAATAATCTGTTTCTCCTAAGTAGATTCTCCAGGTGACTGAAGCTTGCCTTAAACATCCACACTTGAAAAGTAAAATGTCTAATGATAGCTTTCCTAATCTGTCTTTTGTGGGGTTTTTTTGTTTTGTTTTTTTGAGACATCTCACTCTGTCACCCAGGCTGGAGTGCAGTGGTGCAATCTCAGCTCACTACAACCTCTGCCTCCCAGGTTCAAGCGATTCTCCTGTCTCAGCCTCCCGAGTAGCTGGGACCACAGGCATGCACCACCATGCCTAGCTAATTTTTGTATTTTTAGTAGATAGGGTTTCACTATGTTGGTCAGGCTGGTCTTGAACTCCTGACCTCAGGTGATCCACCCGCTTCAGCCTCCCAAAGTGCTGGGATTACAGGCGTGAACCACCACGCCCGGCCCCTAATCTGTCTTATTTATGATGGGTGGCACTTCAGAGGAAGGTTGGGAAAGCCCCAAGCTGGAGGTGCTCAGCTGTGTGGACTCACCTGTGTCACTGGGCTAGACCTTTATTCCTGCCTCTAATTCTCACAAGCTTCTCCCTTCCCCAGGCCACCTGTGTCCTGCCACTTGGATAATCTCCCTGACTAATCCCACCTCTGGCCACAGCCCTCCCCTACTCAAACCCTGTGACAGCTCCAGCCACCTGCAGGAAAACAGCCAAGGCCTCAGCCAGGACACCAGAGCCGATTCAGCCCCTGTGATTTCTTTTCTTCTTCTTGCTGAGAGCCCCCACCCCCCGCAGTAGATAGATGTTCCTGGTGTGGGTCACATCTTCAGTCCCACTATTACCTCTGCCAGGAATACCTCTGCTTATCCTACCACCCATCCTTTAACCCCAGCCAGCTCAGTGCCCATCTTTCCCTACTCCAGCTTCAGGAAAAGTTCCCCATCACCCCCATCCTGGCCTCCTCTGAAGGTCTCCTCCCTCTGGGCCTCACGTTACTTAGGACCATGGCTTCTCTCTCTTTCTGGGTTGAGGATGCTGAGGCCCAAGGGCATTTAAGACTAATTTCTACCAGGTTACTCCTGCTTACCATGGTGCACATGGCAGGTGCTTAATACCATCTGCTCATACTGGCCTTATAACCACAGCCTGGAACCCTGTGGGGTTTTCAAGATGTTTAAACATGTGTGATTATAAAGAACAAGTCACCAACGATCCTTCTTGATCCCAATTCCAGGAGCAGCACCCCAGGAAACATGGTCCTTGTCTTCACAAAGCTGGCTCTCAGCCTCCCTCCTCACACAGTCTCCCATGCTGAGCCTGCCTGCTGGCTGGCCCTTTTCCTCCGCACAGCTTAGTGCTTGGTGTGTGGATCCTAGCTCTGGGCCCCCTCAGCAACTGTGGCTCAGACTCACCCCTGGATCCTTCCACTCTTGACAATGTCTATGGCCACTGTGCCAGGGTAGCCAGCCTGGAGCCTTACCCTGCCCTGGCACCCATGAAGGGGGATTCCAGCCTGGTTTCACTGACTGTCTTTACATACCGTTTCTTCTAACTGGGCAGCTTCTCCATAGATGTTTGTCACGAGGACCATATTGCAGTTTCCCCCTGCGGAAAGCAAGACACAGAAGGGCTATGAACCATGTGTTTTTTCTGCTCCAAAGGAGTTGATGGGGTCTGTTATATACTGAATGCTTTTTATTTGTTTTTTTGAAACAGGGTCTCACTATGTCACCCAGGCTGTAGTGCAGTGACACAATCACAGCTCACTGCAGCCTCAGTCTCCTGGGCTCAAGTGATCCTCTTGCCTCAGCCTCCCAAGTAGCTCGCACCACAGGTGCACACTACCACACCTGGCTAATTTTTTTTGTTTTTAGTAGAGATGAGGTCTTGCTATGTTGCCCAGGCTGGTCTTGAACTCCTGGCCTCAAGCGATCCTCCTGTCTCAGCCTCCCAAAATGCTGGGATTACAGGTGTGAGCCACCACACCTGGTCAAGACTGAATGTTTTTGTCCTTATAAAATTCATATGTTGAAGTTGTAACCCCGACGTGATGGCATCTGGATGGAGGACTTGGGGAGGGGGAGGTAATTTGGTTTAGTTGAAGTCAGAGGGTGGGGCCCCCATGATGGGGTTAGTGTCCTTATAAGGAAAGAGACCAGAACCCTCTCTTTCTTTCCATGTGAGGATACGCGAGAAGGTAGCCATCTGCAAGCCAGGAGGAGGGCCCTCGCTAGGCATTGAATCTGCTGGCACTTGAATCTTGAACCTTCCAGTCTCCAGAACTATGTGAAATAAATGTCTATTGTTTAAGCCACTTAGTTTATGGTATTTTCTTATAGCAGCCTGAACTGAGACAGGGTCAGAGAGGACACACACATCTGTGAGGCTGGGAGGTAAGGGGAAGAGAGAAAGAGAGGCCACCACATGTACCTAAAAGAGGATCCAGGAGAAAACAGCAGAGGAGAGATGATACAGGGCAGGGAGGGGCAGGGACAGGAGAGGGAGGTATGAGTTGGAGCTTTGCTCAGGGTGGCACTCAGTTAACAATCAGACACTAGTGACTGTGTTGTCAGGCTCAACACAAAGGCCTAGGGCTATGGGGATGATAAGACAAAGCCCCCGCTGCTCTGTACAGGAGGCTGCAGGGGAAGGGAAGACACCATGGGAGAGAGGCCCTCGCCCCAAGTCTTCAGGCTGTGAAGGATTCTGCCAGCTGTCTCCTCAGGACAAGAGGAAAAGAGAAGGTATTCCTAGCACAGGTAAAAAGCCTAAGGAAGGTTCTGAGGAGTGAATAGCATAGTGTGTTCTGGGCACAGTGCTTGATTCTGCCTTTCCAGGTGTCTGAAGTCACTGTGAATGTGCTGCAGGTGAATCCATGCCACCAGGAGGGAGCAATTCTATCATCACCAGTGGCAGATGTGCCAAACCTGTCCCTCCCCAAAGACACAGACCCTCCTCCCTGGGCAGCAACTGTACCCCCTCACCTAACGAGTCCTTCAGAGCGTGGGTGAGCTTGCACTGCCGAAAGGGGATGTGGTCCCGCTTCTGGTCCCCAAGGGCAATGATGGCCTGCTCCAGGAATGAGAGCGATTTGTTGATGTAGGTGGCTTCCTTCAGGACTTGGCCCTCAGACTACAAAGCAAAGGTCAGTTCCACTTTGGATGGAATAAAGCAGCTGCCCCACTAAGAATAGCAGTCTTCCTGGTCTGGAGAAATGCTATAAGTCTGTGGTCAGGTCAGCGCCTCCTTCCCAGAACCAGGGTCTTCTTTCAATGTCATGCGATTGTATTCCATCTTGGGCTAATAATGGTAATACCAAAACTCAGAAATATTCATGTGAACACTCATGTGAATACTCATGCGAATGTGAATGCTTACATGAATATTCATATGGACATTCACTCAAAGATTCACACTAATATGAATATGTACTGAAATACTTGTCTAGATATTTGAGCAAAGAATCCTGTGAATATTCACACAAACACTCATGAATGCACATACAAATGCTCATCTGAATACTCTTGTTAATACTTCTGCTAATACACTCATACAAATATTTATTTGAAATACTCATGCAAATACTCATACGAATACTCATATTCATTCACAAAGAAGCCAGGTGTGGTGGCTCACACTTGTAATCCCAGCACTTTGGGAGGCCAAAGCAGGAGGATCGCTTGAGCCCAGGAGTTCAAGTTCAGCCTTGGCAACATAGCGAGACCCCGTCTCTACAAAAAAATTTAAAAATTAGCTGGTCATGGTGGTGCATACCTGTGGTCCCAGATACTTGAGACACTGAAGTGGGATGATCACTTGAGCCTGGGAGGTCAAGGCTGCAGTGAGCTGTATTTGTGCTACTGTACCCCAGCCTGGGAGACACGGCGAGACTGTGTCTCAAAACAACAACAACAAAAACACACACAGAGAAATGCTATACCAGCAAGGAATATTTACTGAGCACTGAGTGCCAGGCACTTTGCTAAGAATGTAGAGGGCACTATCTCATTTAATGTTTACAAAAATCCTCTGAGGTAGGAACCGCCCCCAGGTAATAGCCGTTCCCTTTTTGCAAATCCTGTCCCTCCAGCAAGCCCACATGTCCCACTTCGCCTAGCTCAGGACTGTGTTCACAAATATCCAATGAGTCATGGCCCAGATGTGCAGGCACTGTGCCAGAAAAAGGGCTTGTGGTTTATTGAGTAGCAACCTCCAGCCCCCATCACTTACCCCAGACTTCCCCAGCCTCTCTGAGCCTGCCAGATCCACCAAGTTAATTTTGGAAGTGATGTACTTTTCCTCTGATAAGGTCCGGGAATGGGCCTACAAAACATCCAAGCAGAAGTTAGACTGTCACAGGGAGAAGTTTCTGACTGAGCAGGCCCCGTGGGAATTGACTGCCCCGCCTGGGCTGATCAAAGAGCTTGCACCTACCTCTAAGTAGATGGTGAAAATGCAGTGTGATCTGGAAGAGTTTTTGTTCATAGTGTGGGAGGCTATAATCCTGTTGGTCTCACCCTGAAGAGGAAGGGAATCATAGGCAACATTTCGAAAAACTAAAACGACAAGGCACTTGGGTCATTTTTCAATTATACCAATAGCTACACAAGTGGTCTCATATCACTGCGATCAGCTGGGCCTTCCAGGCAAACCTCTTTTATAAACTAATAGAAAGGGAGTCAAATTGGAGTCCACATCTACACTTTCACCCGCCGCTGGGGAAGTGTGAATTGGTATAGCTTTCTGGAAAGCAAAGTGACAATAAAAATCAAGAGCCTTAAAAATGTTTATGAATATTGAATCAGAATCAACCTGCATGTCCAACAATTTGGGAATGATCTATGTATACAGTGGGATATTGGGCAGCCAGGAAAATGCTGACACATAGTTTTTAATAACAGAGAGAAATGTAGAATCCAAAATCATATTATAGCTGATCTAAGAAATGCAAAAGCATTCATAGAAGAAATAAGCAGAATTCTGCTAATAAGATGTTAATAATAGTTGCTTCTGGGTTGGGGTTTATAGGTTATTTTATCTTTTTTATACAGTTTTGTGGGTTTTTTTTAGTGAGCATGTATTACTATAAAAATAATAATTTATATTTTTATTTATTTTGTGTTCTCCTTTTTTTTTTTTTTTTTGGGAGAGCATCTCAGTCTGTCACCCATACTAGAGTGTGGTGGCACGATCTCGGCTCACTATAACCTCTGCCTCCCGGGCCCAAGCCATCCTCCCACCTCGGCTTCCTGAGTAGCTGGGACTACCAGCGTGCACTACCACACCTGGCTAATTTTTGTATTTTTTGTAGAGACAGGGTTTCACCATGTGCCCAGGCTGGTCTGGAACTTATGAGTTCAAGAGATCTGCCCGCCTCGGCCTGCTACAGTGCTGGGATTACAGGCATGAGCCACTGTGCCTGACCTAGTAATTTGTATTTTTAAAGGGACAGTAGGCCCTTACCTCTAATTTACAGGAGGAGGCCTTATGACCAGAATATACTTAAAAAGGAATTTTTTGTAGAGACAGGGTGGTGGTGTGGTGGAAATGGCTGTTCTTGGAGAAAAAGGTCCTTGAGGGATAGACTGATGTCTCCTTAAATGCTGATGAGAAGTGCTATGAACAAGCCCCAAAGTGAGGGTGGGGGACAGCCCCCCCTGGGGAGAGGAGAGCACCCGCTGAAGAGGGAAGGCCTGAGGCTGTGGAGCAAGCCTAGCAGACTCCTGTGGCCATACCTCTATAGCTTATAGTAGTGAGGCTATAGTCTATGGTCAGGCCTGTTCTACAAATCCAGTGACACTCACCAAGAATATAAGGGGTCACTTCATTTTTCTTCTTCTTTTTTTTTTTTTTTTTGAGATCATTCTCACTCTGTTGCCCAGGCTGAAGTGCAGTGGCGTGATGTTGGCTCACTGCAACTTCTGCCTCCCGGGCTCAAGTGATCCTCCTACCTCAGCCTCCCAGGTAGCTAAAATCACAGGTACAGGCCACCATGCCAGGCTAATTTTTTATATTTTTTTGTAGAGACAGGGTTTCGCCATGTTGCTCAGACTGGTCTTAAACTCCTGAGCTCAAGCAATCCTCCTGCCTTAGCCTCCCAAAGTGCTGGGATTACAGGCATGAGCCACCACAGCAGGTCATTCACCTTTACTCTTCAGTCCCCCTTCTGAAGTACCCTCTTGCCTTGTCTTTCTTTTTTTGTATTTTTAATAGAGAGGGGGTTTCACCATGTTGGCCAGGCTGGTCTCGAACTCCTGACTTCCAGTGATCCGCCTGCCCCGGCCTCCCAAAGCTCTGGGATTACAGGTGTGAGACACCGCGCCTGGCCTTGCCTTGTCTTTCTGGCCCTTTAAAAAAGATCCTGCTATTGACGTTGAGGAAGTAAGTTGCTATGTTGTGAGAAGGCACTATGATCATGCCTGTGAATAGCCATTGCACATGTGCCCATTGCCTGGGCAACACAGCGAGAACTTGCATAAAAAAATAAAGAGTTCCTAGCCTATATGACTTCTAAAAGAATAACATACACTTGACTGATTTCTTTTCTTGTTTTTGAGACAGAGTGTTGCTCTATTACCCAGGTTGGAGTGCAGTGGCATGATCTCAGCTTACTGAAACCTCTACCTGCTGGGCTCAAGTGATTCTCCCACCTCAGCTTCCCAAGCAGCTGGGACCACAGGCATGCGCCCCCATGCCTGGCTAATTTTTGTATTTTTGGTAGAGGTGGGGTTTCACTGTGTTGCCCAGGCTGGTCTTGAACTCATGAGCTCAAGTGATCCACCCGCCTTGGCCTCCCAAAGTGCTGGAATTACAGGCGTGAGCCACTGTGCCAGTGCATTTGACTGGTTTCTAAGAGCCTTTATTTTATTTTTTTGAGATGGAGTCTTACTCTATTGCCCAGGCTGGAGTGCAATGGCTTAATCTCAGCTCACTGCAGCCTCTGCCTCCTGGGTTCAAGCAATTCTCCTGCCTCAGCCCCCCGAGTAGCTGGGATTACAGGTGCCCACCACCACTCCCAGCTAATTTTTTTTTTTTTTTTTTTTTTTTTTGAGATGGAGTCTCCCTCTGTCGCCAGGCTGGAGTGCAGTGGCACAATCTCAGCTCACTGCAACCTCTGCCTCCCGGGTTCAAGCTATTCTCCTGCCTAAGCCTCCTGAGTAGTTGGGAGTTAGCGCCACCACATCCAGCTAATTTTTGTATTTGTAGTAGAGACGGGGTTTCACCATGTTGGCCAGGATGGTCTCAATCTCCTGATCTTGTGATCCGCCTGCCTCCGCCTCCCAAAGTGTTGGGATTACAGGCATGAGCCACCGTGCCCAGCCTAATTTTTGTATTGTTAGTGGAGATGAGGTTTCACCATGTTGGCTAAGCTGGTCTCGAACTCCTGACCTCAGGTGATCCACCCACCTCAGCCTCTCAAAGTGCTGGGATTACAGGCATGAGCCACCGCACCTGGCTCTAAGAGCTTTTGTATAGTAAGGATGCTAATTCTTATTTTTCTCTTTTTCTTTTCTTTTTTTTTTTTGAGAAGGAGTTTTGCTCTTGTTGCCCAGGTTGGAGTGCAATGGTACGATCTTGGCTCACTGCAACCAGTGCCTCCCGGGTTCAAGTGATTCTCCTGCCTCAGCCTCCCTAGTAGCTGGGATTACAGGCACCCGCCACCACACCCAGCTTATTTTTTGTATTTTTAGTAGAGATGGGGTTTCACTATGTTGGCCAGGCTGGTCTCAAACTCCTGATCTCAGGTGATCCACCCACCTCAGCCTCCCAAAGTGCTAGGATTACAGGCATCACCCACTGCACCCGGCCTTATTTTTTTCCATACAAGAGCTCATAATTTAACTGAAAAAAGGGACATAAGAATCATTTCAACTATGTAAAGAAAAAGCTGCACAGGAAAAAAGACTGGAAGGAAATGAGCTAAAATATACATTATTGTTGCCTTATGTAAAAAACAGATTATGCATGAATCATTTTTTCTTTTTATTTACGTAACAGGAAAGGAAGAGGAAATAAAATTCTTTTTTGTTCCTTTTTTTTTTCAGCACTATCTGAACTTGCTAAATGTGCATATATTAATTTCCATTCTGATAATCAAAGTAAGTAAAAAACTAGCTGGACACAGTAGCTTGCCTGTAATCCCTGCACTTTGAGAGGCCGAAGTGGGAAGATCGCTTGAGCCCAAGAGTTCAAGACCAGCCTGGGCAACATGGCCAGACCTTGTCTCTACAAAAAAAAAAAAAAAAAAATTAAGTGGGCATGGTAGCATGCTCCTGTGGTCCCAGCTACTTGGGAGGCTGAGGCAGGAGGATCACTTGAGCCCAGGAGGTCGAGGCTGCAGTGAGCCATGTTCATGCCAGTATACTCCAGACTTGGAGAAAAACCAAGATCCTGTCTCAAAAAAAGAAAAAGAAAAAGAAAAAGAAAAGCTGAGAAGGAGGGTGGCAGGGAGGGAGAGAAGGAAAGGAACCCTCAGGTTTTATTATCTCACCTCAAAAAGGAGGCTGAATGCATCCTCCTCCTGACTTGTGAGGTGAACTGACAAGCCCTTAATGAAGACTCCTTGAGGGTTTTCCACGATGGTCATTGGTGTGACTGAGGGTCCAACATAGGGCAGAGTGGACAGGAGATCAAACAGGCTCTCATTATAGATTTCCAAGTAGGAAACACGCACAGTGATGGCATGTGTGGGGCGTTCTTCGATCATCCTAAAAACCTAGATGACAGATTGTACAGCGGTCACCAAGAGCAGAACCCCAACAGCCAACTAGCATAAGGGGGGCTTCCTAACTCAGAAGGGAACATCAAGATGTATAGAATAATTATTGTCCTAAAGGAATTGGGTGATATTTAGTATCATCTTGTAGTGTTTTGAGGCTTGACATCAGATTGGCTAACACTTAAACCATCTCACGAAGTAGAGGCATAATGAGTGGAAAGGACTCTGGAGTGAGGATTTCTTATTTTAGAGTCTCATCATTTATATGCCTCTTTCAAATCTATTTAATTCCATCCACATATAAATCTCTGTGAATGAGGCAGTGCAGGAGCAATACGTATTTGTGGAAGGCACTACAAAATAAAATTATTTGTCAGCCGGGTGTGGTGGCTCACACCTGTGAGCCCAGCACTTTGGAAGGCGGAGGTGGGCAGATCATGAGGTCAGGAGATCGAGACCATCCTGGCCAACATGGTGAAACCCTGTCTCTACTAAAATTACACAAATTAGCTGGGCGTGGTGGCGTGCGCCTGTAGTCCCAGCGACTCGGGAGGCTGAGGCAGGAGAATCTCTTGAACCCAGGACGCAGAGCTTGCAGTGAGATGAGATCACGCCACTGCACTCCAGCCTGGGTGACAGTGAGACTCCATCTAAAAAATAAATAAATAAATAAATAAATAATTTGTCTATTGGTCACTCAGCTAGTAAGGGTAGAAGTAAAGCCAGAACTCAGCCTTCTCAACTCCTAATTCCCTCCCCAGTGCTTATCAAGGAAGGGATAATTCCTGAGGTCCTGCCTTCCTCTAAGAATTTAGACCGGTTTTGTTCAAAATAGTAGACACAAGTTACAGATGGCTGCTGAGTATCTAAAATGTGGCTAGTACAAATGAACTGAATTTTAAATTTTATGTAATTTTAATTACAGTTAGATTTAAAAACTGATGCAATTCAGTTATTGGTAAACTTTAAGTATGTCTGGAACAACTTGGGTATGTAAATCTACTTTTTCAACATTTTATGAAATCTAAATACAGATCAAGCATTTCTGATAATATTTATGCCTAAACTGAAATGTGCCCCAAGTATAAAATATGTACTGGATTTCAAAGACTTAGTATGAGAAAAAGAATGTAAACTATCTCAATAAGTTTATATTGATTACATGCGGAAATATTTTAAATATATTTAGTTAAATAAAATATATCATTAAAATTAATTTCATCTGTTTATTTTTACTTTTTAAAATGTGGTTACTGGAAAACTCAAATTTGCATGTGACTTACAGTATATTTCTATTAGTGGCACTGGGCTAGATTACTAAAGTCTAAGATGCTGAGATACTGAAGCTTTGACAGTGGGATATTAAGGGTATTGCTCCAAAAACAGGAGCATGGATGGTTCACATACTAGAGGAATGTATACACTTCTTATAGGACAGGGCTGCAAAAAATCCTGTCCTATAACACTTCTTATAGGACAGGGCTGTAAAGCTGCCTCTTGGCAGCTTTTGCCTCCTACCTCCGACCAGAGGGTCCTTACAGAACCCAGGCTAGTGGGGCCCAAAGGAAGGCCCTTCTGTCTTATCTTCAGTTATGCTATTGAGACCCCCCGGGCTGACACAGTCCTGAAAGCTCAAGTCATGCCCTCCTTCTTGCTTTTGATCTTTCAGGGGCTGTGGTGGTGAAAAAAGCCAGAGTAGGCCAGTAAGGAAGTTCTGCAAGGGTCTATATGCCCCTCATTAAAACCAGGAAAGAGAATGATTAGGACCTCCAAATCCTTAATTACAGGATCACAGACCACTGGAGCAGCAAGAGGCTGATTAGCATGCCTGACTCCCTCCTTCCCAAATGAGGAAACAGGCTCAGTGTGGGTATGGCTCAGAGTCTGACACCCAACCTCCTGGTTTCCTGAGGCCCCTGACTCTACTGACTCCAGAGCCCTGTGTATGTTGTCTCCAGTACCAGTATCCACTGCAACTCCTTTGAGGCCTGGTCCCCACTGTCTCTAGTAGCTGGCCCAGGGTCAGTAACATCTATGGCAGAGAGAGGGAACCTGTGTGGCATCCCACCCTTGGGCCCACTCTCTACCTGCTGCAGGGCACGAGGGAGGATCCCCCGGTGCTTGTAATTCTCAGTTGCCCCCATCATGGTGTATGTCTTGCCAGCTCCCGTCTGCCCATAACACATGATGGTGCCTGCAAACATTTCAAAACACGGTGACATCCAGGAAAATAGCTCCAAGGATAACTCTCCCCTCTCCCAGCATGCCTGGTGCCAGCCAGGGCCCTTTGCATGAAGATGGCCAGTGGGGGCAGCCAAGAACATCAGGAATTCCACCATGGAAGAGGATGGGTGGGCAGGGGAACAGGGACAAAAGTGGTCAAAACAAGGACATCTGCCCTGAATCTGTGGTCCCCACAATGCTCTGCTGTTCCCTCCACCAAGAGATGATCCGGCCCTAGGGCTTCTGAGAAGGACAGGGAATCTCAGGGTACAGAGGAACTGGAACTTTTCCTAAAAAGATGAGGAGGGAGATAGGAGCATTAGACTCCAGCCCTTCTCTAGCACAGCTATGAACTGCCAGGGTCTCAGGGTTGGCAGGAGGCATCAACTTCCCCACAGAGGCAAAGAGGGGCTTTCAAAATCTCCAGGAAGAGATGGAGTGGAAAGGGCATTTTCTGTCAAGGGTGAGAATTCTTTGTAGACTACAAATTCCTGCAGGATGAAACAGGGCTCCTAGTTGGTTCCATGTCACTTCCAGAAATGTACCACCATGATCAGGCCCTGATCTGGTCCACTGCCCACCCTGGGAAGACTTTCATTGCACTTCTCAACATCCTTTAGGTCTACCATCACCACCAGGCTCCGGGACACAAACCATGCAGTCACCCTGAGCTCCGGCTCCTATCTGTTCTTCCCCTTAGCATGGGCAGCCTGAGCCAGACCCCATCCCACAGGCTGCCCATGGGCATTTACATGGCAGATCTGCCCAGGCAATGCTGGGCTGTGAAAATTTTTTGCCTTTGTCACACAGACACTCTAGTTCTTGGGACTGGTGGCAGGTTTTACACAAGCGATCCTGATTCAGCATCTGAGTTGGAGCCAGAAATGGTGTCTATTAACCCAACACAAATGAACAGGAAGGAGTCACTTCAGCTGCAAATCAGAGCCCATTTGTGGTTCCACAGCACCAGTGCTCAAGACTATTCATCTCCCTGGGCCTTAGTTCCTCTGTCTTCACCTCCTCAAGGTCACAATCAGAGCATCATGAAAACCAAAAGAGAACCTCCTTAAGTCAGTGGGGACCACACCTACGTATCACATTCAGGATAAATTACAGCATCTACACTCAATGCACTTTTAAATATAAAACCTAAACTTGCAAAACAGGGAACATCCTAGTCAGCAGCCACCAGATGGCAAAGTCTACAAACTGTGACATATTCTTTTATACAATCCTATACTAGAATATCAACTGTACATTGATTGTGTTGGTAGAATACATGAAAATAGCTCCTAGCAGGAAGCTGAGAGACAAATGTTTGGACTCCATCAAATTTGTCATAAAGACGTATCTTCAAAACTAATACTTGAGAGATTTGAAACAGGATAATTGAACCCCTGTGACCTATAGAGAGCCATAGTCTTTTAATTTTCCTATGAAGGTAGAATCCCAGGACATTGGATCAAGCCATGCCCACAATGTCAACAAGCAAACAGTAAGTTTTGCAACGTAAGAACATGGAGACAGACAAACATACAAATGATAGTGAGTGAGCTTTTATTTTATTCACCATAAAATATTTGCATCTCTTACTCCTCAGGTTCTTACATAAGACAACATTTAATTAATTAAGTTACCATTATAGCCATCGAGGGCCTGAGAAACCACATCCTTTGCAACTGTCTCATAAACCAAGTCCTGGGAGGCATCGTGAAGAACTCCATCCAACTTAAACGACCAGTCTGTCTGTTGGTTATTGACAACTCCTCTCCGAATGTCTTTTTTTAAGTGAATATCAATGCTCTAGGAAAAAAGAGTGAGAAAGAAAAAAATGTTATTTGTTCAAAAATGGGTATAAAAAAAATCACTGATAGCTGAGGCCTAATCTGGAGGGAACAGAGGAAATGAACTGTAGGATGAATGGGGACTCCCACGTAGGGGCTGATATTCCAGATGAATTCTTTGGGATGGGAGAAGAGAGTTCCTGCAGGGAGATGGAAAGATCAGGAGAGTGGAGCACTTTCTAGTTTTAGCACCTCTAACCCTAGTTCACACGGTGCTGTCTTTGTTTCCCCACCTATGATATGAGGTCAAATTTATCATGTTCTTATTAAACAAGTTTTAGATAGATTCCATAAGCATAGGGAGGCCTTGAATTATGCCAGAGGGAATAGTGAGCCTGGTAACAGAGGCCTGGGCTCCAGCCTCATTGCTCTGGTTGCTGGCAGTGAGGCCTCCCTCAGCTCTGCATTATGGTGAACATCTACTTCCACACACACGCTATGAGCCAAAGTGAGTGATGATGAAATGAAAGCCACAGAGAAGGCTATGGACTTCTCAGACATAGGAATTAAGAGTAAATTGAGGGTGTCATCAGCAGATTTTTAGATGCATGCCCCTTCATAGTAAGCCATTGTAGTAGCAGCTGGCTTAGGGACATACTGGGTAAGGTCAGTGGTAGATTCCAATCTTCTTGATGAGAACTTCTGATGTAAAGACTCTTGCTGAAATCTTACACTGACTGCCCTAATGCAGGAGCTATACCTGGCTACAGAGAGAAAAATTAAGATGAAGAAAGACAGACTTGGCCGGGCATGGTGGCTCACGCCTGTAATCCCAGCACTTTGGGAGGCCGTGGCAGGTAGATCACCTGAGGTCAGGAGTTCCAGACCAGCCTGGCCAACATGGCAAAACCCCGTCTCTACTAAAAATACAAAAATTAGCCAGGCATGGTGGCACGTGCCTGTAATCCCAGCTACTAGCAGGGCTGAGGCAGGACGATCGCTTGAACCTGGGAGGCGGAGGTTGCAGTGAGCCAAGATTGTGCCACTGTACTCCAGCCTGGGCAACAGAGTGGGACTCTGTCTCAAAAAAAAAAAAAAAAAAAGAAAAGAAAGAAAGAAAGACTTGGTCCACTCACACATTAAATGCTCTGTGCTTCTGTGTTCGCTGAAAACCATGTCCAGCAGGACACATTTGATAGGGCTGCATGTGAGCTCTTTTCTGACCGCTAGGACCTGCGAGGCTTGGGCAGTTTGCCCTTGAATTTTTCCTTTGAAGAATGTCTCAATGCTGCCCAGAGTAGGCCCATAATTGTTTGCTGAATGAAAATATCTAACACTCTTACACTGTCCTAAGCCTTCAGAAGCATTCTCAGGGTGAGGATATAGGGACGGATATATCTTTCCACTTCTCTTGATAAGTATTTCTCCAGCTGTTTTGATAAGCTAAACAGTAATGAACTCAAGATATTCTTACTGCACCCCATGGGCGATTATACAATGACAGATCAATCATTAGAAAGCTTTATGAATGTGAACAAATGTCAATTCTTCTGTGTCAGATACGAGGGTAAAGGTAAACTTATTAATTTATTAAAGGTAAAATTATTAAAAGACAATTAACGATGGGATTTTATTAATTTCTTCATTAGCAGTGTGTGAGGGGGTGGTTTGGATTTGATGGGCTCTAGAGTCCATTGGATCCTGTCCAATTCTGTCTTGGTCCTTCAAAGGTTGCTTGGAAATACGGTCACACTATAGCAAGGTGGGACAGAGAGGCCCAGTCAGTTGAAGGCAAACACATCGCACTTACTCTTTTGTCATCTCCGTATCTGATCATTTCATGAGCAAAGTCATCGGTGGGTTTGACACGGACAAATGCATGAACTTTTTTCCTAGTACCCATTCTAGCTAAAAAGAAGGGAACAATGAAATTTTGAGTAGTCATTATCAAATAACAAGTAGAGGAGAGGGGTCATTCATTAAGAAGATCAGAAAAGAGTGACGAGCAGTCCATTTTTCCCTCTCTCCCTGAAAGCCAGTTTTCCTTTTCACCCCTCAGCATTTCAGTGTTCTACCCACAAGACACTGCTCAACAAATACACGCACTTTCTGCTTCACAGACTGCTTTGCCATTTTCCACCAATGACCCCAGAGAGACTGAAATACAAAGTGAAAAGAATGCTTCCTTTAGTGGCCTAATCTTAGATGTCATTTCTAGAAATGTTCTGCAACTAAGATGATGAGTCCACTTATGCTTTCCTTCATTTATTATATTTTCTTCTAAAATACTTACTATGAAATACATTAAAACTAATTTTCTTTTCATTAACTTATCTTGCTTCAGATACAGCATCCTCTTCTCCAGTAGACTAACTAGATCAGAAATAGATGACCCAGACGTATATTTGGTCCATAATAAATATTCTTTCTTCTCTTACTATATTGAGAAAAAATATCACAGACAGTCCCCTACCTCCTCTTGCTCTCCTAAAACCTAACTATATTCTCATCATTTTCTTTCAGTGTGTGTGTGTGTGTGTATGCGTGTGCATATACATATATATAGTAGTATAAATAAAGGAAGACATAGGACATATATACATACATTTTTTTTTTTTGAGACAGAGTCTCACCCTGTCACCCAGGTTGGAGTGCAGTGGTGCTATCATGGCTCAATGCAGCCTTGACCTCCCAGGCTTAAGTGATCCTCCTGCCTCAGCCTCCCCAGTAGCTGGGACTACAGGTGCGTACCACTGTGCCCGGCTAGTTTTCTTACATTTTTTTTGCAGAGATGGCGTCTTACTATGTTGCCTAGGCTGGTCTTGAACTCCTAGCCTCAAGTGATCCTCCTATCTTAGACTTCCAAAGTGCTGGGATTACAGGCATACCCAGCCGATGTTCAATATTTTTTAAAAAATTAACATTTATTTCATTGTTTTATTTTTGGAGACAAGGGTTTCTTTATGTTGTCTAGGCTAGCCTTTAACTTCTGAGCTCAAGTGATTCTCCCATCTCAACCTTCCAAGTAGCTAAGACTACAGGCGCATGGCTTGGCTTTAAAAAAAAACTAACTTTTGGCTGGGTGCAATGGCTCATACCATAATCTTAGCACTTTGGGAGGCCGAGGTGGGCAGATCCCTTGAGGCCAGGAGTTTGAAACCAGCCTGGGCAACATGGCGAAAACCCATCTCTATAAAGAATACAAAAATTAGCCAGGCAGCCAGGTGCGGTGGCTCAGGCCTGTAATCCCAGCACTTTGGGAGGCCGAGGCAGGTGGATTACCTGAGGTCAGGAGTTCAAGACCAGCCTGGCCAACATGGTGAAATGCCATCTCTACTAAAAATACAAAAATTAGCTAGTTGTGGTGGCAGACGCCTGTAATCCCAGCTACTCAGAAGGCTGAGGCAGGAGAATCGCTTGAATCTGGGACGTGGAGGGTGCAGTGAGCTGAGATCGCGCCATTGCACTTCAGCCTGGGCGACAGAGAGGGACTCCATCTCCAAAAAATAAATAAATGAATAAATAAATAAAATAAATAAATTACCAAGCATGGTGGTGCATGCCTATAGTCCCAGCTACTCAGGAGGCTGAGGTGGGAGAATCACTTGAGCCTGGGGAAGCTGAGGCTGCAGTTAGCTTTGATCATACCACTGCACTCCAGCCTAGGTGACAGAGTGAGACCATATCTCAAAAAAAAAAAAAAAAAAAAAACTAACGTGGGCCAAGTGCGTTGGCTCTTGCCTGTAATCCCAGCACTTTGGGAGGCTGAGGATGGCAGATTACCTGAGGTTAGGAGTTCAAGACCAGCCTGGCCAACATGACGAAACCCTGTTTCCACTAAAAAAAAATACAAACATTAGCTGGGTGTAGTGGCAAGCGCCTGTAATCTCAGCTACTCAGGAGGCTGAGACAGGAGAATTGCTTGAATCTGGAGGGTGGAGGTTGCAGTGAGCCAATGTCATGCCACTGCACTCCAGCCTGGGTGACAGAGCAAGCTCAGTCTCAAAAAAAAAAAAAAATCAAAAAATCTAAGTAACTTTTAAGATGTTAACCATAAAAACCCCTCATGTATAACAGGGACTACTTTTAATTAGATTATCTTGCTTTTTTAAAAAGTACATTAAATAATGGTAATATTTTATTTTATTTTATTTTTTTTTTTTGAGGCAGAGTCTCGCTCTATCACCCAGGTTGGAGCGCAGTGGCGCCATCTCAGCTCACTGCAAGCTCCGCCCCCCAGGTTCACGCCATTCTCCTGCCTCAGCCTCCCGAGTAGCTGGGACTACAGGCGCCCGCCACCAAGCCCCGCTAATTTTTCTGTATTTTTAGTAGAGATGGGGTTTCACCGTGTTAGCCAGGATGGTCTCGATCTCCTGACCTCGTGATCTGCCCACCTCAGCGGATCATTTTATATAAAATTATCTAAGAGAGGTCCAATGGGTGTTACCTGACAAAAGTTATTCCAGATTTTATTTATTTATTATTTTTGAGACATTTATTTCAGACAGAGTCTCGATCTCTCTCTCAGGGTGGAGTGCACTGGTGTGATTTCAGCTCACTGCAGCCTGTCTCCCAGGCTCAAGCAATCCTCCCACCTCAACCTCAACCTCCAGAGTAGTGGTAGGACAGGTGTGTGTCACCACACCCGGCTAACGTTTTGCAATTTTGTAGAGATGGGGTTTCAACATGTTGCCCAGGCTGGTCTCAAACTCCTGGGTTCAAGCAATCCACCCACCTCAGCCTCACACTCAATTTCTAAAGCTTGGGGAACCGGGGAACCACTCTTCACATCCAAGGGCCCATTCTCCTGCCCAGGGAAATTCAGATGCCATCCAGGGTATGCTCCGAAAGGGACCATGAAGAAGCAGGGGAGCTCTGGGAGCAGGTGCCCAGGCCTCTCTCCCTGAAGCCCCTGCACAAGAGTAGCACAGGCCAGTTCAGAGCATCAACCTCAGCTGGGCATGGTGGCTCACGCCTGTAATCCCAGCCTTTGGGAGGCCAATGTGGGAGGATCGCTTGAGGCCAGGAATTAGGAACCAGCTTGGGTAACACAGCAAGACCTTGTCTCTACAAAAAATTTTAAAAATTTGCCAAGTGTGGTGGTGCACGCGTGTGGTCCCAATTTCCCAGGAGGCTGAGGCAGGAGGATCACTTGAGCAGTGATGGCACACCACTGCTCTCCAGCCTGGACAACAGCGTGAGACTGTCTCAACAAAACAAAACAAATAAGCAAAAGCATCACTCTCCCTCCAGAGCCTGGCCCTTCTCTGCCCTGCTATTTGCCAACATGCACATGCACACGCAGTCACCCCATGTATGCTTCCCAAGGCCCTCCCATGCTGACACCATGGCTCCAAGCAGGCCAGGAGCCATATCCACCTGCAATAAAGTCTTCCTTTGCACACCCGTCTTGTGAGCCTGCTACTCAGCAGCCCTTTAACACCCAAACATTTAGGGACCCCATGCCATCTTGCACTTACTGAAATACTGCTTGTTACCATTCTTACGTCGCTTCATTTGAGTGGGTTTCAGTTCCCAAAATTAAATTACAAGCTGCTTGAAGGCAAGGATTGTGCTTTTTATCTCTTTTGAATCCCCTCACAATGTCCAGGGCAGAGCCCAGCACAGAGTAGGTATTCAGGAAATGGCGGTGGTTGGTGATGGTAATGGCTGGAAGTCAGAGGGCAGCTGAATCTTCATATGTGGGTCTATCTTCAGTCACTACTGAGAGAGTCCCAAGGGGCATATGATGTCACTCCCCTTCCATGACAACTCCAACCAAAGCCCACAGCCCTTCCAGGAGGACACTTGGTTTCCAGGTGCAAAAATCCACATCCAGCACCTCACCACACGCTTTTTTTGTTTTTGTTTTTGTTTTTTGTTTATTTGTTTTTGTGACAGGGTCTCACTCTGTCACCTAGGCTGGAGTGCAGTGAAACAATCTCGGTTCACCGTAGCCTCCACATCCTGGGTTCAAGCGATCCTCCCACCTCAGCCCCGCAAGTAGCTAGGACTACAGGCGTGCACCACCACGCCCGGGTAATTTTTGTATTTTTCGTAGAGACAGGGTTTCGCCATGTTGCCCAGGCTGGTCTTGAACTCCTGAGCTCAAGCAATCCGCTCACCTCAGCCTCCCAAAGTGCTAGGATTACAGGCGTGAGCCACGGCGCCCGGCCCCCTCCCTTTCTCCCTCAGGACCTTGTGGGGAATGTCTCTCCTTGGGGAACCACCCTTTGATATTTCTGGTATAACAAAGCAAGTCTCTGAATGGCCACCAGGAGACTTCTGTGTTAAGGCGCTCGAGGTTTCCTCATTTGTCTTTAGTGGGAATGAACAGAATTGGCAACAAGCAGCCATGAAGACTAGACAAGAGGAAAGGGAGCGTTTGGTGGGGTGGAAGGCACCAGGTGGGTCCCTATCTTCCAGTGCTCCCGTCCAGATGAGGGGCTGTCATGGGGAACCCTCATAGCTACCCGTAGCGGCAGCACCAACACCCGAATCCAAAACACTGGGTCCAACTGCACCTGGCCTTGGCTGAACAAGACTAGGATGCAGGCAAAACTAGACTTTCTCCTTTTTCTCACCCAATGTGCCGGACCCCCGCGTGGAGCCTGGGCGGCAGTGGGCTTTGGACCCATTCCGGTCCCTCTCTGGAGAGGTTTCCTCACCTGTAACACGAAGGGCTCCGACTGGTGATCCCAAAGCCCCCTCTAGTTCGAAAACTGACTAGTACGGAAGAGTCCAGACGACCTCTGGCTCCCTGCCTCACGGCCTCTATGTCCTGGACGCGACGTGGGACCCCTTTGTGGGACCAATGAACATTAGCTCCGAAGACCGTAAGCCGCGGTCAGGTTGAAAGGACTCCCGCGACGTCGAGCCCTCCTTCGCCTGGGTTTCAGAGATGAGCGACCCAGCTGGGAACCCCCAGATAAAGCGGTTTTTGGACCCCAGCCACTTTCAGCAGTCCGGGCGCACACCCTTTTCCCGTCTCCCCACTCCCACCGGCGAGCAGCCCCTGCTCACCGTTCACCAGGCAGCGACGCTCCCGGGACGCGACTGCCGCAACCGAAACCACCTGCACTCCCCACGCGGGGCTGCCTGGCTGTGTACATAGTCGCCATGGCAACGGGTCGCTTCCGGGGATTCCGGAAGTGTCGGGGTGGCGGAAATGAAGTCCGAGGTCCTACGTCGAGGATACGGGTGAGGTCATGGCCGAATCGGGAAGACGAGAGATGGGGCCGATTGATCTAGAAAGA